>NC_000007.14:91597688-91900718 GCF_000001405.40 Homo sapiens | reverse complement strand
ATATGCCAGTAATCCCAGCACTTTGGGAGGCTGAAGCAGGAGAATCACTTGAACCTGGGAGACGGAGGTTGCAGCGAGCTGAGATCGGCCCTCTGCACTCCAGCCTGGACGACAGAGCAAGACTCTGGCTCAGAAAAAAAAAAAAAAAAAGAAAAAATTAGCCTGGCGTGGTGGGGGGCGCCTGTAATTCCAGCTACTGGGGAGGCTGAGGCTGGAGAATTGCTTGAACCTGGGAGGAGGAGGTTGCAGCGAGCCAAGATCCTGCCATTGCACTCCAGCCTGAGCAACAAGAGCAAAACTCCGTCTCAAAAATACATAAATAAATAAATAAATAAAAAATAAACATGGCTGAGCACGGTGACTCACACCTGTAATCCCAGCACTTTGTGAGGCTGACGCGGGTGGATCACTTGAGGTCAGGAGTGACCACGAGGTTAGGACCAGCTTGGCCGACATGGTGAAACACCGTCTCTACTAAAAATACAAAAATTAATTGGGCGTGGTGGCGGGTGCCTGTAATCCCAGCTACTGGGGAGGCTGAGGCAGGAGAATCGCTTGAACTCGGGAGGCGGAGGTTGCAGTGAGCTGAGATCATGCTACTGCACTCCAGCCTGGGTGACGGAGCGAGACTCCGTCTCAAAAAAAAAACAAAAACAGAAACAAAAAAACAAAAACAAAAAACAAAAAAACAAAAACAAAAGAAAACTTAATCTGGAAAACAAATACTTCACCCTGTTTTTTAATGGATATATTAACAACTGAATCTAGTCACCAGCATGGATGATTTTTAATTGATTGTACAGATATTAGTTGTCAGGGTAGCTAAATATCCTGTTCATTAATGAATTCAATGCCTTTTAAAAGACTAATATAAGAAGGAAGAAAATTATAGAAATTACACATTAGAAATTTCTGTGGGATATTAATTTGGTCTAGATTTTGTGTTTTGCTGAGACAGCATTGTAGATAAACAGAAAAAAGGGGTAACAACTTGGGAAATATTTCATTTTAGTCTTACTTTTTAAAACCATTTTTCTGCTTTAAGAAATAACAGAACCAGCCATTACAGTAAAGCACTCCAGAATGTTACCAGTTAGTCTGTCACCATAGTAGCAGCATCTGGGGAACATTCAAGATGTATTATTTCGGAAATCCAGAGGTTGATTTCTACATTTGTATAAGAAGACTTGTTTATCTGAAGAAATATATAATCAGTTCTCTTTGTACTCTCGAATTGTATGTAATGTTAACTTCTTCAGAGAGAAGATACTAGTGTGTAAAATTCCAGAATAACCTAAAGATGCCCAACCTCAAGTAGCTGCAGAAATAAAATCAGTGTTGAAAAGACAATAGGATGGAGAATTGATCATTTAAGCTTAAAAATTACTTAATGCTTTGGTATCACATATGATGCTTATGCTAGAAATGATGATGATGATAATGATGATGATGATAATGACCATGCTATTGTGAGTCAATAAGGATAGAGTACTTAATATTAGTGTTAAACACAAGTGTTCAATCATTTCAGTGCATTTCTTGTTCATTCTTAAAGAACAGTGCTATTTAATTTTCATGTGAGATGCATCCTACGTTATAGGAGTCATGTTTTTTGACTCATCTGTTGTGGTGAAACATGCCACAGAGTTACATAATTAGATTAATTTTAAAGATCTACTATAAAGTAGTGTTTTTGCTACCTTTTTCTCTGTCATCTGAGATTAGGGCTGAGATTATAGCATGAAAAATATTTGTGTGAAATATGAAAAATTCAGTCGAATGACAGTTTATCTTTTATATGATGTCAAAAGACTGGTTTGACTGGTTTTATGTTTTTGTTTTTATAGTAAGGATTTTATCGGGTGCTCAATATGCCCTGGTCACCATGCTGAGTACTTCATGCACCACTTCCACATTTAATCTTCAGGCATAGGAGGCTTAGGCTATGCCCAAACCTGTGTTAACTGACTATGTTTAACTGACTTGACCAGTAGTTATTTGACCAAATCGTTTCCTTTGTTATCTTGTAGACACAATTTATAATAAATTTAATAACCAGCTGTGTGGGTTTAAACTATTTGTTCTGGAAGAAGGAGGGAATGTGAGACGTTGGTTAGTGGGCACTGTTAAATCAAGATTAGCCTAAAGCTACCTCCTTACATATTTTAAGTTCAGGTTAAGGGTTTTTATGTACATCGTGAACTATAACTAGTGGAGCTGTAAACAGACCGAAGCCTACACTTGTGCCAATTACTGAGTTTTGGCCAATCAAATGTAGCCAACTGTTGGAACCATGTTCAAATAAGGAAAGTGCCAACCTGTAACCAATCCAGCCGTTTCTTTACCTCATTTCAGTTTTCTGTATGTTACTTTCCTTTTTCTGTCCATAAATCTTCTCCCACCATGTGACTACGCTGGAGTCTCTGAGCCTACTCTGGCATGGCAGGGTGCTCAATCTGCGAATCGTTCATAGCTCAATTAAATTCCTTTAAATTTAATTTGGCGAAGTTTTTCTTTTATCAGTACAAACACTGAGTTAGATAGAAGGAGTAAGTTTTAATATTTGATAGCAGAGTAGGGTAACTATAGTTAACAAGAACACAGTGCACATTTCAAATAGCTAGAAGAGGAGACTTACAATGTTCCTAACACATAAAAACGATATCCTGACTTGATCATTACACATTCTGTTCATGTAGCAAAATATCATACATATCCCATAAATATGTACAAATATTATGGATAAATAAAAATGATTCATTCACCCACTTTTAATAACAGAGTTTCAGTAATGAGGTTTTCCACTGAATATCTAGTCCAATCACTGTAAGGTAATAAGAAAAATCCACATAGTGGAATTGACTTTTAGTTCAGCCTTAATTTTGACTGACAAAATGAATTGTGAATGACAAAAAGATGGTTGAGAATTCTTTTCTTAATAAAGGAGATGATTTCTGTTTTTAATTTTGTAATTATAATTCATATTATTCAGAAATTTTATAGAATAGGTCACTATTATCTTACTTTGTCAATTCTTCATAAAAAACACATTTTTATCTGTTAACATCCCAAATATCCAGAAGTGACAATATGAGCTTAGCTGAGGCATACTTTAATTTTCCTTAGTGAAATAGTCACCTGGTGCTCTTAGAAACTTTATTAAGAGAGGAATCCTTTTTTTTTGACATTAATATTCCTTAAGACTCTTACCTCCAAAACTATGTGCTTAGATTTTGCTTTACCATTTCTATAAGTTTGTAAAACTTTTTTCATATTATGAAGTAACACAGTATTTGGCCTCCTGGTGAAAAGTTGTATACTCTACTGAAGTTTTTCAATCTTTAAGTGTTTTTTTTTCTAAAAAAATTTTAAGTTGTACTTCCAGAATATCTATTTATCAACTTGAGGCCTAATTTAGAGTCTTGTAATATTATGATGTCTATTATTTTAGCACAGATTTTTAAAAAGTCATAGTCTAATTATATACTTGTTTTATGTGTCAAAGTTTTGTGTATCCATGCAATATTTTCTCTATTATTATTATTATTATTGGTAATAACTATTACTTTTAATAATAATAGAAATAGATATAACAATTTGCATGGTTTCGAAAATTATAATTCAAAACCTTTTCTCATATAACATGACTATTATTTTCTTGCTTGTCAACAAACTGAAATGGTTGCTATATACAGTGCAGTCAAGTTGCTATCTCTTACTTCATATTTTCTATCTTTCAAATGCTGCATTTTGCTAACATTTATAACCTAAAAAGAATATTTTGTTCTTTTATTCCTTTTGAACACAAATATAAAATGAGTCAAAAATATGACTTCCTTCTCATGCATTACTGTTGGAAATGAAAATTGGTACAACTTTTTTGGAGGGCAATTTGGTTCTATTTGTCAAAATTAAAAATGCTCATACTCTTTGATCTAATAATGTCAACTCTTAGGTATTTATTGTATAGATAATCTTGCATATGTGCAACCCAAAGCATATGCAAATAAAATATTTGTTGCAGAGTATTTGCAATAGTAAAAGATGAAAAAACATCTAAACACTCATCATAGAGACTGTTTAGATGAATTATGATATATTCATACAATGGATCACTATGCAGCTACTAGCTTGAATAATGACTTTTATATATACTGATTTGGAACAATTGCCAAGAGTGAAAAATCAAGGAACAGAGCAAAATATATGATATACTATCTGGTGTGTGAAAGGACAGAGTCGGGGGTGAGGGAGAGGGAGAGAAAAAGAGAAAAAGAGGGAAAATTTATGCAGGTATGTTGGCAAATGAATAGGTTGTCACTGGAAGAATCTTCAAGAAACTGGGTATAGTGTTTGCTTCCAAAGAGGGAAAATGAGTAACTTTTTCCCATTTTGGGAAAAGAGAAAAAGTAGAGGAAAGGTAGAGAGACTTAGTTTTTATTATACATGCTTTTGTATTTTGGTATCATGTGTATGTAAATCCATATACACACACATATAATTTTAAAAACTAAAACAAATATGGCCTCATGACCTAGAAGTAACACACTGAAATGAAATTCATTTCCTCCCACCTTCTCCATCACTTGAAAAGGACTTAAGTTCTTTTATTAGTTGACAAAGAATATACATTTCTACCTTTACAACTAGTCTGCACAATCATTCCCAAGTAATTGGAGAAGACTTGGACCTCTCAACCTCAGCATTTAAAAAGTGTTTGGCTTTGTAAATATGCCAATGTAGTTGGGTCTCTCTGATCTAAAGAGAAGTGGAGATTTGATAGTTACTAATGTAGAAAAAAATCCCATTTGGAGGTTGCAATTGTCTGTGGTCCAAACTGAGTACCTGCCACACCGCTTCAATGTACTATGTACACAGTCTCAGAATGATTATCTAATAGCATATTGTAATTAAATTTCTGAAGATGATTAAGTGAACACCACACAAAATATGTAAAACATTATAAAATGTGCACTATATATGTAAGACATATTTAGAGATTAATGGCAATATGTTTGAGAACTTATGTCAAAGCTTTAAAATAAGTTTTTAAACTTTACAAGTGGGCCGGGGCAGTGGCTCACATCTGTAATCCTAGCACTTTGGTAGGCTGAGGCAGGAGGATTGCTTGAGCCCAGGAGTTTGAGACCAGCCTGGGCAAGAAAATGAGACCCTGTCTCTACAAAAAATTTTAAAAAGTAGTCATGATGGAATACATCTGTAGTCCCAGCTACTCAGGAGACTGAGTTAGGAGGATCCCTTGAGCTCAGGAATTTGAAGTTGCAATGAGATATGATCATGTCACTGCACTCCAGCCTGGGTGACAGAGCAAGATTCTGTCTCAAAAAACAAAAGTGAAAAAACGAAGAAAAAAAATGTTAAAATTTCAATGTGGAAAAAAGAATTACAAAGACACTATAATGCTTTGTAAAATGCTATCTTGCTTATAGGCAAAGACTATCTCAAATCCTATATTTTGTGGCCATCCCATTGACATTCAATGAGAAACAAGAAAAGTAAAACTTTTTTCCTGAAAATAAATCTTAAGGATACTAGAAAAAAAATCACATGCTCATATGGATTCTCACAACACAGGCACAAAAGCATGCAGATCAGTTCAGTTCCAATTCACTAATGTTTTTCCTTCACCATCCCCAGGAATTCATATCTGTTTCTCTTCTGAGGATGTTTACATGACTGGACAGTTATACAAATGAACTGGCACTTAATCTTCTAGAATGATTGTAATAACACATATCCCCAGGAGAAGAATGTCTTTGTTTCCTGGATCTTGGAGTCCTACAACATATGGTCTGACAGATTTTAAGCTCCAAGTAGCTATTTTTAGACATGATGGCTCTTTACCCTTATCTTTTAATAAAAGAAAAAGTATTTGTTGAGCAGATACTCACTTTCACAATATCATTTTAGCTAGAAAGCAAGTGGCTTTGTCAGTCTAGAAAGTTTGGTGAGATGAATAATTTAGTCTGTAGGAATAATATGTCTAGGGAAGAAATTTAAGTAGGGGTTTAAATAATGCAGCTAATTAATTAAATGATTTTAGGATACTTGATTCATAATGGCTAATTTGAATATGTACTAAAAATACATACAGATCACAAATCATGATTGCATTATTTTCAAGGGCAATACAGAACATACACTTCACTGCATAATAGAAAAAAATTAATTGTTTATGTGCTTTCAACATTTGATTTTTTTTTTTTTTTTGGTCTTCTGCTAATGTTCACAGAGGATCACACTGCCTGGTCAAAATAGAGAACAGAATCAAGGTTAGGTTTATATTTAATGTCAGGAAAAATGAACATACTTTGGAGTACTTACTTTAATTATACAAATACTTAAAATTTAAAAGCACCTTTCTGAGAATAGTTCCAGGCATGATAATAGGAACTGCTTCGACAAATTCTCATAGTAATTAATGGGTTCACTGGTGCTGTGTCTTAGTGCTTGGCACTAAGAACATCATATATGGCAGATTCTGCTAGGGCAAACAAGAGAATAACTCCCTATACCTCACTGATGGCTGGGAAGTCATCAGTCTTTTTTGTTGTTGTTGTTGAGACAGAATCTCATTCTGTTGCCCAGACTGGAGTGCAGTGGTGTGATCTGGGCTTATCACAACCTCCGTCTCCCAGGCTCAAGCGATTCTCCTGCCTCAGCCTTCCGAGTAGCTGGGATTACAGGTATGTGCCACTACTGTCCAGCTAATTTTTGCATTTTAGTAGAGATGGGGTTTCACCATATTGGCTAGGCTGGTCTTGAACTCCTGACCTCAAATGATCCACCCGCCTCAGCCTCCTAAAGTGCTTGGATTACAGGCATGAGCCACTGCACCCGGCCAGTCATCAGTCTTATCCACAGAAACATATGCTATTAAAGTCTGCCTTCATATGCATTCCTCTCCTTTGGCAAACCTTAAAAACAATTCCCTCTGACACTGGCAAAGTGGATTTCTTAGTTAATGTGGTGCCCAGCATGCTGTTAGGCATATTCATGCAGTCCTCAATTTACAGATGAGCTGGGTTCCAAAACTTTGGTACTTAGAGTAGAATTTCCAATTTAAACAGTGTTACAGATGGTGCTAATGTTCTGAGAATAACCCACACCAATGAAGTGTTGTTAAAAAAAAAAAAAGCAGAAAAAACAGTGAAAAAAAAAAGATTGCCAAACAAGTATCAAATAATAGTACTTTTATGGACACTAGATGTTCTTTATTTTCATATCAAAATTCCATGTTTAAAAAATTTAGTTTTCTTTTTCTTTGGTTTAAATAAACCACTGATATTCCAATGTATATGGGGTTCCAAGAAAAAGGAAAAAAATAACATTTATACCAGTCTTATGCTTAGACATGAATACAGTCAGCATTGGGGGAGAGGTTTGTAAACATGAATCAAAGGAGAGGAGAGGATTCTGGAATTAACTAGGTACAAGTTAAAAGAGGGAGAAGAAAGGGAAGGGGATTAAAGATGAGTCATCTGTGGGAAAGAGATTATTAAGGTATCACTAAAGAGGTATGTAGTGAAATAAAGAGAAATATTTGGCAGCTTGACATAAAGCATGGCTGAAGAGATGTTTGGTCAGATGATTTCCTATGCATGCTTGTCACTAAGTGACACTATTTACTCAGTACAAGTTTGTTAAAATGTTGAGAGTAGGGGATGGGGGCAGAAAGAAGTGGGAGGGCATTAAACACCTGCCATTTTGTCTGCCCAGCAACTCTTTCTCCTTTTATCACTCACGTTCCTTTGGGGGAGAGGCTTAGTCACAATGAACAACAACAGCCTGTAATTACTGCAACTGGGAGTCCAGGCCACTGTGGGATTAAGCTCTGAGAGTTGAGCCGCTGAGCTGCTGGCCTAAGAATCCTTGAATACTCCCTGGCTGAGATCAGAATTGACCCCAGAATCCAGAGTAAGGGCTTAACCAGCAGGTAAAAATTAAGCAACTCTGGTTTCAAAGGTGCAGTAGTTCTCAATTCTGGCTATATATTAGAATAATCTGCTGGAAATTAAAAAGAAAAACAATGAAAATCAGACCAATATCTGGGCCTCATGTCAAACCCATTAAATCAGAATCTCTGGGGGTGAACAGCTGGGCTTCTGTATGTTTACAAAGCTCCCTAGGTGATGTTAATAGAAGCTAGGATTGAGAACCACAGGATATGAAGTATACAGAGGTGAAAGAGTCAAGCATCCACCTCATGGGTAAAAGTGAAGAAGGAAGCTGTACAGGCAGTTCTGGAGAAGGGGAAACCGCGTTTGGCTGGTGTGGCTAGTGTCAAGTGGGATCTGGAGGGCACTGGTTAGTACGTATTGGAGTTAGTAGAGCAATGAGGAAGGCTGGCAGGGGGCAGTGCAATAAAGTAAGGCTTCCTATTCTTCATTATTTTGCTTTGAGGCAGCCCTGTATTATTCACTCCTCAGTGGTTATATGACAAGCAGTACTTGTCTCCTCTTCAAGTGCCTAGCAAGGGCAGTAGTCATTTAAAATGTATCAGAGTTTACTCTTTTTGCACTTAGGAGGGGAGGAAGTATGAGCCATCTTCTTGTAATAAAAAATCTACCACTTAGGTACAATGTGAGCAAATCTCCCACTAAATAGAATCTTAGAATTTTAGAGCTGGAAGGGGCCTTCGATATCACTTGGTTCACCTTTTTCTTTCAGACTGTAAATATCTCCACTAGACTTGCCAAAAGTAGGAGGTATTTCTTATATTTCATGGTTTCTCTGGCACCCACATGGAGGATATTATATAAGCAATGATATAATGGTGGATATTATATGACCAATAAAATAATTTTCAGATGAGGAATCTGAGTTCCAGAGTCAATAAATTAGTAGGCTCATCCATTCATTCATTCATATAATACTAGTAAAAACAGAAAGCTTTAGATATTCATGAATAAAATGACATAATGACATGTTAGTTAGAAATATAAGAGGTTAGAGTGTTTCTGATGCTCTTATGCAAGTAAATTTAATCCAGCTAACATATTGATACCTTACTAGGGAAGGCACTGCATTATGTTCTATAAAGGTTAGTAGGGTATATTTATTAGGGCCCAAGCTCTGGATTTAGATAGCCTGGGTTCAATTTCTGGTTCCTATTTCCTAGCTGTGTGATACGGGGCTATTTATTTAACCTCTTTGTGACTCCCTTTTCTGCACTGTAAAACGGGGATAATAAAAGCTGCCTTGCAGGGAAAGTAGTACTTCACACATAATAAATCCTTAAAAAATATTAACTATTACTAAATACAATATTATCTGCTATTTTAAATCCCCACTATCCACTAACAAGGGTAAGGCCTATTACCTAGATGAAACTTTATTTTGCTGAGCCTCATACTGGGTTTGGGGGTGCCAGTGTGAAGATGAGGCTAGGGCACAGCTGAATTGGGACAAAATAATGGGGAGTCTGGAGGCCTGAGGACCAATCAGTCAGTAAGAAGAAAATGTAGGCCAGTGAGTTTAACAGGAGATCTCAATGTTGTTTTTCTGTTTGGTATGGTATGTAACCCCTTGACAAACTTGCAATGAAGTCTATATTGCTCACTAATGCTCACTAATGTTCACAGGTGATGTGGTTTACTTTAGCAGAACTCAAAGTGGTCCTAGGTTCTAGCTCCAGCAGGGAGCATGTATAGCTGGCAGAGACAGAGGATGGAGGATGTTGACACCTGTATTCCACAAAAATGGAGAAAAGTCTGTGTCCTCAAGGAATTTCTAACTGTGGAGAAGATCGATACATATGCAACAAATTAATTTTAACACATGGCAGAATGAATTCAGTGTTATAATGATTGAACAAAGTGTTACATACATACAGAATTGGGAAATATTTATTCTGATTTATACAAAAGTGGGAAAGAAGTGGATTTGGGAAGCCTTCAGGGAGAGACGATATTGCCCTGTGGGTTAAGTGACTAACAAGTAAAGATGGAGAGAAGAGGAGCAAACAAAGGACCAGGGGCAAGGAAGCGCAAGGGTGTGCTTGAGAAACGGTGAGACTACATGGTGTTAGAAAACAATGTGAACAGTTAACTCCTATCTCTACACTTTTTGCTATACAAGCCATCACTGACTGGAGATTCTGTTGCTTGCAGCTAAATACAATCCTCATAGACTGCTCAGTAACTATGTGTTGAATGAATAAATAGAGAAATGAAAAGATGATTGAATGAAAGATCAAAGACCCCCAACTCCAATTCAGGGTCTCCAGCTGCCCTGGTGGACAGTAGATGCTTTTGTCTGTCCAACCTCCCTTCCTTCATGCTAGTAATAGTGAGCTCCTATTTCCCTTAACTTCCTTTCTCCAACTCCAGATGGTTTTTCTGGAACTGCCAATTACATATCCTGCCACCTCCACCCCACCTCCAAAATAATGGGATGGTCATATGACTCAAAGAAGCTAATCGGAATATTTATTTTGGATTTGATGTTCAAAGACTAATAGTTAGAATTTCTCTCTTTCCTTTACGTTTCCAGTTAAAAGGTTGCAACCTTAGAGATACTGGTAGCCATATACCTTGTTGCACAGGAGAGCCTGAGAAAATTAGGACTACGTACAGAGAGAAGCTGAGATGAGATACAGAGAGAGCGGTGGATCTAATTTAATTCCTGGATTCAGTTGTGCCTGAGGACATCTCTGCCTTTTTCCCATAGGAGAAAATAATTGTGCTGTTTCCCTTTTTGGGTTGAGTTAGCTTGAGGTGCATTTCTGCCACCTGCAATTGAAAGAATCCTGTGTAATAGTCACTAACTAGCAACATTATTTGTTAAATAATAATTTTTACCATTTTGGACCTCAGTTTCCTTATCTATAAATAACGGGGGTTGGACAAGATATTCAATATTCCTTCAAGCTCAGTTTGCATTTTTCACACTTCTATAACAACTGGAAAGTTTGAACCAAAATATGCTTAACTAAATCCTTTTAATTTTGTTAAAAAGAAAAATAATCTATAAAGGAAAATTCTTTTTTTTTTTTAGTATTTATTGATCATTCTTGGGTGTTTCTCGGAGAGGGGTATGTGGCAGGGTCATAGGATAATAGTGGATAGAAGGTCAGCAGATAAACACGTGAACAGAGGTCTCTGGTTTTCCTAGGCAGAGGTCCCTGTGGCCTTCCGCAGTGTTTGTGTCCCTGGGTACTTGAGATTAGGGAGTGGTGATGACTCTTAACGAGCATGCTGCCTTCAAGCATCTGTTTAACAAAGCGCATCTTGCACCACCCTTAATCCATTTAACCCTGAGTTGACACAGCACATGTTTCAGAGAGCACGGGGTTGGGGGTAAGGTTATAGATTAACAGCATCCCAAAGCAGAAGAATTTTCCTTAGTACAGAACAAAATGGAGTCTCCTATGTCTACTTCTTTCTACCAGACACAGTAACAATCTGATCTCTCTTTCTTTTCCCCACATTTCCCCCTTTTCTTTTCGACAAAAGCGCCATCGTCATCATGGCCCGTTCTCGATGGTCGCTGTCTCTTCGGAGCTGTTGGGTACACCTCCCAGATGAGATGGCCGGGCAGAGGCGCTTCTCACTTCCCAGATGGGGCAGCCAGGCAGAGGCGCTCCTCACATCCCAGACGATGGGCGGCTGGGCAGAGGCGCTCCTCACATCCCAGACGATGGGCGGCTGGGCAGAGGCGCTCCTCACTTCCCAGATGATGGGCGGGCGGGCAGAGACACTCCTCACCTCCCAGACAGGGCGGCCGGGCGGAGGCGCTCCTCACCTCCCAGATGGGGCAGCCGGGCAGAGGCGCTCCTCACATCACAGATGATGGGTGGCCGGGCACAGGCGCTCCTCACTTCCCAGACGATGGGCAGCTGGGCAGAGGCGTTCCCCACTTCCCAGACGGGGCGGCCCGGCAGAGGTGCTCCTCACATCACAGATGATGGGCGGCCGGGCAGAGGCGCTCCTCACCTCCCAGACGATGGGCGGCCGGGCAGAGGTGCTCCCCACCTCCCAGACGGGGCGGCCGGGCAGAGGTGCTCCTCACCTCCCAGACGGGGCAGCCAGGCAGAGACGCTCCTCACCTCCCAGACGGGGA
This sequence comes from Homo sapiens, assembly GCF_000001405.40. NCBI lineage: Eukaryota > Metazoa > Chordata > Mammalia > Primates > Hominidae > Homo > Homo sapiens. The sequence goes on along the minus strand of NC_000007.14, from coordinate 91,888,634 downwards.
GGCCGGGCAGAGGTGCTCCTCACCTCCCAGACGGGGAGGCTGGGCAGAGGTGCTCCTCACTTCCCAGATGGGGCGGCTGGGCAGAGGCGCTTCTCACCTCCCAGACGAATGGCGGCCAGCCAGAGGCGCTCCTCACATCCCAGACGATGGGCGGCCGGGCAGAGGCGCTCCTCACTTCCCAGATGATGGGCGGGCGGGCAGAGACACTCCTCACCTCCCAGACGGGGCGGCCGGGCAGAGGCGCTCCTTACCTCCCAGATGGGGCAGCCAGGCAGAGGCGCTCCTCACATCACAGACGATGGGTGGCCGGGCACAGGCGCTCCTCACTTCCCAGACGATGGGCAGCCGGGCAGAGGCGCTCCCCACTTCCCAGACGGGGCGGCCGGGCAGAGGTGCTCCTCACATCACAGATGATGGGCGGCCAGGCAGAGGCGCTCCTCACTTCCCAGATGATGGGCGGCCGGGCAGAGGTGCTCCCCACCTCCCAGATGGGGCGGCCGGGCAGAGGTGCTCCCCACCTCCCAGATGGGGCGGCTGGGCAGAGGCGCTCCCCACTTCCCAGACGGGGCTGCCGGGCAGAGATGCTCCTCACTTTCCAGACGGGGCAGCTGCCGGGCAGAGGCGCTCCTCACCTCTCAGACGGGGCGGCCGGGCAGAGGCGCTCCTCACATCCCAGACAGGGTGGCGGCTGGGAAGAGGTGCTCCTCACTTTCCAGACAGGGCGGCCGGGCAGAGGTGCTCCCCACTTCCTAGACGGGGTGGCGGCTGGGCAGAGGCGCTCCCCACATCCCAGACAGGGTGGCCGGGCAGAGGCGCTCCTCACTTCCCAGACGGGGCGGCCGGGCAGAGGCGCTCCTCACATCCCAGATGGGGCGGCCGGGCAGAGGCGCTCCCCACTTCCCAGATGGGGTGGCGGCCGGGCAGAGGCGCTCCTCAGTTGCCAGATGGGGCTGCCAGTCAGAGGCGCTCCTTGCCTCCCAGGCGGGGTGGCGGCCGGGCAGAGGCGCTCCTCACATCCCAGATGGGGCGGCCGGGCAGAGGCGCTCCTCACTTCCCAGACAGGGCGGCCAGGCAGAGGCGGTCCTCACTTCCCATTTGGGGCAGCTGGGCAGAGGCACTCCTCACTTCCCAGACAGGGCGGCCGGGCAGAGGCGCTCCTCACATCCCAGATGATGGGTGGCCAGGCAGAGACGCTCCTCACTTCCTAGACGGGTTGGCGGCTGGGCAGAGGCGCTCCTCACTTCCTAGACGGGGCAGCTGGGCAGAGGGGCTCCTCATATCCCAGACGATGGGCGGTCAGGCAGAGACGCTGCTCACTTCCTAGACGGGGTGGCGGGCAGGCAGAGGCTATAATCTTAGCACTTTGGGATGCCAAGGCAGGCGGCTGGGAGGTGGAGGTTGTAGCGAGCTGAGATCACACCACTGCACTCCAGCCTGGACAACATTGAGCGTTGAGTGAGCGAGACTCCGTCTGCAATCCCAGCACCTCGGGAGGCTGAGGGGGGCAGATCACCCGAGGCCAGGAGCTGGAGACCAGCCCGGTCAACACAGTGAAACCCCGTCTCCACCAAAAATACAAAAATCAGTCAGAAGTGGTGGTGCGTGCCTGGAATCCCAGGCACTCAGCAGGCCGAGGCAGGAGAATCATGGGAGCCTGAGGCAGAGAGGTTGCAGTGAGCCGAGATCATGGCAGTACAGTCCAGGCTCGGCAAGAGAGGGAGACGTAGAAAGAGAGGGAGAGAGAGAGGGAGACAGGGAGGGGCAGGGGGAGGGGGAGGGAGAGGGAGAGGGAGAGGGAGAGGGAGAGGAGGAAAATTCTTAAATCAGGCTGAAACCTACTTTCCTTTCTTCATATCAACACTTAAGTTAGATAATCACAACAGACTTTGAGTAATATCTTCCACAACTGGAATGCAGTCATTCAAAAATGATAATAAAAGATTACTTTATAATTTAGTATATGATAAAGTAGTATTTCAAAGCAAAGGGGAAATAAATACTATTCATTAAATGATGTTAGGACAATTGACCAGCCATTCTGAAAAGAAACAAAAATAAATTTCTACTTCATTTCTCATTCCAAAATAAAATCCAGATGATTCAAAGATTTAAAGGAAAACCAAGAAAAATAATAATGAACGTACTGGAAGAAAATATATGTGCCTGAGCTTTATGAACTTGAAGTGTAAAGGACTTTTTAAGAACAAGGTGACTTCTCTATAAGCTTGAGGTGAAAAGGACTTTTTATACAATGAAGCATAATTTCAAATGCAGTATAAGCAAGGGCTTAAGAGTACAGGTTCTAGAAGCAATAGCTTGGGTTCAGATCCTGGTTTCACAAACATTAGCTTTATGATCCTGACATAATGCCATTGTTTGGATATTTGAGCCTCCAAACCTCATGTTGAAATTTGATCCTCGATGTTGGAGGTAGGGCATAATGGGAGGGATACAGGCTTGGTGCTATAATGAGTGAGTTGTCCCTCTTGGTTCCCATGAGAGCTGGTTGTTAAAAAGAGCATGGCATCCCCCATCCCTCACTTCTTCTCTTGCCACATGATCTTTGCATGCCCTTTTGCCTTTTACTGTGAGTAGAAGCAGCCTGAGGCTCTGCGTAGAAGCAAATGCTGGCACCAAGCTTCTTGTACAGCCTTGATATAGTTTGGATGTCCCCTCCAAATCCAGTGTTGAGATGTAATCCCCAGTGTTGGAGGTGGGGCCTGGAGGGAAGTGTTTGGGTCATGCGGGCAGATTCCTCATATTCTTGGTGCTGTCCTTGTAAGAGTAAGCTCTTGTGAGATCCTGTTGTTTAAAAGTGTGTGGCACCTCCTGTCTCCTGTTTGTTCCCTCTTGCCACATGAGACGCTTGCTCCCCCTTTGCCTTCCACCATGATTGTAAACTTCCTGAGGCCCTCACCAGAAGCTGAGAAGATGTCAGTGCCATGCTTCCTGTACAGCCTGCAGAACTGTGAGCCAATTGAACTTCTTTTCTTTATAAATTACTCAGCTTCAGGTAATCCTTTATAGCAACACAAAAATGGACGAAGACACACAGTCACTTAATTCATCTGAGCCTCAGTTTCATCTGCAAAACTATGATACCTGCCTCATAGGGTTGAATAAAAATATTCAATATACTCTATGGGTATATGTATATAGGCCATAGTCTGCTAAGACCTCCATTAAACTATAATGAGCTACTCACATATAACTGTAACTTAGCTTCAGTTACAGCTACACAATATGTCACCCACAATGCCTAAAATACTTAGTTTACATATTTTATTTATATTCTTTTGCTTTATATTCTTTCATATGTTCTGGAAGGATAGAAACCAAAATAATATAAATAAAATATAAATAGTGGTTATTTCTAGGTGATGGAATTATAAGTGAAATTATTATTTTTTTGCTCCTTTCTTCTTTATTTGTATTTTCTAACGTAAATTAAAGTATTATGTCTCCCCGAGTGTCAGCATAGCATTGTGAATACAGTCATAGACGCTGGAGCCTGACTTCTTAGGTTGCAATGCTGGCTCCCTTACTTACTACCTGCGTGAGCTTGGGGAAGCTACATAGTCTCTATCTCAGTTTCCCCATTTGTAAAATGGAGATAATATTACTTCCATTATACAACAAAATGAGTTAATAGAGGTGAAATGATTAGAATTGTGCATGGCAGATAGCATTACATAAATGTTTTCAAATATTATTTTTCTCTCCATGTACTTTCTCTTAAAATTCCTAGTTTTTGGATGTCTTTAATATAGTAATCAACAAATGAAGTTAGTTATATGTGAGTAGTTCACTATCGTTTTTAATGCAGGTCTTAGCACACTATGGCCCGTGGCCCAGCAGCCCCCAAGCTAAGAATGGTTTTTATACTTTTAATGGGTTGTGAAATATGGAAAGAAAAAAGAGAATTTGCAACAGAGACAGTATGTGACCCACAAAGCCTGAAATACTATTTGGTCCTTTATAGGAAAAGGTTGCTGACCTTTGGCTTAATATGCTTTCCCTTTCAAATACATTTGCAATTTTAAATCAGCACAGTTTATACCAAGGACTAAATCTCTAAAGGAGGAATTTCAAGAAACGCCTTAAATAGAAAGGAAAATAGTTTTCGACAGTGAAAATAGTATTTCATCTTGTGAATGTTTGCTCCCCTCCTCTCTGTTGAGACTAATTTTTCTACCAATGACTAAGAATCATTTCACGGTAATTAATTGAAGGTTTGGTACAGTAGGATCAAACAATCCAAAAGGTACTTAAACTCACCAGGCTAAATAGCATCTCAAATGATTATTGTGTTTCTCTTGGCCAACTCTGTCAGGCTGATCCAACTACCATGGGAATTGCTGTCATATCAGGTCTGGAATCAGCAAATTTGCTAGGCTAAGTATCCAGTTCTTTGCCACAGACCCTTGTGGTAATGAGTGTGGGAGCATGAAAGCTGACTCAGGAAGTCTTTAGGCACACTTCAGAGAAATAAAGTTGCCTGAAGTAAAATCTTTAGAAATCTTAAATTGTTAAAAAGCAATTGTGAAAAGGGGGGAAATTAAGCAATCTTTTTTATTTTTTGCCAACAAAGTGTTAACCTGAGACTCTCTGGGTAACTTTATCTACCACTTTAATTAGCCTTGAACAACTGGGAGACATTTTATGCTTTTGGCAACCAAAACAGCTGCAGGCAAGAGAATGGAATAAGGGAGTCCTGGGTAGAGACCTGATGGTCCTCTGAGGGCCCTCAAGTAAGTCACATAGGAAGCTAGCAGGTCTGTCTGTGAAGTTGATGTGGGGGTGGGGCAGGCATTTGTCTACTGAATCCAGGAGTCTGCGGGTGTTGTATCAACTGAAGGTAAGAGTGGGAGGAATGAAGGGCCACTTTCTTTTTGACCTTAATTGGGCTTGCTGAGATTCAAACATGAATGAATGGTCAATTGAGGGGCTGTGGTTTGCCAGAAATCTATTTGCATAAAGCAAGAAGGACACTTCCAGGGCAGAGGAACAGGCACATTTGGCACAGTCAAAAAATTCTTAATTATAAAAGGCAGAGGCACTTCTGAATACAGCACAGATTCTGTCTTCAGACTTGACTTTCAGCCCAGCTTCTGAGTATCTAAGTCCAACGTGTTGGGATTACAGGTGTGAATCACTACACTCAGCCACTTTATTTTTCTTAATTACATCAACTTGGTAGGGACATGGGTCTGCTATGGTCCTGGGGAAGGAGATGGAAGAGGCATGTAGAGGAGAAGACATTCAGGCTGAGAGTAAGACCTGCCACTAGAAATAAGGTCCAGGAAGGCAGGGGCTTTGTCTTGGTTTCCACTATGTCCCCTAACTTGAAAACAGGGCCTGGAATGTGAAGGTGCTGAAAAAATGTTCATTGAATAAACAAATGAAATACAGGCAAAGTATATACAGGTCCTATTGTAAAACATCATAAAGGACGATGAGGCAGTAGTCATTTCTCTTACTGGAGGTAATGACATTTCAAAAATCACTGAAGAAATACAATAAGAAAGAAACCTAATTAATTATACAACATCCTAACCCAACCATTATTACACTTCTATTGTTATACTTTCAGTATTTTATAATATGCAATTAAAATAGATTTATAATCAGAAAATTTCTGATGGGAAATATGGAACTTATTTTCAAAAGAACCAATCTGCCTTTACCGACAAAATATCACTAAAAACCAACATAGGTGATGTTACCTAAGTAAGTCTGAAATAATTATTGATAGCTAAATCAATACAACAAAGTATGTGGTATAAATCTTAGAGTTACTGGTAAAGAAAATATAAGACATGCATTCTCTTGCTAGTTCCTACTGTATGGGTTTCAGTGTTCTCATTTGTAAAATGAGAGGGCTGGGGCTCAATAATCTCAAAGGTTATTTTATTTAATTTAATCTCTAAATTTTATTTTACATGCCGATTGTAAAGCAGTTTGTGTGTGTGTATATACATAATATATAATAATATTAATTCAGACATAGGAGCTCCTTCCATGCAGAAGGAATATAGATTTTAGAAATTCACATTTTAAAAGCCATCTCCAATTTTTTGGGACTAATTTTTACCTGGAGGAATTGCAGTAAGTAGTTTACTTAATAGATAGACTGATTATTAGTATTTTAAATTCCCAAAGATAAATCTTTATCCTTCTAAACCAACAAAACAGAGAGTTAATTAAAAACAAAGTGACAACAACAACCCAACTAGGAGTAGTCAAAGGGGAAGAGTGATGGTAAAACGTAATTGGTTCATTGGCATAGAAATGGGATAAACACGCCGGGTGCGGTAGCTCACGCCTGTAATCCCAACACTTTGGGAGGCCGAGGTGGGTGGATCATGAGGTCAGGAGATCGAGACCATCCTGGCCAACATGGTGAAACCCCGTATCTACTAAAATACAAAAAAACAAAAAAACAAAAAACAAAACAAAAAAATTGCCGGGCATGGTGGCACGCGCCTGTACTCCCAGCTACTCGGGAGGCTGAGGCAGGGGAATCGCTTGAACCCGGGAGGCAGAGGTTGTAGTGAGCCGAGATCGCGCCATTGCACTCCAGCCTGGCAACAGAGTGAGACTCCGTCTAAAGGAAAAAAAAAAAAAAAAAAGAAAAAGGAGAAAGAAATGGGATAAAGAAAATTCTTTTTCTTTCTTGAGACAAGGTTCACTGTGTCACCCAGGCTAGAGTGTAGTGGCACAATCACGGCTCACTGCAGCCTCAACCTCCCAGGCTCAGGTGATTCTCCCACCTTAGCCTCCCAAGTAGCTGGGACTACAGGCACCTGTGACCACGCCTGGCTAATGTTTGTACTTTTTGTAGAGATGGGGTTTCACCATGTTGGCCAGGCTGGTCTCGAACTCCTGGCCTCAAGCCATCCTCCCGCCTTGGCCTCCCAAAGTGCTGGGATTACAGGCATGAGCCATCGCGCCCGGCCAGAAAATTACATCATTAGGCTTGTACATGGAGGAGTTAGTAATGCCTGAAATTTTTCCTCTTTGTAGAATTCAGGGTCAATCCTGTTGATCCTGTGTTTTTTTAAGGACCAAATCACCATCGTCTCCTGAGGATAACTCGACAGACACAATTAATTCATTAATGTAGATATTATCTTTCTTTTGATGGTCACAGGAGAAGTGCCTTGAATTGAAGCTTTATCTCTTCCATTGTCACCATCACTAGGCAGGTGAGGCTGACAGGACCGCGTGGCTTAAGGCAACGCCTCGGGAGGGAGCAAAAATGCATCCACTGTGGAGATGAGGTTTCGGTTGCCTCCATTCTTTAAATAGCGCAAACCCTCACAATGTCAAAAGAATCATATTTGAATTCGAACTGCAAGTAAGGAAATCGAAGTATACTAGAATTGATTTCCAGCCTGAAGGCGGATGCTGAATTCAGACCAGCAGTGACACTCCAGGATTTCCACGGTAGTTCATTAAAGGAGGAGAATCTGGGACTAAACAGACAGAGTCTACACCCGCTTATCCTGCACCAAAAAACGCCGAGATGTTCATCGGCATCGCGTTAGTCACATTAGCAGCAGCAATCGCATTATCAAAAACTGCAACACGCATGTAAATAATAGCTACTTTTCCACCACGTGTCGTCGGCCGGCAGTGGATGCCCCCTGTAGGATCCCTATAAGATGCCTTACAGTTCCCCACGGACATCTGCCCAGGCGACTGGGAGTCCCAGGCCCCACCCCACCCTCCAAACCCCTTCTTTGGCGTTCAATACCCCGCGCTCACCGCGGTCTCTTGCTGCCCCCTGCCAGGCCCCTAGCGTCGGGCTGCGAAGGGCTGAAGTACCGCCACGAGGGGGCGCAGGACCAACGACATCACCTCTGCGCGCGACCCGAGGCCGGAAGTTAGTCTTTTCCACTTCCGCTCCTCCTAGCCGCTCCGGACCCCAGAGGCGGAAGTAAAAGCGAACTACAGTGGATGGGTGCAGTTCAGGGTGAGATTGGGAAGGTGGTGAGGCTGTGCTTTCCTTTCTTTTTGTTAAGAAGTGGGTGTGGGTGACTGCTGTACAGTGCAGCCCTTTGCAGATTTGTCTTTGGAGGAGGAAGAGGGATGGAAAGAGCCTTCGGTGTGGAATTACCTTGGTTTTGAGTTAAGAAAGACCCACCTGGGTTCGAACCCTAATGCTTCAGCTAGCGAAGGCAGGCTAGTATGGGAGCTCGGCGCTGTTTCAGATTTTGTAATTTTAAGGCTTATGCCTACCTTTTAAATTGTTGTGGGGAGTAAAGCGAGACAATATATATGAAGCACTTAGCTTTGGTACAAAACGTATTCGTGATTCCGCTACCTTTTCCCATCATATGTAGGCATGTACTTGCCGTTTTCTTTTCTGTATGTCTGAGAAATGTTGTTTGCAAGAGGTAATGCATCTCACGAGAACATAATGCAACGAGAACGTTAGCTGGGATCGATCTCTTATTTTGTATTAGGAAGGCCTGAAATATTTTGCCTTTTTTTTGTGTGTGTGTGTCATTTCCAGAGATAGCTGTTCTCCAGCCTTTCTGGAGGGATGCAGAGCCTTTCCTTAGGACAAACAAGGTGAGAAATGCATGTAAAGATCTCCAAACTTAGCTTGCTGTATCAAAAGAAGACCAGCTGGAATGTGGTATTTTAGGGCCAGTGATTAGTTATTTCCATTAACAGCCTTTTTAACAGGCCAGTTGTGGGGCAGAGGCGAACGTAAATCTTTTTTTAGACCCCTCATACTACAAGCATAGAAATTTTCAGTGTTTGTTAAGTTTGAACATTAGCCCTTTGGATAATGGTTTTGGTTAATTAAAAAGTCAATTTGAGAAATAGATCGAAGTCAATTTTTGAATAGGTACCATTTTTGAAATTTGTACGTGAGGAAAGTTGCTAACTTTCTTGTATTAGGCTATTTAGATGTTCATTTACCCTACTAGATATTATGAGTATTTTGAATGGAGATCCGTTGCTAAGAGTAAAGCATCATGGAGAATTTTGAAGTGTGACTTTTTTGGTACTAGAAACCGAAAAATAGATAAAGATAATTTGTATTTTCCATTGTTTTTCACACCAAAGGCCAGTTTTACTTGTTTAAATTTTTTCATCTGACTGCAAAGTAACACATATTCATTAAATAAAGTCCCAGTATTTCAGAAGTAGTACATAGCCTCTAATAATCTTTCAGAAATAAGTGTCATTCCACTTTCCCCCTCTGTATATATTAACGTCCCCCTCCCCGCCTTTAATATACATGGCATTATCCATACTGTTAAGCAGTTTGTCATGTAGAATATCTGACATCTTTTGATTGCAGTAGATCGGCCTTTATTTTTGGCACCTTTATAGTATATTGCATAGATGTACCACAATTTATTAATTATTCTATTGGTGGCCATTTGGGTTTCTTCTTCTTTGTTATAGCAAATAATGTTATGATGGTCATCCTTTTTCTTTCTTTCTTTTTCTTCTATTTTCTTTTTTTATGAGACAGATTCTTGCTCTGTTGCCCAGACTGGAGTGCAGTGGTGCAATCTCAGCTCACTACAACCTCCGCCTCCCAGGTTTAAGCAGTTATTGTGCCTTAGCCACCTGAGTAGCTGGGATTAGAGACATATATCACCATGCCTGGCTAATTTTAGTATTTTTAGTAGAGATGGGGTTTCGTCATGTTGGCCAGGCTGATCTCAAACTCCTGGCCAACATCTCAAAGTGGTGAGATTATAGGTGTGAAGCCACTGTGCTTGGCCTAGTCATCCTTTTTCATAACAAACACATATTGTCTTTTTTTCTTTTTGAGATGGGCTCACTCTGTCATCCAGGCTGGGGTGCAGTGGCTAGATTATGGCTCACTGCAGTCTGGATCTCCTGGGCTCAAGCAGTCCTCCTACCTCAGCCTTCTGAGCAGCTGGGACTATAGGTGTGTGCTGTTACAGTTGGCTAATGTTTTGATTTTTTGTAGAATAAGGGTCTCACTTTGTTGTCCAGGCTGGTCTCAAACTCCTGGGTTTAAGCAATCCTCCCACCTTGGCTTTCCAAAATGCTGGCATTACAGGTGTGAGCCGCTGCCCCTGGCCCTTTTTTCCCCCTTTGGATAATCTCCAAGAAGTGGAAATGCTGAATTAAAGGCTATGAACATTTAAAATTGTGGCAGCTGGTGCCAAATTCTGGTCCATTAACAATATTTGAGAATTTCCTCTGTTTCCTCATATGTTCATTAACAGTCAATATTATTAATTACTGTTTCTAAGTTTAGCTGAGACCACACATGTCATTTTTAGAGTAAATTTACTGCATTTTAGTATTGTAATCAAGACCAAATTTCTAGGTTTAGCTGAGACCACACATGTCATTTTTAGATGTCATTTTTAGAGTAAATTTATTGCATTTTAGTATTGTAATCAAGACCAAATTTCAGTTGCCAGTTGTAAGTCCATTTCAGCTCTTGTTTTCTATAAATAGAAAGCTTAGTTTTAGATTCCTTAGTAATAAATTATCATAAAACAAATGGTTGATTTCAGTGGTTAGTATTTTAAAGTAAGTTAAGGATTTGAGGGAAGATTATATTTGAATGGGACCTTGTCCTATGGATAGGCATCAGGAGGATGGGCCTTTCTAAAAGAAAGAACAGCTTAAGCAAAGGTAGGGAGACAGGAATGGGCAAGGATGTTTGGGATCAGAGGTTTGAGAGGCGATAGTGCTAGGTATTGAGGTGGTACAATAGAAGAGATAGCTAGAAAGGTAGTTAGAAGTAGATGGTAAGGTAGTTAGCTAACTGAAAAGGTAGCTAGAAAAAGATCACTTTGAAGATTTTGTTTTTTCGGGGAGAGCTACAGAAGGTCTTTAATCAGAGAATGAGGGACATAATCACATCATTTTACAAATGTCAGTATGGTGGCAGTTTCGAGTGATGGATGTCAGAGAAGCACATCAGGTGGCTGTTACAGGCTGGGTAAAAGAGAATGAAGACTTGTAACAGAATGAGAATTACAAAGAGTAGCGAGGTTGGATTTCAGAGAGATGCCAAAGAAGTTGAGTCTACGTGATTTGATGACTGGAGTTGAGGAAGAGGAAGAAAGCAAAGCTCACTTTTAGATTTTTATCACAAATGACTCTTAGATAGTGATTGTGATAATGATATCTTTAGTCAGAAGAGGGCAAATTTGGGGACTGGGAAAGATACTCAAGTTTGGGGCATGTTAAGTTTGTGTGGAAGAAACTTCCATGGAGGATGAGTTATACACAAGACATGAAATTTACTTGTGACAGATTTAGAAGAAACGTTTATAGATTTGTTACTTTTTGTTAGGAATTTTGGCTTACATTTTCACCTATTTTTAGTTTGTTATTAATAGAATTTCTGTTGAACATTCTGTGGCTTATTCAGCCTGTTTACCATGATGCTAATAGTCCTAAGAAAGTGCACTGTCTAGTAGTCTTCACACTTTTTTGATTGTGTACATTGTCAATAGAAATATGCCTACAATATATGTACATTTGTTTATTGATTATATATGTCTTACAGTACAATCATATTGTTTATATTATAAAACATATGTAGAAAGAATTTTTCAAAGGCTAAGACAAATACAAATTGTAGTTTTAACTATTTTCTTCCTCCATCCCATTGTATCATCTTGGACCTCTCTAGAAAGTACTGATCTGATTTCCAGCTGACGCATTCTGCCCCTTTATTCCAGTAGAGGTCAGTCGAGCATCTGGAAGAGAAAACAGGCTGTTGAACTATGCAAGGTAGAGCCGTCATTCTTCAGTTAGAAGGATAATTATATTTTAAAGTTTCTAAATTCATGCATTTTTGGAAGAGTAATTACAGAGTAGTATGTGGTATTACGGAGAAGTGAAGAATAGTGAGCTCAGTAGAGTATGGATCAATCTGAAATGTGCTTTTGTTGTTTGATGTTTATGTTGTGAGTACCTTGCATTTGGCTTTGAACATTACTTGATTCTGTAGTTTTGGGATCTTTTCCCAATTCTGTGAGAATCTGTAGATTATGTGAGCCACAGGAATGTTCCCTGCCTGTAGGCATAATCAAGTTCTAGTTAAAATTGGAGTAATTGAAAGGACAGACACAAAGAGGCTTTCTTTGAAATTGATCTTGAAAGCAGTATCTTTAGCCCAAAGAGGTTAGTAGTGGGTTGGAATTATCTATCTCTATTTTCTGTTTTATGCTTAATTAGGAGAAGGAGAAAAAAGAAATGCCTTTTCTAAGTAAGAGCCCATTGTAAGTAATTAGAAATCAAGCACGAACTTGTTACAGCTATATATTCTAAAAAGGCAAAAGTACAGTTTAAAAAATATATATGTACTGTTATATGACTCAGGCACAAGTAGCTTAGAAACAAATCATCAGATAGGTTGAATAACAGAACACTTTTTCTGTTGCTTTCCTCATAAAATATTTCTTATAAATAGAGATGCTCATTTTAGTAGGGACCTATGGTTATGATTATAAATAAGTTTGTATGTTTTGAGCCCCATTTCCAAATGATCAGGAAAATGAGTTATTGAGGTTTTAGTCACATGCTAGAAGCTGCAAGTTGAAAGTGTTGTGTAACAGATGCAAACAGCCCAGAATTAGTCTTGTGTAATATGGTGATGGAGAAGGGGAGAATGGTAAAGGTAACGTTTTAATGTTTACATGCCATCTTTCAGCACAGTTTCACATGTGGCGGGCCATGTGGATTTAATATCACAACTAGATCATTTTGAAGATGAAAATTGGTTTGGAATTATTGGGTTACAACGTAGGGAATGATAGGGTAAACCAAATGAGATGGAGATTGTGATCAAGAGCTGTTGACTAGAGGTCTATATAAGCTAAGAAAAATTAAGGCTTTAATGGTAGCATGGATATAAAGGGTAGCAGGAATTTAGGAAAAGATGTTCAAGATGGAAATTAATCTGAGGTGTTGGTTTTCAGGGCTAGATTTAGAGTTTGAAAACCAGGAGGCCAGAGGCAAAGAAATCTAGTATCTATGGGCAGGGCAAGGTCGAAGACCTGGAAAATTGAAATATGAGGCAGAAATGAAAGTGTCATTATAAGAAATAAGCCACGCCTGGCATGGTGGCTCACACCTGTAATCCCAGCACTTTGGGAGGCCAAGGCAGGCAGATCACTTGAGCCCAGGAGTTTGAGACCAGTCTGGGTGACATAGTGAAACACTGTCTCTACAAAAAATAAAAATAAAAAATCAGCTGGGCGTGTGGGGCATTCCTGTGGTCCCAACTACTCAGGTGGTTGAGGTGGAAGCATCACCTGAGCCCAGGGAGGTGAGGCTGCAACGAGCCATGATAGTGCTGCTGCACTCCAAGCCTGGGTGACAGAGTGAGACCCTGTGTCAAAAAAAAAAAGTTTGGAAATCAGGAGGACAAAGCAGAGATGGAGAGGGTCAACTGATTTTAGGTAGCCAAGGCAGGCAAAGGTAAACAAAAAGAGCAAGAAAAAAGCAAGAACAATTCTGGGGCACTAATGGTGCCCCACCTGCTTTTCTTTAGGTTAACAATGGAAGCAGTCCTGTGCTTACAGGTAACAGAAGCAGTGAGCTAGGGAGAGACAGTTATATATGTACATTTGTTTATTGATTATATATGTCTTACAGTACAATCATATTGTTTATATTATAAAACATGTAGAATTTTTCAAAGGCTAAGACAAATATAAATTGTAGTTTTACTATTTATTTAATAATTCAGCAGTGGCTGAATTATTAACACAGTTCTGGAGAGCTGGAGCTGAAGGTATATTCTCATAGAAATGACCATGATGCTTATAGGATTGTAATATGGTCATTTAGTTGTTTAACACATGCATTTGTGTAATATTTTATGTGTTGTTTTACACAGCATTTCAAAAGGTTTGAACTACCTAACCATTATGGCACCAGGAAACCTCTGGCATATGAGAAATAACTTTCTCTTTGGTTCAAGATGTTGGATGACTCGATTTTCAGCAGAAAACATCTTCAAATCAGTTTCATTTAGGCTTTTTGGTGTGAAGTGTCATAATACAGACAGTGAGCCTTTGAAAAATGAGGACCTACTGAAAAACTTACTTACTATGGGAGTAGATATTGACATGGCAAGGAAACGACAGCCTGGAGTTTTTCATAGGATGATTACCAATGAGCAGGACCTGAAGATGTTCCTTCTTTCCAAAGGAGCTAGCAAAGAAGTGATCGCTAGCATCATATCAAGATATCCACGAGCAATAACACGTACTCCCGAGAATCTTTCAAAACGGTGGGATCTGTGGAGAAAGATTGTGACATCAGACCTTGAAATTGTAAATATTTTGGAACGTTCTCCTGAATCCTTTTTTCGGTCCAATAACAACCTAAACTTAGAGAATAATATAAAGTTCCTCTACTCAGTTGGATTGACCCGTAAATGCCTTTGTCGATTGTTGACCAATGCCCCTCGTACCTTCTCCAATAGTCTTGATCTGAATAAACAGATGGTTGAATTTTTGCAGGCAGCCGGTTTGTCATTGGGTCACAATGATCCCGCAGATTTTGTCAGAAAGATAATTTTTAAAAACCCTTTTATCTTAATTCAGAGCACCAAGCGGGTGAAAGCTAACATTGAATTCTTACGGTCAACTTTCAATTTGAACAGTGAGGAACTGCTGGTTCTGATATGTGGTCCAGGAGCTGAAATCCTAGACCTTTCCAATGACTATGCCAGAAGAAGCTACGCAAACATCAAAGAGAAGCTGTTTTCTCTTGGATGTACTGAAGAAGAGGTACAGAAGTTTGTCTTAAGCTATCCAGATGTGATCTTCTTGGCAGAGAAAAAGTTTAATGATAAAATAGACTGCCTCATGGAAGAAAACATTAGCATTTCACAAATAATCGAAAATCCTCGGGTTCTGGATTCAAGCATAAGTACTTTAAAAAGTCGAATCAAAGAATTGGTAAATGCTGGCTGTAACTTGAGTACTTTAAACATCACTCTTCTATCTTGGAGTAAAAAAAGATATGAAGCTAAATTGAAAAAGTTAAGCAGATTTGCCTAAGGATGCCAATGTTTTTAATTCTCAGGAACTGTGAATATGTTATGCCACATTGCAAAAGAATTTTGCAGAAGTGATTAATTTAAAATGTTATTAAGGGCCTTGAGATGGGGAGATTATCCTGAATTACTTTGGAGGGCCTAATATAATTGTAGGGATCTTTAAAAGTTGAAGAGGGAGGCAAAAGAGGAGGTCAGAGTGATCCTGTATAAGAAAGACAACTACTTTTGAAGGAAGTTAAAAGGTGGCTTTGAAGGAGGAAGACACCTTGAGCCAAGGAATGAAGGGGGCCTGTAAAAAAAGATTGAAAAGGCAAGGAAACAGATTCTCCATTAGAGTCCCCAGAAAGGAATGCAGCCTTGCTGGCACCTTTTTAGCCCAGTGAGATCAATGTCAAACTTCTGACCCACAGAACCATAAGATGGTAAATTTGTGTTGTTTTAAACCACTGAGTCAGTGATAATTTGCTGAAGAAGCAAATAGATTAACATAGCAACTAAGTAGATGATTAGTTGCATTATAGGTGAAGTCAAAAATACAGTCCTTTAGTAAAGTCTCTATTTCTTCCTTTTATAAGAGTAATTATATTTAAAAAATCTACCTACCCTTCTGGAATTGCTAATGTTAGTGTTTATAAAGTCTTAAATGTGTGCATAAAAAACTAAATGTGAATATAAAATCTAAATAAAGGAATATGTTTGCCTAATATAGTTTAAGGAAATGATAATCATTTCTGTGCATTTTGTTGGCATTTCAGCTAATATTAAAGAGTAATTTTCAGAGGCATTGACTTAAAAAATGGCAAATCAGATAATGTCGGTATTTTCAAGATACAATCTAGCTCTGACATAAACTGAAAGACGTGAGACAAATTATATGACCTTAATTTTAATTGTTTTCCAGAGGCATTTGTTTTCTAGATGTGGTTTTTGAATTAAATAACATAATGGTGCTCAACCTTTTAAACCTCATTTGCTATCAGTGATACTTCAAAAAACCTTATTCCTACTATTGATAAAAACAATATGTCTGCTTTTCTAAGGCCATTTATATATTCAACGATACTCCTATTATAATTTGGTTAACTATTTGATGGCAAGCATGGCATAGTTTAGAAAGCAAGAGCTTTAGAGTGATGTATCTGGGCACCATTCCTGAGTAACTTGTGTTAATGTTTTAAATTTACTAAACCTGTTTTTCTCATCTGTAACACCAGAAATTGACCTTCCAGAGTTGGTAGGAATCAAATGAAAAAGCACCTCTAAGGTTTCTTGCACATAGTAATGATGCAATCAGTGATAGCTATAATAAAAAGATAGTATTTTAAAAAGCAGCTTTATACATAATTCACATATTCAATTTACCTATTTAAAGTCTAACACAGTTCAATTTATATATAGAGTTGTGCAACTTTATCTTCCATTGCTTATAATACATTTATAATTTATTGGAAAATTTATAAGGAAAATGAATTTCTTACAGTTATGGAAGCTGAGAAATCCTAGGTTGAGGGGCCACATCTGGTGAGAGCCTTCTTGCTGGTGGGGACTCTGAAGAGTCCTGAGGCGGCACAGTGTATCACATGGCGATTGCTAATGTACTTAGGTCTCTTTTCCTCTTATAAAGCCACCAGTCCACTCCCATGATAGCCTATTAATTCATTAATCCATGAATAGATTAATCAATTTCTGATGACATAGCCCTTATGATCCAGTCACCTCTTAAAGGCCCCACCTCTCAATACTGCCACATTGGGGATTAAATTTCAACATGAGTTTTGGAGGGGATGGATAGTCAAACCATAGCAGCAACCATCACCACAATCTAGTTTTAGAATATGTTTGCAGTCCTAACAGAAACCTTGTACCTGTTAGTGAATCCCCATTATTTCCCTCCATTTGTTCCCCCAAGCCTAAGCAAAAATGAATCTGTTTTCTGTGTCTATAAATTTGTTTATTCTGAGCATTTCATATAAATGGAATCATACAGTATGGTCTTTTGTGACTGGCTTCTTTCACTTAGCATATTTTCAAGGTTCATCCATGTAGCACATATTAGTATTTCATTTTTTTTGGCAAGTAATATTCCATTGTATGGGTACAGTAGTATTGGGAATACATTTTACTGTTATGGCTTAAAGTATTGATTTCTTAAGTCTTCTGAATTGTACGCGAGTGTTTTCTGAGGTATTGTTTTGGAATCTAACAAGCTCATAAGGGACTTGAAGGAGGTGGGTAGAAGAGATAATAGTTTATTGACATCAGCAGATCATAGGATTGTAGCTGGGCTGATGAGAAATGGTATAGCAACGATAGTTGCAAGTGGCCAGAGAGAATGTGGGTTGCACTGAAGTACAGTACAGCACTTGATCATTGGGCAGTAGGGGATGGGGGAAGGAAAACTTTGGAGAAACAAACAGATAATGCCTGTCAGGCAAAATTAACATGTCATACTTTAAGGTTTGAGTCTGATCAAGGGAGAGTCAATTCTTTTTTTTTAAAGATAGAATTATAGAAATATTGGCCAGCCATGTAATCCCAGCTCACGCCTGTAATCCCAGCAATTTGGGAGGCCGAGGTGGGAGGATTGCTTGAGCCCAGGAGTTCAAGACCAGCCTGGGTAATACTAGCAAGATATCATTGCTAGTAGGGAAAAAAAAAAAAAAAAAAAGGCCGGCCATAGTGGTGCGCACCTCTAGTCCTAGCTATTCAGAGGCTGAGGTGGAAGGATCCCTTGAGCTCAGAAGTTTGAGATTGCAGTGAGCTACAACTGTGCCACTGAACTCCAGCATGGGCAAGGGTGAGACCCTGTCTCAAAAAATAAATTACAGAAATCTTCAGTAATATTTTGTCATGAGTGAAAAAATCCATGTTTATGATGGGAAAAGATAGAAAATAAACCCCCCAAAAGAAAATAACTATAATCTTATCTCTCAGAGATCATTAACATTTTGGTGACTCTTCCTATTGTTTTTGTTGGTAGACATATCCATACGTGCATGTAATATGAGTAGATGAGTGGCATATATGTTTGAAACCAAACTATTTTATAATTTTTTTAGTGTAATAGATCCTGAACATACTAAGTATTCTTTAGTAACTAATTACAAAATCAAGTATTTACCTATAACATGATTTTTTAATGGCTGCATGAAATTCTGTTCTTTGGATAAACCATAATTTGTCACCATTGGTCAGAGTGAGTAAATTTTAGTACATTAGCAATTTTTTGAAAATCCTACCTAGATTATTTCAGTATTCCGTAGTGTTAATGCATACCACCATGTTTTAATCGTTGGTATATTTTATAACTTAAAATTTTGGTCTAGAAAATATAAATATTAAGAGTGCTGCATTTTGCCGTTCTCCAAATGTCAGATGGATCTGTAAAACTTCATTTTTAATGGAAACCATTCTAAATTATTGCCATAAATTTGAGCACTTTCAAATAACTGCAAGAATTTGGATAATATCACAGATTAAAAAGAAAAAAAATGAGTTTCTTCCAGATGAATTTAGCAGGAAGGAATTTAAAAAGTGAATATTTATAGATGGGTTTATTGGGTTATTAAACTAGTAATTTCTCCCCTTAAATAATTTCTAAGGCTGGGTAGGTACATGGTCTATGGCTAAAGATCCAACAATATAGCTTTCCTGTAAAAAAACAAAACAAAACCCTGACTACTGGCTCCTTCCTTGTTAGTCTGTAATGCCTCCTTACTTGCTACCATCTAGTGGAGATCCAGTAGAGAACTGTTGATGGCAGAACCCTAGCCACAAACTTTGGTAATAGTCCATTGTTATACAGTTCAGGAAAAGTTTGGCACAAGCGAGCTAGAATAGCAGGACTGTATTATTATTAGATTTTGGGAAGAAATAGAAGATACACTGATGGAATTTCATTTTCTGTCTCAGTTTCACTATTTTTCTGATCAGTATTTGGGATTTATTTGTCCTTAATAGAAATATTATGTGAAGATTAATGAACTTTTGTACATGAATTGCTTTATGTTAATTATGAACAATTTTAGTATGATGATATGCTAATTCTTTCATTTCCATTTTGAATATCCCAGTGCCACTTTCACCAGCTCTCAAGGTACCTTCAAATTCTGCCCACCATAATTCTCTTTCTTTTAAAAGTTTACCTTGGAAATGAATTTATTCTGTGGTAATAATCATTGTAAAAGTCTTTGAACAATACAAAGAAACAAAGTCTCAGCTAACCTATTTATCATGAGGTTGAAGAGATATCCTTTTATTCTTAGTTCACAAAGGGGTTTATTTATTTAAATCAGGGATGAAAGATGGTTTTTGAAAAAAAATCCTTTAAAAGTAATCTCTTAATCATTTAATGAATGACATCAGTGGATTTCTGCATATCACTTTTTGTTTTTACTTAAAACCTATGCCCTATTCAATTTACTAATATTTTACTTAGATTTTCATTAGTATTCACAAGGGAGATTGGTCTACAGATCCTTCCTACCTTTTATTATGAAAGTTTTGGTACATAGATTTTTTTTTTTTTTTTTTTTTTTTTTAATAGGGGAAGGAGGTTGCCACTTTGTCAGGTTTTTGGATCGGGGCTGTGCTAGCCTCAAGATAATTTGGAAGCTTACTATTTTTTCCCTATGTTTTGAAACTGTTTGAAAACTGGAAATGATCATTTCTTTAAAGTTTGGCACAACTTTGAAATTATCTGGGCCTGGTGTTTTGTTCAGAATAGATCTTTTACAACAATGGAAAGTTGTTGTAAAGGCTTATATGAAAGCTATTGACCTGTATCTTTTTGGTAGACAGCAATATAAAGCTCTCTCTTATTGTAGTTAATACATTTTGGTTTGAATTCTACATTGAAATTAACATTGCCATGCTTTATGTCTATTCAAATAATTGTACTTGTTCAAACAGCTTTACTTGGAATAACCAAAAACTGGAAGTAACCCAATGGACATTGGAACAACATGGAATTGAAAAGTACATTGTGATATATTCAGGCAGTGGAATATTACTCACCAATATGAAATAATGAAATATTGATACATGCAACTACATGAGCAAATCTCAAAATATGCTGAATGAAAGAAGCGAAAGAGTAAAATCTTTATTATTCAGTTTACATAAAATTCTAGACAGTGCTCACTAATTTGTGGTGACAGAAAGCAGATCATTGGTTACCGAGATGGGGTGGATGGATGAAGAAGGCCATGAAGAAAGGACTGCAAAAGACTACAGGGAAACTTTTGGGAGTGATCTATATATTCATCATCTTGATTGTGGTGATTGTTTTGTGAGTCAAAATGTATCAAATTATATGTTTTAAATATGTGCAGTTTAGTACACTTCAGTTATACCTCAGCAAAGCTGAAAAATCCATTCAACTCTGATTTGAAATGCCATCTTCGTCTGATGCTGTTTACATGTCTCTGAGTGTGTTTCTAGGCTCTCTTCAAGTCTACTAAACAAATATATTTGACTTTATGTTTCTATATTGACATAAATAGTTAGACAGTATCTTTTCAGTAAAAGTGTTGGGAGAACTGGGAAGCCACCTGAAAAAAAATATTGATAGATTCGTATTCATACACCAGGATAAATTCCAAGTGGAACAGTCATGAGCTCCAAACCACTCAAGCCCCTGCCTTGGCATTACACTTAATGACCTATACTTAAGTCAGGCCATGACATGAACTAAACACTGGTACTAATATCAGAATCTTTTTCATAGGGGGCTTCCTGGAACTTGACTTGGACCTATGGGCTAGAATTTACCGAAAGCAGCTGACCCGTGCTTTGCTTTTACTATTCCAGGAATGCAGATAAAGTCTAACTTCCAGCTAGACATGGTGGCTCGTGTCTGTATTCCTAGCTACTCGGGAGCCTGAGATGAGAGGATTCCTTGAGCCCAGGAGTTTGAGTCCATCCTGGGCAACATAGGAAGCCACCATCTCTTAAAGAAGAAAAAAAAAAAACCTAGATTTTGACCTTTTCGTCACAAGAAAACAAAGGCTCTTATGAAGTCCCATGCCCTGTTAAGCACTGGTTTATTTAATTAGTTAATGGATTGGGTTTACGCTGTCATACAGCTACATATAGCCTCCTTTTCCAAGGAAAGTAGGCTGCAACCACCCAAGTTAGAGGCAATCTTTTTTTTTTTTTTTTTTTTTTTTTTTTTTGCTTTACTGCAGTTAGGGAGAACTGATTGTCATGTTGTACCCTAAATATCAACTAAAGTGTCTATGACAAAATTAGTGCAGTTAGATCAGCATTATCCCACTCTGTATGTTTGAATTTCTCTCTCTGACCTGCACAGCTACTTCAGAAGCCCTTCTGAATGAAGCTTTATGTTTGCAATTCATATAAGTACAATACAGCTGGCTATAGCTTACTGTTTTAGCTGAATGTGATAAATTATTCACAGAATTAAAGTTTAACTTTGTGATAACAAGTATATAAATTATATATAACTGATTAAAAAGATTAAAATTAGGTCTTAATCTGTGTTTACTTGTGTGTAGAACTTCATGAACTGTAGGGGGAACTAGATAGAGGTTTTGCTGTACAGTTTCTAAAGCCAATTAGCTCTAAATCTGGCTGATAATCCAAACTAAATTAAGCGTCCTTTAAATGCCAAAAGAGGTCGGCACTGTGCCATTTTTTCTGTAGGTTGTCAGCCTTAAGCTGTAAGAAAATAAACAGATACTTTTGCATATATATATTTCCCTGTTAGTTTAATGTCTGAAACTGTTTTCTTTTAATGGTTATTCTTTTTCTTTTCTCTCTCCCTTCCTTCCTTCCTTCCTTTCTTCCTTCCTTCCTTCCTTCCTTCCTTCCTTCCTTCCTCTCTCTCTCTCTTTCTTTCTTTTTCAAGTACCACTTTTTCATTTTTCATTGTCTTAGTTCTGAAATTACATTAGGGTGCTTTTTTCATTTTCATCTAAGTTTAACACCTTGTTTGTTACACAATGTTAATGCTTAAAAATATACAGCAATGTCTTTATACTTATTCAGTTACTACTGCCAAATCTTCTGTTCTTACTTAATTTTCACCTGTCAACTTCTGTGGTGGTATTTGTTGTGTATTTGTACACAAAACCCAACATAAAGTGGTATGTTCTCCACATGATTGCAACTGATCTTAAATTTTCATCTTTTTGGGGGTTTAGGAGTTTTTTTAAATAGAGATCCTAATTGTGACATCTGAAGTGAGGGAATCAGATTTTGTTGTGAGACTAAATGTTATATGCACATTATAAACTATCCTTGATTTCTCCATCATTTAGAAAAAGTTGCAAACAAATGCATGTGCTCTTGGGTCTCCCATGGCATCTAATAGCTGCTTTAATGACCTTGCCCACTTAACTGTGATTTGGTAAATAGTTCTAGATCTGAGGATTGATATGTGAGGGAAAATGGTAGAATTCGAAAAAAGTAAAATAAATGCGGTATAAAGCACCATATGTACAAAGCATGCCCTAGATGTTATGGTGGCTACAAAAGAGGTTGAAGTCTCTGGAGTTAAATGATGTTATGTCTTTATTGTCTGCATCATGCCCTAATCAAGTTGAATTCTGGTTCAAATTCTACCTGACATCTGAAGATTTGACAGCAGACTCTGGAACAGATCTGTCATCAGATAGAGAAATTCTCTCCCTCTCCCAATCCCCTAGGGTGAAGTTAATACTTCTTTAGGTAAGTTTTGCCTTGTGCTCCTATATTTTCTTCCCTAGAGTCCGTGAGCAAGGGTGACACCTTGGCAATGGCTTGGTCAACTAGGACCTTCAGAGAACCTAAGTACACCCTCTCCTCCTTTCCCAGTCAAACTGCTATTTATATAAAGACCACATTCTGAGTTACTGCCAACATTGATGCTGTTGGGAGCATGGAAGAGCTCAGTAGTAGCTTTGATAGTTTGTTGGTTTGTTTATAAAAATAATATTTTTTTCCTGATTGCAAAATAGTCATGTAATTACCCAACATTGGAAAACACAGAAGAGCGCACACACAAAAAGTACTTATAATTCCAATAACCCTGAGATAGTACTTGTTAATATTATTTAATATAACTTTCTAGTTTTTTTTCCCCATGCATGTATGTTTTGTGTAGAAAATAAATACCCATTTTCTGGCTAAAATTAATTAAATTATTGAACACATATTTGTTGAGCACTGACTATGCACTATTGTGCTTGACACTGGATTCTTATGTAATAACTATTTTAAACCTGTTTTTATAAATATATGATAAGCATTCTTCCACATCACATATCATTTATGACTTGTCTTTATGTAAATTGGAGACTTGGCAAGCCTGGACCGCTGTGGTTAAGGGATGTGCTGTTTGAGACCTATAGGGAAAAGACTGGCATTCCAGGAGGCCTCTTTGGGCTCAGGAGGTCACCATAGAGAATTAATAGAGCTCAGAGCTTGTCCAGAGAATCCCATTTTCTTTCCATGTAGCATAATGGAACTTCCTGGAAAGGTTATCAAAGACTGATAGGACGTGCAGGTTTGTTACATAGGCAAATGTGTGCCATGGTGGTTTGCTGCACCTATCAACCCATCACCTAGGTATTAAGCCCCACATGCATTAGCTATTTATTCTGATGCTCTTCCTCCCCCAACCCCTGCTGCAGCATGCTCCATTGTGTGTTGTTCCACTCCCTGTGTCCATGTGTTCCCACTGTTCAGCTCCCACTTATAAGTGAGAACATGTGGTGTTTGGTTTTCTGTTCCTGTGTCAGTTTGCTGAGGATAATGGCTTCCAGCTCCATCTATGTCCCTGCAAAGGACATGATCTTGTTCCTTTTTATGGCTGCATAGTATTCCATGGTATAACTATTTTAAGTGACAAAAATAAAAATTGTATTTTTTTTATGGTGTACAACATGTTTTGATATATGTATACATTGTGGAATGGCCAAATCAAGCTTATTAAAATATGCCTTATTTCACATACTTATCTTTTTTTGTAGTGAGAGCACTTAAAATCTACTTTCTTAGCAATTTTGTTTTTCTTTCATTCATTTTTTTTTTTTTTGAGACAGGGTCTTACCCTGTTGCCTAGCTAGAGTGCAGTGGTGTGATCACAGCTCACTGCAGGCTCGACCTTCCTGTCTCAGGTGATCCTCCCACCTCAGCCTTCCGAGTAGCTGGGACTGCAGGTATGCGCCACCACGCCCAGCTAATTCTTTGTAGTTTTTTGTAGAGACAGGGTTTCACCATGTTGCCCAGGCTGGTCTCGAACTCCTGGGCTCCAGTGATCCGCCTGCTTTGGCCTCCCAAGGTGCTGGGATTACAGGCATGAGCCACTATGCCTGGTCAGCAATTTTCAAGTATATAACACATTATTATTAACTAGAGTCACCATGTTGTACAGTGGATCTCTTGGACTTACTCCTCCCGTCTAATTGAAATTTTGTATCCTTTGGCCAACATTTGCCCAATCCTTCCCTGATTCTACTCTCTGCTTCTGTGAGTTTGTATTTTTTAGATTCCACATGTAAGTGAGATAATATATTTGTCTTTCAATGCCTGGCTTATTTCACTTAATATAGTGTCCTCCAGGTTCATCCATGTGGTTGCAAATGACAGAATTTCCTTCTTTATAAGGCTGAATAGTAGTTGCTTGTGTATATATACCACATTTTTTTTTTAGCTGTTCAGCTGTTGATGGACACTTAGATTGAGTCCATATCTTGGCTATTGTGAATAATGCTGCATGAGCACAAGAGTGAAGACATAATGATATCTTCTTTTTGATATACTGATTTCATTTCCTTTGGAAACATAGCCAGTAGTGGGATTGCTAGATCATCAGAATGGACTTTAATTGCTCTTCTTGGATTCTTTTCTTTTGCCTCTAACCTTTTCACTTCTAATTCCTACTCCTAAATATTCCTTTTTTTTTTTTTTTTTTTTTTTTTGAGATGGAGTCTTGCTTTATTGCCCAGGCTGGAGTACAGTGGTGTGATATTGGCTCACTGCAACTTCTTCCTCCCAGGTTCCAGTGATTCTCCTGCCTCAGCCTTCCAAGTAGCTGGGACTACAGGTGCTTGCCACCACACCCAGCTAACCTTTGTATTTTTAGTAGAGATGGGGTTTCACTATGTTGGCCAGGCTGGTCTTGAACTCCTGACCTCAGGTGATCCACCCGCCTTGGCCTCCCAAAGTGTTGGGATTACAGGCATGAGCCACTGCGCCCAGCCCCTACTCCTAAATATTCTATACAGTGCCCCTAAAATAATTTCCTGACCAATACTGGGTCTATATTGCTAGGCTGAACAGACCTGGTCCCTCCTATCATGGAGCTTACAGTCTAGCGGAGAATGATAGAGCAATTATCAGCTAAATATACAAATAAATAAGTAACTATAAATTGAGAAAAGTGTTACAAGGAAACAGTTCTGGGTTGGAGAATGAAGGGCGGAAACAGACTGGCCAATCAGGAATGGCCTCTTAGGGAGCTAAAATGTAAGCTGAGACTTGAAGGATAAGAAGGAGATGGCCAATGAGTGAGGCAGAGCATTACAGACATAGGAAATGGTTGGTGTGAAGGCCCTACTGGGTATAAGTGTGGTATGTCTTAGAAATGGAAGAATGCCCAGTGCTTCTGGAGAATAGTAAGTGGTGGGGCAAAGCAGAATTTAGATGAAGTCATAAAGATGAGTGGGGATGTGGGGGGCTGGAAACATATTACATGCAGGGCGTCAAAGTCCGTGAAAGGAAGATTGGATTTTAAGGACAATGAGAAAATCATTGAGACTTGTTAAGCAAATAGGAAAATATAATGGAATTTACATTTACAACTGAGTCCAGTAACTTGTGAGAAGAATCATTTGGAATGGGACAAGTGAGGAAACGTGTAGATCAATAAGGAAGCCATTGTAGTAGTTCAGGCCAGAAATGATGGTGACTTGGATTAGGGTGGTGACAGTAGATTTGGGAAGAAGTTGATAGATACACTTGACAACAGCAGCGCCCAATAGATTTATTTTGAGCCAGGAATACAAGCCATATGTATATTTTAATTTTTCTTGTAACCACATTAAAAAAATAAAAAGGAAATAGGTGAAATTAACTTAATAATTTAACCCAGTATATAAAAATGTTTTCACAAACACATACTCAATATAAAATTTATTGAGCTATTTGACATTCTGTTTTTGTACTACATCTTCAAATCTGATGCATATTTTATGCCTAAAGCACACCTCAATTTGGGCCAGCCACCTTTCAAGCGCTTAGTTGCCATATGTGGCTAATGACAGCCATATTGGACCAGACATCCTTATAGAATTTGGTGATGGATTGGATGTGAGGAATTTGGGAGAGGGAGGAATTAAGGATAACTCCTTGAATTTCAGCTTAAGCAAGAAGTATGTGGCAGTACCTTTGGAGATGTAATAAATTGGAGGGAAAAGGGTTTAGGATACAGGTAATAAAGCATATAGCTTTGGACATGTTAAACTTGGGATGTATGAAGAGACAAGAAGGATGATGGATGACCCTGACGCCTCCTATGGATTGTCTGGCAATGAGACATCACTGATGGCCTTTTTTCCCCTGGTGTGAGTGCCTGCACTTCATTACCCTTCTCAAAAAGATTTTCGGGTATCATCAGCGCTGTTCCCAGCACTGGTTGGTACCTTTTATGAGAACCAGGTGACCCAAATATAGTTTCTCTTTGCTCACAAAGCTGTGTAAAGACCAACAGCAATAGTAGGAAGGGTCATTCTGTTTGAGGATATACCAGTGGTGTGTCCAGTGGCATGCCGGCCCAACCATGCCTCTCCACAGGATGGCTAGAGGACAAGAGACCCATGCAAGCTGCAGACCTTCTGCCTGTGAGTTAGCTCTATTGTGTTCTAAGTGATGCTTGCTGGTATCTGTCAGAATCCCTTTTCTGGACAAGATGCAGGTGGGACATTCAAGTAGACTTGTCAAAGAAGCCATTTAGATATATGAGTAGAGTTTAGAGGAGAATTCTGAGGTAGAACTATAACTTCTGGGATTAATGGCATACAAATGATAATTAAAATTTTGAGAATGCTTTAGAGGAGGAACAGACAAGAGAGTCTAGGACCCAGCCTTAAGTTCTCCAACATTTGGAGGTTGAGTGGAAAAAAAAAGCTAGGAATGGATGGAGTTGTGGAAGCTAGGAGAGGATAGTATTTCAAGAAGGAGGCAGTGGTCAACTGTGGTGATACCGTGGTGAAAAGATGAATAGGCGTTCTATGGAAGTTTCACTGTTCCCTTGTGATGAAATGCAAGCTCTCCACCAGCTGCCTCCCATCTACCACCTTCCTTAAACTTTTTTTGATTTTTGTTTCTGTTTCCCTAAACCGAAACCTGTTTTTCTTGCTTCCACCCCCGACTTGAGCTATTTTCTTGTGCTTTTCCCCACCTCCAATTCTAATATAGTGCTTTTGTGTGTGTGTGTGTGTTTTTAAATCTTCAAACCTTCCCTCAAATTGTTTCATGTAGTGTATATGGAATAACTACTCTTTGGTTTGCTGTATAGCACCCATCTGCTGTACTTATTTGGATACCTATGTCGATCATGTTTTTGATGTCCAAGGATAAGAATTTTGAATATAAGGCTTATATCTATGCTACATGTACTAAGTGTTTAGCATAATGCATTTATTCACTGCTGGATCCTAATTATTAATCCAAATTCTAAAGGGGTTTATCAATAATAATTAACAATAAATTAATAATAAAGGTTGGCAAAATTAGATCAACAGCTTAGTGGCAATGCTATGTTTTAGACTAGTGCTGCCCAACAGAACTTTCTGCAGTGATGAAAATTTCTCTCTGTTCTATCCAGTAGATAGCCATTAGCCTCATGTGGTTATTGAGTACTTGAAATGTGGTTAATGAGGAACTGAATTTTAATGAAAAAAGAAACCTCAATTAGTTAGAATTAAAATTTAAATAACCACATATGGCTAGTGACTACTGTATTGGAAAGCACAGCTTTGGACAACATGATCTGTTAATATAGCTTCTCTATTGCTTGAGTTTGGGCACAATAGGACCATGTTGATGCTTGATAACCACATGCAGATGACAGATTTTTTTTTTTTAGGTCCTTGGTAGCCCTGAGATTTCTATATTCTATTAATAAAGCAGCCCTGAAATTTTTGTGCTCAGTTTACATATGTCCTTTACATCTGAAAGTCTGCTCAGGAACTATTTGAAACAGTGGTTCTAAAATGTGATCAGTCAGATCATTACAATCACCTAGTGAGCTGTTGCCTAGTTATTTCCCTGTTACAGGGAATTTTTCACTGTCTGCCTCTTCATAGGCTTTAGCTTGCTGTCATGTGGCCCATCTAGACTTTTAGACTCTGATTTCGTTTCTTTTCTTCTGTCTTTCACCGCTCTTCAAGGCACCAGAGGACAATGCCAAAATTCCTCTTATTTGTTAGTTGATCTTGAACATTTAAAATCATCATTGCCTAAATAACTTCCCATCTAAATTATGCCTAGAGCATCTCCACAATAGCCCAAAATAGCCAAAAATGCTCAGTGAAGTATCTTCACAAATAAGGGGCAGTCTTTTCCTTAGAGCTATTCTGGTCCTCAAAGGCCATGTGGCTCAAACGGAAACCAACATTGATAAATTTTTTCTTTGCACTGGGCAAATTTCAGTCTTTTTTTGAGGCACTTTCTGCTGCATTTGATACTGTTAAAATAGGAAATTACTGCTTATGGAATATAGTTCTGAAGGTACAAACAAATTTAGAATGCAAAGTAAATCTTCCCCACTCCTGTACTCATCTAATCTATCTTTCCATAGACTACCTCTGAGAGGCCCCACAATAAATTAATATGTTTTCCTCTCAGAGATAGTCTATGTTTATATAAGACAAATGTACATATATGTTCCTGTATTGTTAAACTTACATTGTAGCATAAAATATATACTGTTGTTTTCACTTGCTTTTTTATAGTTTAGGGATCATTCTTTGTCAGTACACAAGGAGCTGCTTCATTCTTTTTAATGGCTGCATAGTACTCTTGTATGAGTGTACCAAAATTTATTTAACTAGTCCTAATTGATGAGCATTTAATCTATTATTAAATTACTATTATATATTGTTAAATGACACATTATAAAATTGCTATTAAAATAATCCCTGCAAGAATATATTTATTTTCATATCATTTTACATGTACAAAATATCTTTAGGACATAGTCTTAGAAATATAATTATTAGGTCAAAAGATATGTACATTTAAGTTTTAATATATACTGCCAAACTATCTTCCATTGATACTATACCAATTATACATCTACTAATAATGTATGAAGATGCTTGTTTCTCCTTCACCAATGGCAGATTTTAAATTTTTCAATACTTGTCAACCTGATAGGTAAAGTTAGTATCTCCTAACTTCAATTTGCATTTAATTTACTGTGAATGAGGTTGAGTATTTAAAAAATATGTTCAAAGCCTCGTGTATTTTTTTAATCTCTAAATTGTCTTTTTATGCCTATTGCCTATTTTACCCCTAATTGAGCTATTTGTCTTTTTGCAGGAGCTCTTTATATATTGAGGAAAATTAGCCCATTGACTGTAATAATGCTGTAACTTTTCCACCTAAATTTTAACTTTTAACTTTTTTAATGGTATTTTTTGGCCATGCAGAATATTTTAATGTGCATATGATTGGACTTATTTATCTTTTCTTTCCTGGTTTAGAAAGACTTTCCCATTCTAATGTTATAAAATAATTTACCCGTATTTTCTTCTAGTAGTTTTATGATGAAAAAATTCAAATGTGATATATCTCAACATTAAATAATCTTTTTCTGTCTACTGAGAAATATTTGTCTTATTTCTTTTCTTTTTTTTCATGGGACAGAGTCTTGCTCTGTCACCCAGGCTGGAGTGCAGTGGCACCATCTCAGCTCCCTGCAACCTCCACCTCCCGGGTTCAAGTGATTCTCCTGCCTTAGCCTCCTGAGTAGCTGGGATTACAGGCGCCCACCACTATGCCTGGCTAATTTTTGTATTTTTAGTAGAGACAGGGTTTCCCCATGTTGGCCAGGCTGGTCTTGAACTCCTGACCTCGTGATCCACCCGCCTCGGCCTCCCAAAGTGCTGGGATTACAGGTGTGAGCCACCACGCCTGGCCTATTTGTTTTATTTCTGGACTCTATCTGTGGTACCACATTGTTTCCATTTATTCAAGTGTATGTGTGTGTGTGAGTGTGACCTGCAGTAGTAACATTTTAAAGCTTTTCTTTACATACCTCTGACATATTTCTTGCTAAATTTATTACTAGGTATTTTTATCTTACTATTGCTATTGTAAATAAGGTATTTTATCCCACTACATTTTTTAACTGGCTGTTTGTATACAGGAAGGCTGTTCATTTTATGTTAAAGTTTTTTACCCATTCCTTTTTCTAATCTAATTATTATGTCAGCTGATACTTCTATAACAATAGCATTAACAATGTAATTATAGTATTAATAGACATTCTTTTCTTAACTTTAACAGAAATGTGTATAAATGAAATTGAGACCCCCAAAAAAAAACCATACAAAGGATCAAGAAAACAAACATTTGGTTCTTTGTTTTGGATAAGCAAAATTGATAGACCACAGAGTTATTTCACTTAGGGTAATGGCTTCCAGCTCCAGTATGGTAGTTCTGTTTTTAGTTCTTTGAGAAATCTCCATACTGTCTTCATAGGAGTTGAACTAATTGACATTCCCACCAGTGGTGTGTATGCATTCCCTTTTCTGTGCATCCTTGCCGATATCTCCTTTTTTTTTGATTTTTTAATAATTGCCATTCTGACAGATTTGAGATAATATCTAATTGTGGTTTTAATTTGTGTTTCTCTGATGATTAGTGATGGTGAGCCTTTTTTTTCATATATTTATTGGTTACTTATATATCCTCTTTGAGAAGTGTCTGTTCATGTCCTTTTAACCCCCCTTTTAATGGGATTATTTTTTTCTTGTTGATTTGCTCCTTACAGATTATGGGTATTTGTCCTTTGTCAGATGCATAGTTTGTGAATATTTTCTGCCATTCTGTAGGTTACTTGTTTTCTCTGTTGATAGTTTCTTTTGCTGTGCAGAATCTCTTTAGTTCAATTAGGTCTCATTTGTCTATATTTGTTTCTGTTGCATTTGCGTTTGAGACCTTAGTCATAGATTCTTTGCCTAGGCCAATGTTTAGAAGAGTTTTTCCTAGATTTCCTTCTAGATTTTTATAGTTTCACATCTTACATTTAAGTCTTTAATATATTTTGAGTTAATTTTTGTATATGGTGAGAGATGGGGGTTCAGTTTGATTCTTCTGCCTATGACAAGCTAGTTTTCCCAGCACCATTTATTGAACGGGGTGTCCTTTCCGCATTGTTTATTTTTGTCAGCTGTTTTGAAGATCAGTTGGTTGTAGGCTTATTTCTGTGTTCTCTAGTCTATTCCATTGGTCTATGTGTCTGTTTTTGTACCAGTACCATGCTGTTTTGGTTACTATAGCTTGTAGTATAGTTTGAAGTCAGGTAATGTAATGCCTACAGCTTTGTTCTTTTTGCTTAAGATTGCTTTGGCTTGGGATCTCTTTTGGGGCCACATGAATTTTAGAATTATTTATTCTAACTCCATGAAAAATGTTGTTGGTAATTTGATAGGAATTGCATTGAATCTGTAGATTGCTTTGGGAAGGCATTTTATTGATACTGATTATTCCAATCCATAAGAATTGGGATGTTTTTCCATTTGTTTGTTTCATCTGTGATTTCTTTCATCAGTGTTTTATAGTTCTCATTGTAGAGGTGTTTCACCTCCTTTGGTAAATATATGCCTAGGGTTTTTTTTTTTTTTTTGGTGCTATTAGAAATGGGATTGAGTTCCTGATTTGGGTCTAAGCTTGAGAGTTATAGTGTATAGGAATGCACTATAGTGTATAGGAATGTATACACTACTGTAGTGTATAGGAATGGATTTTTATGCACTTATCTTACATCCTGAAACTTTACTGAAGTTGTTTATCAGGTCTAGGAGTCTTTTGAAGAAATCTTTCAGATTTTCTGGGTATGAGATCATGTCATCAGCCAACAAAAATAGTTTGACTGCCTCTTTTCCAATTTGGATATCTTTTATTTCTTTCTCTTGCTTGATTGCTGTGGCCAGGAGTTCTAGTACTCTGTTTAGTAGGAGTGATGAGAATGGATATCCTTGTTCTGTTCCACTTCTCAGGGGAAATGCTTTCAGTTTTTCCTCATTCAGTATAATGTTGGCTGTGGGTTTTTCATATATCTTATTATTTTGAGGTATGTTCCTTCAATGCGTAGTTTGTTGAGGGTTTTTATCATGAAGAGATGTTGGATTTTATCAAATGCTTTTTCTGTGTCTTGAGACGATCATGTGGTTTTTGTTTTTATTTCTGTTTATGTGTTGAAATACATTGATCGATTTGTGTATGATGAACCATCCTTGCATCTCTGGAATAAAACCCACTTGATCATGATTAATTATCTTTTTGATGTGCTGCTGAATTTGGTTTGCTAGTATTTTGTTGAGGATTTTTGCATCTATGTTCATCAGGACTATCAGCCTATAGTTTGTTGTTACTGTTGTGTCCTTGTCAGGTTTTGGTATAAGGATGATACTGATTTAGTAGAACAAGTTAGGGAGGAATTTTTCCTCCTTGATTTTTTGGAATAGTTTCAGTAAGCTCTTCTTTGTATGTCTGGTAGAATTTGTCCATGAGTCTGTCTGGTTCTGGGCTTTTTTTGTTTGGTAGATTTTTTATTACTGATTTGATTTCATAACTTGTAACTCGTCTGTTCAGGATTTCAATTTCTTTCTGGCTTAATCTTGTGAGATTATGTGTTTCTAGGAATTTATTCATTTCTTTTAGGTTTTCTAGTTTGTGTGCATAGATATGTTCCTAGACGTCTCTGAGGATCTTTTGCATTTCTCTGGTATCAGTTGTAATGTCACCTTTATCATTTCTGATTGTGCTTATTTGAATGTTCTCTCTTTTTTTCTTGGTTAATCTAGCTAGTGGCCTATTAATTTTGTTTATCCATTCAAAGAACCAAGCTTTTGTTTTGTTGGTCTTTTGTATAAGTGTGTGTTTTTTTTTTTTTTTTTGGTCTCAATTTCATTTAGTTCTGCTCTGATCTTTGTTATTTCTTTTCTTTTGATAGCTTTGGGTTTGGTTTATTCTTGTTTTTGTAGTTCCTTAAGGTGTGATACGAGGTTGTTAGTTTGAGATCTTTTCTTTTTTCTTTTCTTTTCTTTCTTTATTTTTTTTTTTGTGGAGATGGGGTCTTGCTTTGTTGCCCAGGATGGTCTCAAACTCCTGGACTTGGCCTCCCAAAATGTTGGGATTACAGGCATGAGCCACTGTGCCTAGTCTTTCTATTTTTTTTTTTTTAGGCATTTAGGCTGTAAACTTTCCTCTTAATACTGCTTTTGCTGTATCCCAGAGGTTCTGGTATGTTATGTTTCTATTTTCATTTGTTTCAAAAATTTTGTGGATTTCTGCCTTAATTTAGTTGTTTACCCAAAAGTCACCCAGGAGCAAATTGTTTAGTTTCCATGTACTTGTGTGATTTCAAGAGTTCCTCTTGGTATCGATTTCTAGTTGTATTCCACTGTGGCTGAGAATATGCTTGATATGATTTCAGTTTTTTTTTTTTTGAATGTATTGAGACTTGCTTTATGACCAAGCATATGGTCAATTTTAGAGAATGACCCTGTGCAGATGAGAAAAATTTATATTCTGTGATTGTTGGGTGAAGTGTTCTTTAGATTTCTATTAGGTCCAGAATATTCCAATTTAAGTCCAGAGTTTCTTTGTTAATTTTCTGGCCAGCTGGGGTGGCTCACGCCTGTAATCCCAGCACTTTTGGAGGTCAAGGCAGGCAGGTCACTTGAGTCCACGAGTTCGAGACCAGCCTGGGCAACATGGTGAAACCCTGACTCTACAAAAAATACAAAAATTAACTGGGAGTGGTGGTGTGCACCTGTAGTCCCAGCTACTCTGGAGGCTGAGGTGGGAGGATTGCTTGAGTCAAGGAGGCAGAGGTTGCAGTCAGCCAGGATCATGTAACTGCACTCCAACCTGGGCAACAGAGTGAAACCCTGTCTCAAAAAAAATACCCCAAACAAACCAGAGTTTCTTTGTTAATTTTCTGCCTTGATAATCTGTCTAGTACTGTCAGTGGGGTGTTGAAGTCTCCCACTATTATTGTATGACTATCTCTTTACTTAGGTCTAGTAGTATTTGTTTTATAAATCTGTGTACTCTGGTGTTGAATGTGTATACATTTAGAATTGTTAAATCTTTTTGTTGAATTGAACCCTTTATATAATGTTCTTCTTTGTCTTTTTCACTGTAATTGAAGTCTGTTTTAGATAAAACAGACTTATATTAGAATAGCAGCCCCTGCTCTTTTTTGTTTTCCATTTGCATATCTTTTTTTACCCCTTTACTTGGAGCCTGTGTCATTGCACATTAGGTAAGTCTCTTGAAGGCAGCAGATGGTTGAGTCTTATTTTTTTTATCCTATTTGCAAATCCGTCTCTTTTAAGTGGAACATTTAGACCATTTATATTCAAGGTTAATATTTATATGTGAGCTTTTGTTCCTATCATAGTGTTGTTAGCTAGTTCCTTTGTATTCCCAATTGTGTGATTGCTTTATACGATCTTTGAACTTTATACTTACTTGTGCTTTTATGGTAGCAACTGTTGTCCTTTTGTTTCCATGTTTAGAACTCCTTTGAGCACTTCTTATAGGGTCGGCCTAGTGGTGTCAAATTCCCTTATTGTCTGCTTGTCTAGGAAAAAGACTTTATTTCTCTTTTGTTTATGAAGCTACATTGGGCAGGATGTAACATTCTTGGCTAGATTTTTTTTTTCTTTAGAAAGGGTAAAAATATACCACCAATCTCTTATTGCTTGTAAGGTTTCTGTTGAGAAGTCTGCTGTTAGTCTGATGGGATTTCCTTTACAGGTGATTTGACCCTTTTATCTAGCTGCCTTTAAGATTTTTTTTCTTTAGCATTGATCTTAGATAGTCTGATGACTATATCCCTTGGTGATGTTCATCTGGTATAGTGTCTTGTAGCTGTTCTCTGAATTTCTTGTATCTGGATGTCTACCTCTCTGGCAAGATTAGGGAAGTTTTCCTGAATTATTCCCTCAGACATGTTTTTTAAGTTGCTTACTTTTTCTTCTTCTCTCAGGAATGCCTAAAAGTCATAGGCTTGGTTGATTTACATAATCCCATATTTCTTAAAAAATTCTTTCTTCTTTATTTTTGTCTAATTAGTCTTCAACCTCTAAAATTCTTTCTTCTGCTTGCTGTAGTCAATTTTCAAAGCTTTCGATTGCATTTTGAAATTCCATTAGTGAATTTTCAAATTCAAGTTCTATTTGTTTTTTTTTAATATAGTGATCTCATGTTTCATATCTTGAATTGATTTTCTGGTTTCTTTTTGTTGGTTTTCAACTTTCTCTTAGATGTCATTGAGCATCCTTGAAATTCATGTTTTGAGTTCTTTTTTTCTCATTGTGGAATTTTCATCTTGGTTAGAATCTATTGCTAGGGAGCTGGTGTGATCCTGTGGAGGAGTTAAAACACGGTCTTTTTGTATTGCTGGAATTCTTGCACTGATTCTTTCTCATCTGAAGGAGGTGTTGCTGCTTATTTTTTAATTTTCCATCATTTGGATGGGACTTTTTGATTTTTTCGTCTTGTTTCACTTGAGGGTATGACTGTGGTGTATGTTGCGTATGATCATTTGGCTTCATTTCCAGGTGTTTTCAGGGGGCCAAGGCTCTGTATGAGTTCCTTGGTTGTGGATAGCTTTTGTGTGGTGGCTTTCTCAAATGCTGCTTGTTGTAACAATGTATTGGGTGTATGAGTCAACACACTGTCTCCTGCAGGGCTGAGAGTGCTGAGGTCTCAGGAAGCTTATCTTGTACACTAGTGCTATGACCTTTTGACAGCAGGTTTTTTATTTGGTGGTGCTATTTGGTTGCCATTCCAGTAGGTGGCACTTAAGAATAAGAACCAGCTCACCCTTGAGTAGTCTGATAATGAATAGAGGCAACTTTCCTGACTGGGGAGATCCTTTTGGACTGCACTGAGGTCTCTTGGGGAAGGGGTGGTGAGGGGGAAGTTGCACTAGCTTCTCAACCTGGGCCAGCAAGCATGTAATCCACTTCCCTATCACACCCTAGTTGCATTGCTCATGACCTTCAGTTCTTATAGACATTGCCCTTTGACTCCCTGCTGCAGTGTGGGTGTGGACTGCAGGAATGCCCCTTTGACAGCTACCACCAAAGTGGGCTCAGTGCAGAGCCTCTTATACCAGTCCAAAGCAGATAATTTTGCACTTACATGCCTTGTATTGCTGGGATGCTGCCATCCTGTGCAGAGATGGGCCCTATCCTTTGTGGAAGCCCTTGCTATGGGGGATCACTTTAATCAGGGATGCAGCTACCATGAAAAGCACTGGAAAGTAACCCTAATGAGAGTGGCAGTCAGCAAGTACACACACATCAGCCCCCAGCTGGGAGAGCCTCTCCTGTGTCTGCAAGAGTAGATGGGGGAGCAGGAGATGACCCCCTGTCCATGTCCATTTCTGACCACTGGTACCTTCCCCTTTAGCAGTTGGTGCCATGCCCATGTTTTCTTTGTCCTAAGTGGGGCTTTGGTGGGCTGAATTCTTCCCTTCCCTAGGGGCAGCCCATACTGAGTGCTGGATCTCCAGAGATTCTGCAGTTCCCTAGAGACCTGCTGGCCCCTGTGGTTGTGAAAGTCAAAGCGGGTTGTGGGGTACGTTTGCAGGGGGTCTGGTGATGTGGCAATTCAAAGGCTGAGGTTCCCTGGGGAGGGCAGTGGGCCACAATCGGTGAACAACCAATATGGCACCTGCTGTCTCAGTTCAGGCCTAAGGGGTATGCAGGCACTTCTGTGTGAGTTGGTACCTGGTTCTCTATCCCTGGAAGTTCCCAGATTGCCACCAACAGCATTTCCTGGGGTCATGAGAGCACAGGGACTCCTCAAAAATTTGGTGGTCAGCAAATTGTTACAGGGGTAAGAGGAGCAGAGAAGCCCTACCCTTTCCGTAGGGCTATGGGTTTCTCAGGGGTTGATCTCTGCTGCACTCCTGCTGCTTTCCTTTTCTGCACTACAGCTTCATTCTCTGGACTCTCTGACAGATCCTGGTTGTCTTCCTTCATTTTTTCATTCAGATTTTGACCATTCACCTATAATTTTGATCTTATTTCTGAGGAGAACTGGCATCTGACATCCCTAGTTAGCCATCTTGAAAAAAAAAAAGCAACAAAAAACTGATGCTCCCTTTGTGAGAATCCATGCTTAAATTCTCCTTAGACCACTAAGACAGGAAAGGCTTACTTCTGAGCAGGTGGGCTATTTTCTATCTTGTAGAATCACAGTCATCCTGACCACATGTAGGTGGTTGTGCTTCTGTTATTTCCCCTCCTGTAGCTACCAGGAAGCTAAGCCTTTCAATATATTATTTTTCCAAAATTTTATTCTTAAAAATTTTAAACATATAAAAGTTGAAAGAATTTTACAGTTAACATCTACCTGTCGTCTATATTCCACTCCTTACATTTTATTATACCTCCTATATCATATATCTTTCCATGTATCTATATATCTATCAAAAATACTTATTTTAAAGTCCATACATGATAACTTCAATATCTGGAGCCTTTTTTAAATTTGTATTTTCAGTTGTTCTGGCTTGCATTCAAACTGTCTTGTTTCTTCATGTGCCTGGTTATTTTTTATTGTGTACCTGACATCATATTTGCCAAGGTTTAGAAAACATTTGAGACATGGAATGATACTAACTTCTTCCATAGAAGATTTATGTTTTCTGCCAAATACCTTTGGGCCTTAGCAATCTGTGACTCACCTCATTCCAATTTCAGGGACTGAAACAATTTAACACTGTGTAGGTCTGCCTACTTCTGCTTTACCTTTCCTTCTAGGTATCTCCTTGGTCTGAAGCCAAAATGAAGAGTATTTATGAGTCCTCCTTTTCCTTCAGGATCTGTAGTTTAGTCTGTCCCTCACCTAGTGCTATCAAAAGCCCTGCTTAGCCTCTCAGCTGCCCCTTTCAGAATCATTAAATGCTCCATGGGGATGAGCACCCTCAAAATAAGCAAAGTTCAACTTTCTGAGTGAGGCCACCAAATCCTAGACCACCTTTATTGAAAACTGGAACTCTTTTATTTAAATAGAGTTTATCCCATATACATTTAGTTATATGACAGATATTTTTTGCCTCAGTATTAACATCATATTTTAGGTTATATTTTCTGTGTTTATTGATTTTTAAAAATTTCACCATATGGTGTATTTTCTTTGATTTTTGTTATGTTTTGTTCTTTTGTTCTGATAATTAGGAAGTCTTATATTCTCTTTTTAGCTATAAGTTCTTTGTAGCTTTAAATGTATATAATACTTTTTTAAGGTTGTCAGTTTCCTTATCTGTAAGTTGTAATAATAAACTATTTTACTGAGTTGTGAGAATTAAAATAATCACACTAATCATTTATTTGTCATACCGCCTGGTATATGGTAAGCCTGTTATAAATGTTGGCTTTAGAGATTATATATTGCAAATGAATGAATCACAAGATCATAAAGCAGAGAGAAAAGAATACTGAAAAGGGAAGGGGAGAGTAAACATCCCCTGCTATTGGTGGGGTTCTCTCAGGCCCAGTATGCAGGTCTCTTTGGTAGCATCTTCATCCTCTATGCCATTTACTCAGTACCCATATCTAAGGTCCTGGCTTGGTCTTCACAGCAGACCTATCATGGAATAACTGGATAAACCTGAGACTGAGCATTCCTCTAAAATGTATTTGTCAGGATAATTTATTGACATTTTGTTGTTGTTTCCATTATCCCCAGGAGCTGTTATGTTCTGATTCTGGGATTCCTAGCTTCAAGGTATTATAAACTGCCTTTATATGGCAGACCTGAAAAATAACATGGATGAAAATGGAAGTTTCTTGGTCTCTGGAATAAAACCCCATCACCCATGTTATTGTTTTGGGATTAGAGATGTTGAGGGAGGGAGGCAATGGGAGCATGAAGGTGAGGGGTTTTCTGGGAGGGCAGAGGAAACAGAACTGGCAGGAATGGAAATAGCTTTCAGAGATTTGGGGGGAGTACTAATCTGGGTGATAGCTTAATGAATGGTTGCAACCTGTCCCCTTGCCTTTTAATAAGTCTTTGGATGGAGAGTTGAGGTGGTTCATGTTGATACTGTGGACAGCAAACATTTATAACTGTCATGGAAGCTGGCTTAAAAGATCCCTGGCACAGAAGAATGGTGTGGTCCTTCTTTGAATGGACTGGTGGACTGAGGCAATTAACATCTCATGTGTGATCATGATGGCCTAAGGATCATAAGAGATTTACTTTGTTTTCAGGGCACCATCCTGCTTCCCCATGCTGGTGGGGGGCATTGAAGAGGAGAAGGCAGTCACCCAAAAGTGAATTGGAATATCTTGATACTTCTGGCTGGTGAGGGCAGAGCCAGATTTTTTTTTTTTCTGAGTAGAACATATCCATTTAATGTGAGCTGTCTTGCTCTTAAATGTTGTAAAACAAATTTATACCTTTTTTTGTCCCCCACCCCCACCAAACCGATTGTTATCCAAGTGTGCTTTTTTCTCAACTTAGTCTCAATTAAAAAAGAAAAGATGTGGAAGGCAAATTTGGAAAAACACTTTTATCTCTTGACCTCCTTTGTTAGCAGCTGTAACAATCTTTAGGAAACTTCAAAAGGATACGTGGGAACAAAGGAGAAAAGCCAAGACTGCTGTTCTGTGATGCAGTAGACCAGGAGGAAGAGTGAAACCTTGGTGGAAGCAACAGGTGGTAGCAGTTGGAGGGGAATCAGAACAATCCCAGGGCTGCTGGAAGAAAAGAATGATGGTGTACAGGCTAGACCAAGGAGTGAGGCCTGAGGTGTACCCTGGCAGAAGACTTTTGTCGATTCCTAACTTCCTAGACCCCATCCCATACTTTCACCCCTCAGACCCAGTCTCTGTCTTCATACGCCCTTACATAAATCTTCCACTATGCTGGAGCCCTGGCTCCAGATGATAGTGGCCAATACTGGTGGTTTATATTTAGGACAAGGAAGTTGAACTCCTGTTGCCCAGTAGCAGGGGAGGTCTGCAAGAGGGAAGTGAG
The DNA here is from genome assembly GCF_000001405.40 of Homo sapiens. NCBI lineage: Eukaryota > Metazoa > Chordata > Mammalia > Primates > Hominidae > Homo > Homo sapiens. The sequence continues at coordinate 91,848,349 of NC_000007.14, read as the reverse complement.
GATGATGTTACCAGAAGTTGTGTCACAGGCATAAAAGGTCAGAATTCTTAATGAATTTCCTCAGAGACATTATTATACATCATTCCATAGTATTACTTAACACAGGTGCGTTTTATTCCTATTAAAATATCAGCACAACTATATGTTGGGTTAAATAGGCTTTTAACCTTTTAAATGACCTTTCTTAAGAACCTAACCAGTGGGTATAACATTGTTTCTGTGGTAAAATGCTTTTAAAATCCTACAATAGACTGACAAAAGAGCCTTTGAATACAATCTGTTTGTAAATTGGATTGGCCTGGCTGGGGTAAGGAGGCCCACCCTGTTCTTTAGCTTTAATGTCTACCCTTGTTCAAAGAAGGCAAAGTCTTTTATAGTGACAGGCCACACTGAGTTTAAATAAAGATAAAGATTGGCTCCTTGCAGGAGAGCCTGTCCGATTTAAGATAGGTCATATTTAATGAAATGTGGCATTAAATAGGCCTGCTTCAAATGGGGCAGTTTGTGTAAAGTTCGCTACTATTATCGGACCATCTGTGTTTACTTTTGTGTGAAGGCAGAAGTTTCAGTCTTATTTTGGATCAAAAAATTGCTCAGTGTGATAAGGGGTGTGAAAAGTAAAAAGTAAATCAAAATGGGGATTTTATTTTTTATTGGTTGCCATTTTCAATGGAGAATAAATTAAACATGCAGAGTTAAAAGGAAGGTAAAGAGGAGGTGGTTGACAGCTTAGTCATGTTTTATGTAACACTTGTTTTTCTTTTACATGAACGCATTATACCATCCATCAGGATAAATTAACATGTTGTGGGCCTTTAAAAACTATAAAGAAAATAATTTTAATGGTTCCAATAACAGCTCCAGATGAATGCTGGAAAACAGATATTCCAAACTGTCAAATAGCGTATGTATTGCTTGGCTGTTTTATAACCGCAAGTAAAAGCTGCTTTTGTATGAGGTTTCCTTGACTGCCAATGGAAGAACTGTAACACATTTATTGTGAACAAAATTGGAATGGAAATGAGACGTGTTACAACAGAATGGCACCTAATTCCTTCTTGCCAGTTGCCCTGAATTAACATAATAAGTCATTAGGACAGTAAAAAGTTCTTGGTTAAAAGAAAGAATAATTTAATTAAATAGATTTACAAAAATGACAAGTTCATACATGTATCACTTATGATATGGAAACTTTGTTTGAAAATATGGTTGTCTTATGTGAGAGAATAGAATTATACCCTATATAAATGTATATGTTCAATGGAAAAAAAATCATAAACTTCAGAGGAGAATTTATCGGCGGTATGGAAAACAACTGAAAAGTGTTTGCAACAAAGGCCAGTTCTGACTGCTGTTTACTGCAGGTAAGGGGCTTCAGGATGCTGCCCTATGTTTGAAGGGGTGACTCATGTCATTATTTATTGCGGTTAATTGCTAATGTTTGTGAAGAGCACAGTATGTTGCATAGCAGGACCAAGTAATCCATGGTGACCTTTTGTGCTATCAAAGCTTTATCAATTAGAAGCTCTTGATTATAAATTCATAGGATGCCCAGTGAGTGCCATCAAAGAAAGATTATACTTGGCTTCTTATGCAATCTGATTTTTTTTTTTGTTGGCTCCTCTTCCTTCAAAACTGAACCCTCACCAGGGAACTATTTCTAAATCTGCAAAGTGAAGCATATTCAAAATGTTTTCAGACTTCAAGGAGTATTGTGGTTTTTATAAGCAATTGCAGGAATTTTATAAAAATAGTAGTTATATTTTCCTGATAAATACCTTTCTTCTTGAGACTCCTACACTGGCTATCTTCCTGGTCACTTTTTTCCCCATCTGCTTTGTTCTATTGATGCTAGGCCTGCATGACATTTACAAAAACTTTGTTAAATACTTCAAAATTATAAATTAAAGTCCTTATTTTACTATAATTCTCACTGTGAGTCAGTCTTAAAATATTTGTTCATTTTCATTCACTGATCCCCTGATAATAGGAACTTTGAGTTCTCATTTGCCTTCATGTTGCTACAGCTCTTGACAGTGTTTAATGCCCCATTTCTTGAAATTATCTGCTCTCATGTCTTTTTTTTTTTTTTTTTTTTTGAGATGGAGTCTCGCTCTGTCGCCCAGGCTGGAGTGCGGTGGTGTGATCTTGGCTCACTGCAAGCTCTGCCTCCCGGGTTCACGCCATTCTCCTGCCTCAGCCTCCCGAGTAGCTGGGACTACAGGCACCCGCCACCACGCCCAGCTAATTTTTTGTATTTTTAGTAGAGACGGGGTTTCGCCATGTTAGCCAGGATGGTCTCTATCTCCTGACCTCGTGATCCGCCCGCCTTGGCCTCCCAAAGTGCTGGGATTACAGGCGTGAGCCACCGCACCTGGCCTCTCATGCCTTTTAAGACACTGCAATATCCTGGATTTCTTTCTGTTTACTTTGTCCTTTTTTTTTAAATTGACTCTTCTTCCCGTTTGTTTTCTCTAATTTAGCCTTAACCAAGGCTACAGCAGCAGCCTTTTCTCTCCTTTTCTCTCCTCTAATCTCATTGCTAGCTCTTCTACCAGCAACTGTTTTCCAAACCTTGGGTCCACATTGCCAACTGTTGTCAAACATCTCTACTATCTCCATCAAAATTGTCCAAAATCAGACTCATGGTTTTCCCTTGCCCATATTCAGGATCCTAAATTATGATCAGAATTACTCCCCTAAATCTCCTTGCCAGTTCCACTCTTAGGATTACCACTACTGACTTATCATGTTAGCACTAAGTTGTAGTTCTGCTTTCCCCCACCTCCCACCATCATGGTCTAGTCTACAAGACTGCGTTTCTGCTATGGTTGCTGTTTATAATTGGATTGGAATCGGTGGAAGTCTATGGACCATGGTGTAGTTATTCTGGAATTTATAGATCAGTAAGATAGTTATTCTGGTCTTAACTGGGCTCACTTAGGCATCTATGGTTAGCTATGGGTCTGGAAGTTTGCCCTGCTGATCTTGGCTGGACTTGTTCACATGTTTGAATATCTGCTGGCTGTAGGTTGGTATTTCATCCTCAGAAAGACAGCTTAGATTTGTTGTCATGGCAGAGACAGTGCTTAGAAGTTATAAGCCTCTTGGAACTCATCTGAATGGTAGTGGGAGCCCCAGTGGTTCATTCAAGGCAATAGGAAATGGAGTGAAGGAAGCAGATGGAATATAAGAGGTGGTATAGAAGGCAGGACAGATCTTGAGAGGAAGGATCCAGCTGGAGACTAACTCCAGAATGGTAGCTTCCAGTGAGGAAGCCGAGCATGTCAGGAGTCTACACACAGTGGTGGTAGCTGAGGTGGATTGAGTGTGTTGATGGCACAATTAACAGCCTGTCTGTACTCACAGCCATTTCAGACTTTGCAGCTTTTTCCATTTGTGATGGAGTCTATTTTCCCACTCCTTGAATCTGGGCTTGTCTCATAACTTGTTTTGGCCAGTAAAAAGTAGGTAAAGCCACAAGGTTTTGGCACTCCAGTCTTGAAAGCCTCTGTGGTCTTCCCATTCTCCATTCTCACTGACAGGAGAACTTGCTAAATATTCTCTCTTCAGTCATGCCATCCCTGAACATCTCGTCTAGAGTTGGTTTTACTGTTTTTATTTTCTTTTTTCTATTTTCAGTTCTTTTTAAAAATTATGTTATTATGATTGATAATTATTTTGTTTACTTTTTTTCTTTTTGTTTCTCTAAACTGTGAGATCCATGAGTATAGGATAGCTGTTATCCTAGTGACTATCACAGTGTCTGGCACAAATTAGGGACTCAATAAATATTTGTTGAATTAAATTCTATGAGACCTGGTGAATGAATTTTTAAGAAGCTTTTCAAGTTTCAGATGTGTGATCAAGTTGATGACCACCATAGTATACTTCTTTTCTTTTAGCTACCTCACAGATTCATCTTCTGAATATTATCTTGGCTGGGTGCAGTGAGTCACACCTGCAATCCTAGTGCTTTGGGAGGCTGAGGTTGGAGGATCACTTGAGACCAGCAGTTTGAGACCAGCTTGGGTAACGTACCAAGACCCCATCTCTAGCAAAAGACCTGGGCGTGGTGGTGCATACCTGTAGTCCTAGCTACTTGGGAAGCTTAGGATTACTTGAGCCCAGGAGTTCCAGGCTGCAGTGAGCTATGACTACGCTATTATACTCCTGCCTGGGCAACAGAGTGACACCTTGTCTCTAAAAATATAAGAAAACAAACATTTTCATAGCCTTTGTTCTGCTTCATGGCCTTTGTTTCAGTTTCATATCTATTATCTGCCTATTCCCTATAGTATTTTGCAACTCGAATCTTTAATAAAAAGACTCTGATTGGTCTAGCTTGCCTCTGTTTGAATAGACTTTTCCCACATCAGGACTGGGTGTAGTTAGATGGTCAGCCTGGGGATTAGGTAACCTTGCTTCTCTCTAGCCCAATGATATGTAGCCACAAAGGAAGAAAGTAGAAAGAATAGAACCATGTGACACAAAATATGGCAGCTTAGCAGGCTGTGAGTGTGGCAGGTAATATGATTGGTTTGTCAAGTACAGAAAACTTAATTATATCTCCATGTTTTTACCAATTACAATCAATTAATTAAATATTGTTGAGTACCTTATGTGCCAGGTTTAGAGTGCCTTACATGTCAGGCACAGGAAATAAAGTAGTAAGCAAGGGAAACATGTAGTCTTTCCTCATTGAGCTTATTCTGTAGTAGGAAAGATAGCCAATTATTAAAGCCATTATAATAAAATATTGAAGTATGATGTTAAAAAATGGATAAACTGAGCCCAAATAAAAATAAAGTATTTTGCTCCTTAAAAGTTACTTCTAAGAAAATGAAAAGTAAGCCTTGAACTGGGATAAAATATTTCTAAAATATATATTTAATAAAGGACTTGTATCTGATTATATAGAGAAACTTTTAACTCAATAATAAAAAAGTCAAATAATCCTATATAAAAGTGGGAAAAAGATTTGAACAGATACTTCAAATCAGGATATATAAATGGCAAATAAGTATATGAAAAGATGTGCAACACCATTAGTCATTAGGGAAATGCAAATCAAAGTTACAATGTGATATCACTGTACACTCACCTGAATGGCTACAATTAAAATGACCATAGCAAGGGTTGTCAAGAAGATAGAGCAACTAGAGCTTGCATATATTGGTGGGAATGCAAAATGAAACAGCCACTTTGGAAAGCAATTTGGCAGTTTAAGAAATAAAGTTATACATTTACTATATGGTCAAGCAATCCCACTTGGAGGTCTTAACCCAAGAAAAATGAAAATATATGTCCACACAAAGACTTGTATGCAAATATTCATAGCAGTTTTGTTCCTAATAGCCCCAAACTGGAAACAAGCAGTTTGGAAACAGCAAGTGAATGGATAAACAAATGGATACATCCATACAGTGAAATACTGCCCAGCAATTAAAAAATAGGGAATGAATTACAGTATGTGCAATAACATAGAAAGAAGCCAGGAACAAATGACTGACCTATGTATTGTATGATTCTATTTATGTAATATTCTGGAAAAGCTAAAACTGAAAGGCATTTTCCTTGACCCCTTCATGGGCCTCGTGACAGCAGTGCCTCACTTACTTATCCTAAAGCTCTGAACCCCTTGCGGAAGGGGGAACACACAGGTGAGCGGTGCAGGAGCCGGGACTAGTGCTTCTGGGCACAGGCAGGAGCAGAACTCTGTGCAGCCCCATGGCAGCATCTAGGGGGGTACCACGACCCCTGGAGCCCCAGAGGCATGTGTTACAGTGTGCTTTTAGCTTTGCCATCCTCAGATGGCTTAAGTGTTAATCAGCTCAAGCATCTGCCCCTGTGGCTACTAAGCTCTGGTGTCCAGGAAGAATCAGGATGCACAAATGAATTGGAGGGTGGTGAATACAGAGGATTTTATTGTCGATGAAAGTGGCTTGCAGTGGGAAGGGGAGCTGGAAAGGGGATGGAGTAGGAAAGTGGTCTTCTCCTGGAGTCTGGCTGTCCCTGGCCAGGCTCTTCTCTCAAATCCCACTGTCAAGCTGTGCCTCTGAAGTCAAGCTGCTTCTCTGACATCTCCCTGCTGCTTCTCTTCTTTTCTGCTGTTCCTCTGCCAGTGGAGCCTGGGGTTTTTATGGGTACAGAATGTGGGGCAGGGCGGGCCAGGAGGGTTTTGGAAAAGGCAACATTCGAGCAGAAAAATGGGGATGTTCTCACTTTGGGCCATGGTTCTAGGCTTGAGGGTGGGGCTTCGCCAGGGACACCACCCTTTTCTGCCTAGAATTTCTCTGCCTCCTGTCCCTATCAAAACTATAGTGAAAGAGAGCATATCAGTGGTTAATGCTGAAGCCAGAAGTGTGGAGAGAGGATTGATTTGAAGAAAGTTGCAACAGAACTTTTTGGTCTGATAGAAATGTTCTGTATTTTGATTGTGGTCGTTGTTATACAACTGACACATCTATCAAATTGTATTAAATTATACCCTTAAATTGGTGAGTTTTATTGTACATAAATTATAACTTAAAGCTGCTTTTAAGAAATAAAGGTGAAACATGCTTATATTGGGAGAAGTATAGGGTACCCTGGGACCACAGTATACGGTCATCTCAAACCAAGGGATCTGAGGAAGTTTTTCATGGAATGAAAATCTTAATCTTGACATGAGTAGCAATAGATTAAGTGCACAGGACTAGGTGGAAAGGAAGAGGGTTCTACAGAGTTAGCAGCATATACAGAGGCTTGGAGGCAAGAGAGAAGGTGCTGGTGAAGGAAGATGAGGAAAATGAACACAGTGATCTAGGCTGGGCAAAATAAAGGACTTTTTATGTTAAGATTGAACTGTATCCTAATAGTAACTAGAAGGGTTTTAAGCCCTTCTCATTATGGAGTAATGTGATTTCTGATTTCTAAGAATGACTCTGTCCAAATGTGTCATTCTAAGAACGACATATTTCTAAGAATGACTCTCTCTCGTGGAGAATGGGTTGTGTGGAAAGACATTCCCTGAGAAGGCATTAGATGATAGTGCCATAATTTAGGGGAGTTGCTGGGGATGGAGGGAGGTGGGTGGATTTCAAAAATATTTAGGAAGTAGAATTTCCTGCAAGAGTTGAAGGGATTGCCTGTTCACTCTGATGGTAGTTTCTTTTGCTGTGCAGAAGCTCTTTAGTTTAATTAGATCCCATTTGTCAATTTTGGCTTTTGTTGCCATTGCTTTTGGTGTTTTAGACATGAAGTCCTTGCCCATGCCTATGTCCTGAGTGGTATTGCCTAGGTTTTCTTCTAGGGTTTTTATGGTTTTAGGTCTAACATTTAAGTCTTTAATCCATCTTCAATTAATTTTTGTAAGGAAGGGATCCAGTTTCAGCTTTCTACATATGGCTAGCCAGTTTTCCCAGCACCATTTATTAAATAGGGAATCCTTTCCCCATTTCTTGTTTTTGTCAGGTTTGTCAAAGATCAGATAGTTGTAGATATGCGGCATTATTTCTGAGGGCTCTGTTCTGTTCCATTGGTCTATGTCTCTGTTTTGGTACCAGTACCATGCTGTTTTGGTTACTGTAGCCTTGTAGTATAGTTTGATGTCAGGTAGCATGATGCCTCCAGCTTTGTTCTTTTGGCTTAGGATTGACTTGGCAATGCGGGCTCTTTTTTTGTTCCATATGAACTTTAAAGTAGTTTTTTCCAATTCTGTGAAGAAAGTCATTGGTAGCTTGATGGGGATAGTATTGAATCTATAAATTACCTTGGGCAGTATGGCCATTTTCATGATATTGATTCTTCCTACCCATGAGCATGGAATGTTCTTCCATTTGTTTGTATCCTCTTTTATTTCCTTGAGCAGTGGTCTGTAGTTCTCTTTGAAGAGGTCCTTCACATCCCTTGTAAGTTGGATTCCTAGGTATTTTATTCTCTTTGAAGCAATTGTGAATAGGAGTTCACTCATGATTTGGCAACCTACGGAATGGGAGAAAATTTTCGCAATCTACCCATCTGACAAAGGGCTAATACCCAGAATCTACAATGAACTCAAACAAATTTACAAGAAAAAAATGAACAACCCCATCAAAAAGTGGGCAAAGGATATGAACAGACACTTCTCAAAAGAAGACATTTATGCAGCTAAAAGACACATGAAGAAACGCTCATCATCACTGGCCATCAGAGAAATGCAAATCAAAACCACAATGAGATACCATCTCACACCAGTTAGAATGGCGATCATTAAAAAGTCAGGAAACAACAGGTGCTGGAGAGGATGTGGAGAAATAGGAACACTTTTACACTGTTGTTGGGACTGTAAACTAGTTCAACCATTGTGGAAGTCAGTGTGGCAATTCCTCAGGGATCTAGAACTAGAAATACCATTTGACCCAGCCATCCCATTACTGGGTATATACCCAAGGGATTATATATCATGCTGCTATAAAGACACATGCACACGTATGTTTATTGCGGCACTATTCACAATAGCAAGGACTTGGAACCAACCCAAATGTCCAACAATGATAGACTGGATTAAGAAAATGTGGCACATATACACCATGGAATACTATGCAGCCACAAAAATGATGAGTTCATCTCCTTTGTAGGGACATGGATGAAGCTGGAAACCATCATTCTCGGCAAACTATCGCAAGGACAAAAAACCAAACACCGCATGTTCTCACTCATAGGTGGGAATTGAACAATGAGAACACATGGGCACAGGAAGGGGAACATCACACACCAGGGCCTGTGGTGGGGTTGGGGGAGGGGGGAGGTATAGCATTAGGAGATATACCTAATGCTAAATGACGAGTTAATGGGTGCAGCACACCAGCATGGCAGATGTATACATATGTAACAAACCTGCACGTTGTGCACAGATACCCTAAAACTTAAAGTATATAAAAAAAAAGGATAAAGGAGCAAGAGAAAGATTGTGGTCAAGGTGATGACTTTAGTTTTGTACATGTTGGTTCTGAGGTGCCTGAGAGACATTTGTAATATGTTTAGAGTTAGTTGGATATATAGGTCTGTTGCTTAGAAGGCAAGTCTAGGATGCAGAAACAGATTTATGTCATTGGCGTGTAGGTAGAAATTGAAACCATGCAATTGGTGACTGAGGAGATGGATGAGTAGCATGATGAGAGAAAAGGCCTACAACAGATCTCAGAAATGCCAATGTTTAAGGGTGAGGTAGGGGGAAAATTAGGAGGGCATTGTATAATGCAATCCACTAGAATGAGTGAGTGGTCAATAATATCAAATGGAATTGCTTTACTGAAGAATATGATAATTTTTAAGGTTCTTGATTAATATGTATTATGGAATTTTGGGAGATGATTTTGCAGTAAAAAATGAATCACTTTAAAAGGAAAGGAAAGTTAGTGGTTTGATGGCTTGTGGAAAAGGCAGTGCATTTCCTACATAGATGGTAAATCTCACAGTTTTCTATTGTTTTGTTTTGTTCTTCCTTCTTTGGACTTTCCTTCTCCATTAGAAACTTTTAAAGTGGTAAACATTAAAAAGCTTCTAAAAATCCATTCATATACATTCTTTGTGGAGAAGCTTGCACACCTATGATCAGGAATATACTTTTTGCAATGCTTGCTTCATAAGTATTATTCATCTTAATTCCCTCTTTCCTTTTAGTCTCTTCCATTCCCTTAATGCATGTGACTAAGCTTAAAGAGATCAGTTGAAAAGGTTTTTGATCCCCGTACTTTAAGCAAGAAGTGTTTGTCAAGCAGGTAAGAGGATCAGTCACTGATAGGTAGGAAAGTTTTTTTTAACTGACTGAAGTCCCAGTTCTTTTCAAAGTGATCTTACCACCAGGGTCAGCTTTAGCGGTCCATGACAGTATGCTGGAACAAATGTCTTCATTTTTCCAGATGCCATCTTTCTGTTTCCTTTTTACTATTTCCTTTTCCTAATTGCCTTCCCCTGAAAAAAGGAAGATACAGAAAACTTTTGAAGAGTTAGAATTTTATATTAGAATTGTCATTAAACATGCAATAGGAGAATATTTTTAAGGGGCCCATTGGAGATCATAGTTACATGAACTCAGAATAGCCTGGGAAATGGCTGTAGGACCTTTACCAAATTATTGTTCCAATCAATGGCAATTTATGTTGTCAATACTGTGGTTCAGGTGAGAGAGAAGGAGGAACTTGATGCTCTCTGTGCCAGTTACCAATAGTCTCTCAGCTCCAAATTTACCTGTCAATACCTGCTCTGGGATAAGGGATTGGACTCTTTAGGCATTTCTCTGTCACAGTGAGAATGATATTGAGCTGTGTCAGTAGAGGTTGATGGAAGGACATTGCAGGAAGACACAGTCTTCTCTTCCTGGTTACTGTGTGCTACATTTTGCTTTTCCTTGATGTAGTGTCAGGGTCTATTAGTAGTGTGTGTGTGTGGCAGTCATTTACTGGCAGTCTGCTCCAGATGTGCCCCAGAACTTGCAGTCTCATGGTGACCTCAAAGGCCTGGCCTGGACCCAGCGTCTGCCTTGCTGTGACTCTCTCAATGTGGGCACTGGTGTGTTCCAGGCCTTGTGCTAGCAGTGGCATCCTGATTTCTTCTGTGTGTCTGTCCACGTGTTTTGGCTTACCTGCTCTTCAGAAGGTTGTTTTTGTAACTGTCCCACCATGGATAGCAGGTGCTTCACACCTCGCAAACCAGCAGCAGTGATTCTGTGTGTGTGTCCACCCACCATCCTCAGCTTGCCTGCTCCCTAGAGGGTTGTCTGCTGCTCTCTGGTGACTAAAGACCAACGCTGACCTGGCCAACCCAGCAAACCTCTTCATTATCCAGTGGGCTGCAAACATACCTTCTCCAATGAGGTCTTTACTCCAGCCTTGGGGAGGCAGCCCTCCTTCCTAGTTTCTTCTACTTTTTGTATTCTCTTTTTCTTTTTGTATTCTCCATCAAACATAGTGTTCTTTTTTGAGTTATCTTACATCTTTATGGTTACTCCCCTATTATACTTAAATAATTTTTTATACTAAATGTTTCCTACTGAAATTACTGTGGTGGCTTCTGTATCCTGACTATACCTAAACTGATACACTACCTTTTCCTTAATCTATTATACATACCTTTGCCCTACTTATTCTGATAAACTCTGATTTAAAACACCAATCAAAAAACTCCACCAAAACAAACAAAAAAACCCCCAATACTGCTTGAATGATTCTGCATTGCCTGGAATTCAAGATCCTCCGTGATCTGGCCCCTACCTGCCCTTCCAATCTTATTTTCTACTCTTCTTAAAGTAACTAAGGCAAGCAGCACTGTGAATACAGAAAGTCCAGTCCTGGGTTTGTCTTGTAGCTCTACCATTTCTTACTAAGCAGACAAGGGCATGTCTTTAGGCCCCTCTGTGTTGCAGTTTCCTCATCTGAAAAACGGGGATACTAATAGCTGCTCTGCCTACCTCTTGGGGTTGTTGTGAGGTTAAATTAAATAGTGTATGTGAAAACTCTACGAATTTTAAATTTGTGTTGCTGTAATATATTGCCATAGGATTTGTATAGTGTTTTTCTTTTTTACTTTTTTTCAAAGTATTCACACAAAACAATGACAAGTATTATCAAGCATTAATCTAGCACTTCTGGACTGGTAAAAGGGATTAAGGCAATACCTTTCTTTAGAACTCAGAATTGTATTTTATTTTTATATTTTATGCTTTTACTTTGTTTCAGGATGGGTGAAATAAGATGTTGAAAGTCTTTTGGCTGGACAATTTCTCCTCATTGCCATCGTAAACAAAACAGAATGACTGTAAAATTTGGGAATAAGGAAGAGCATTTGTTTTTCATCATCTCGTCTTGAGGGCACCTGTCTACTTCAGTAGACAGATAATTTCATACCTATGTGTGAATTCATTAAAGTGGTACTCTTCTCCATCGGTATTGGTTGTTCATGTACCAAAATATGCAAAAATGCTTTGTAATAGAAATAAAAGAATTATTTTCAGGACACAAATCAGAGAAGGAAAAGCTCCCAAGAGGTAAGGAATTCAACCAATTCGAAACTCAAATTTCTTGGGAGAGGTATTCTCATTCTGTGAGAATTTGTTTAAGAGCTGAGAGCCTAAAGTCTGTGATGCAAGATTAGGGACCCGACTGCTTGTGTTAAAGGAGGCAGATTTCTCCAGTTGCTTATGGATTGGACTCATCCTTGCTGGGCAGCAGGCCAGCTTGTGAATGTTTTCATCAGCAGGTGGTTCTTCTGAATTCCTCATTATCTTGTATATATAATGGGGGGGGAAAAGCCAGTTCCAGCAGAACTTGAAACATGAATATAAAAGGCATTTTAAAATGTATTTTAAAAACTTCCTTAGAGAGGAAATATAGGGTTCCTTCTTTTGTAGCCTGAAGAGGAAGGTGAGTTCAACAGAAGGTCAAAATGAGGAGAAGTAGCCATTCCAGTCTTGCTTGGACAAAACCTTTATTATCTAACATTTCTATAGCTCTTTGTATTTTCCAAAGACCTTTACAAATGTATTTTTTCCCCCATGTAACAAGCTTTTGATCAAAGCAGGTTAGTATTCATCTTTACATTTTCTAGATGAGAGAAAAGAGTTCCAGAGAAGTGAAGTCACTTTTGCAGGTCCCAAGATGTATAAAAAGTAAAATGAGATTTTGAGCCTTTGACACGGAATTCTTGGTGTAATTACTGTGCAACATGTTATATCCTGTCTTGACTAAATTTTTACAAATGGGTTAAAAGAGTTCTTAATCTCAGAAGCCAACTCTGGAATTCTAAATAGAGGATACTCAGTGGGGAGGCTTGAGGTTTTATTAGAACAGATTTCTTTGGGCCAGCAGGCATAGAGGGCTGTGGTAAAGAGCTGATGTAGTTCAGAAACTTCAGAGAAGAAAGTCCCAGACTTCAGAGGAGGTGTTCTTTCAGTTACTTGTGGATTATGGTTGTATCTCTTTATAGAAGAAATCTGAGAGTGATGCTTGTAGGACTAGTAGCCAAGGAAGTGGTTCAGCTCAGCTGTTGATATTTGTGTCCAGTGCTCAGTTAGCTCTTCATGTGTTTGAATTCTTTTTTTCCTAGAGGAGAGAACCTGGCCAGTCTCCAATTTCTGAGACTCTAATTTAGGTTATATATTTCTCTGCAATGTGAATCTATTTCAAACTTGATGTAAGATTGCTCACTAGTGCATTGCCAAATACCCGATAGGCACCTCAGTAAATATTTATTAATGTTAATGATGAGAATAACCTTTTTAAATATTTGTGTTTGAAATATGTACTCTACCAATACTGCAATAGGGAAAGCTTTCAGGATAATTACATTTTGTATTTATATCCAGTGATTTATTCCTAAGATCTCAAATTTTGTTAGAGATATGATTATAGTATATATATTTTTTCAGACTTAAGGTTATTGGCAATTGTTAGTCCTGTTTAATAGATGAGGAGTGTAAAAAGAGACGGGGAGTGATTTGCAAAAAGTCTCACTGTGGATTGAAGTAAGATATGAAAGTTTAGATCTATGGTTCCAAATTTCACTAAAACGAGTCTAGCTCTGGGAACTAAACCAATGGTCAAGAAGTTGCAATGGGACATTGAATAACTCACGTATGTGGAACTATCCTCCTGATTAAAATTAATTTTGAAAAATGAATTTTTCTTTGACTCTATCTGTGAGGTGTGGCAGCTAGAGACTGTTTTTTCCCTATTAAATATAACCCATGATTGTTTAGTCCTGATGATTCAAATGGTAATATTATCTATTTATATTACTACTATTATTTTTTTCAAATCAGCCTAATAAATATAGAAATTGATCTTTTTTGTTTGTTTGTTTTAGAGAGGGGATCTCGCTGTGTTGCCCAGGCTAATGTCAAACCCCTGGCCTCAAGCGAACCTCCCACCTCAGCCTCCCAAAATGCTGGGATTATAGGCATGAGCCACCAAATCCAGTCAATATTTTACTTTTGAATATACAGATTCATAATTTTTAAAAGCACAGCAGTGGAAGTTACAATGATTAGTACTTTTCTTAATCAAAGTGGAAAATTGCTTTACTCATTATCTTAGAAATAAATTCAGTAGATATTTTAGAAATGAAGTGTCCCTACTTACTTTTATAACTTTTTGCATAAATAAAATGAGTAACTAGTCTATGTATTTAAAAATAATCAAAATAAATGCAATTTTTAGCTTTTTTTCTTATTAAAATTGTCATGTAAAACATCTCCTAGTATTATTTTTATCATTTGTTGTCATCAGCATTTCTCAAAAGGTGATCTGTAATTCACCTGCATCAGAGTCACCTGAGATATTTATTAAAATGTAGAGGTTAGTTTCCCACCCCAGCTCTACTGAACAAGACTCTTAGCACCAGACTCTAGACATCTGTATTTTAAATAAGCTTTTTAGGTTACAAGTACAACCTGCGAGTAATTCAGAATTGCTTCAGTGTGAGAGGCTGGGGAAGTAGAGACAGAGGCAAGGGAGATAAGCAAGGGAAAGCATGATATGCTGAGGTGTTCGGATCTTATCCTGGAGGTAGTAAGGATTTAAGATAGGCAGTAACATAAATTAACTGCATTCACTTTGAGTCGCATTTACTTTTTATCTAACAATTTTTTAGAGACAGGGTCTCGCTACATTGCCCAGGCTAGAGTGCAGTGGCTATTCACAAACTCAACAATTGTGCACTATAGGCTTGAATTCCTGGGCTCAAGTGATCCTCCCACCTCAGCCTCCCAAGTAGTTGGAATTACAGGTGAATATCACTGACCTTGGCTTTTGAGTTACTTTTATAAATTACTTATTTAGAGAAGAGTTAATCCCACTATCAAGAAAGATAGGTTAAACTAACTGCACATAAGATTGCATTCTTATTTAAGATTACTTTGAAGGGTATCAGATGTGTATAATTTATTATTCACTATCCTGGCCTTAGCAGTTCCAATTTGTTTTGCGTGTAAATGATAACTCATATAAACCACCATTATTTCCTATTATGATCCATATAAAAATTGAAGTATGGAAAAAGAAACTCAAGAACAAATTGGTAATATTATTAATATACATGCACAAATACAAAGCCGTGAGTAACTATAAATGCCGTAATTGTGTTAATGAAATGGAAAACATTCCTGATGCAGGTTGTCAGGGGCAGGTTGGAGCTTTACTCTGTGGAGACGGAGTTTCACTCTTGTTGCCCAGGCTGGAGTGCAATGGCTCGATCTCAACTCACCACAACCTCCGCCTTCCAGGTTCAAGCGATTCTCCTGCCTCAGCCTCCCAAGTAGCTGGGACTACAGGCATGTGCCACCATGCCCAGCTAATTTTGTATTTTTAGTAGAGATGGAGTTACTCCATGTTGGTCCGACTGGTCTCGAACTCCCGACCTCAGGTGATCTGCCCGCCTCGGCATCCCAAATCCAATGAATCATTCTGCTACCTTCTAAAGCATTGAAATTTTGGCTGCATCCAGCCTTCAGACACGATGGGGAGAAGTTACACAAGCTCTTAACCACCTGGAGGTGACACACATCACCCCCTCCTCCACACTGCTGGTGACAGCCAGTCACACGAGCCCACCAAATTGCAAGGCATCTGGGAGCTGTGATACATTTTAAAGAAAGAACAGAGCCAGTCTCTGTCACAGTAGACTATTCTTCAGGATTGCTCATATCAAAGATATGTGCTAGGGAGTAGGAACTGCTCAAAAAAATAAGCTAACATACTATAGATATTTCCCAATTTATGTATGTTCTTACAGTCAGGCAGTCACTGAGGATAGCTGCCTTTGCTAAGAGGCTCAGAGCAGTCTTTATAAAACTTTTTGGACTGTACTCCCAAAAGAAATATATTTTACACAGTGACTCAATACCATACATATACACAAATACAAAAATTTCATACCTGTTGTTGAGGAAACAATAATTATTCTTACTATATGTGGTGTACCTTGGTATTGATATGAACAGGAGAAAGGGAAATACTGGGTAGAAGAGGGCAGTTCTCTGGCAAAGGCCCCACCCTCAAGCCTGGAAACCCATGGCCCTAAATGTGAACAGGCATTTTTGTTTTCGTGCCCAAAAGTTGCCTTTTGGCCTGCCATGCCTGCCTAACCTGTACCCATATAAATCCCAAACCCCAGGATCCATGAGCAGACAAGCATATGAGGAGACAAACAGAAGAGCAGAAGAATCACAGAATGGTATGGCAGAGAAGAAGAGAAGAGAAGGAGCGTTTTGAACGTCGAGAGATTGGCTGGGGACAGGCAGAGAGGAGATTGGCCCCAGGATGGCCAAACTCCAGGGGAAGATCATCTTTTCACTCCATCATCCCTTTCAGCTCCCCATCTATCCCACTGACAGCCACTTCCCCTGCTCAGTAAAACCCCTGCATTCACCATCCTTAAGTCGGTGTGCGACCTGATTCTTCCTGGACGCCGGACAAGGACCTGGGTACCAAGAGGGCACCGACCTTTTTAACAAACCATCTGCGGATGGCAAGGCTAAAAGAGCACACTGTAGCACACACCCACATGGGCTTCAGGAGTCGCAGGCTCCCACTCCTGGATGATGTTGTGGGGCCAGAGCCCAGGAGCGGGAGCCTGTGCTCCTGCACCTGCCGTCTGCACACTCCCCCTCCTGTAAGGGGTTTGAGCGCTGAACAGATGAGCCACACCCTTGTTGCCTGTCCTGTGAGGGAACTCTCCCATTTCAGTATTTTCTCCACTGTTTCCTAGATTGTTATATATGATAGTATTACCTGTCTCAACACTGATACCATCTGTAGTTTTGGGAGGCTCCATTTCATCTTGAGCAGAGCCTCTGCTTCTGAGGTGAGATGCTCACAGGAGTTTGAATCTGGATTTCCTGACGTGTAGATGATTCTCATTGCAGTCCTTTAAGTACCCAAAACCGTGCCATTATCACCTAACCACCTCTGTATTCTTTCCTTCTCTCCTACAGCTAGAGTTGTCAGATTTTGCAAATAAAAATATAAGATATCCAGTTAAATTTGCATTTCAGGCAAAAATGTATAATTTTTTGGTATAACTATGTCTGATGCAATTATTTGGGACATACTTATACTAAGAAAATTATTTGTTAAAATTCAACTTTAACTGGATGTCCCAAATTTTATTTGGCTAATTCTACCTACAGTGAATTAGGCAATGCAGAGGAGAGTTTTTTTTGTTTTGTTTTTTGTTGTTTTTTTTGCTGCTATTTATTTCTCTTGGCTGCTGATAAAAAGGAAATCAGACTAGCTTTAGATATGAGCTTCAGGGACAGAGGGGAGAGGCTGTGAGCTGGGGCCTATTTTGTAGTCAGGTGGGGAGAGGAGAGAAATTGTACTCAAGTCACTGGGAGATAGCAGAGAAATAGGTAGCTGGGAGTGGGGTGGTACTGGCCTGAGAAAGAGAAGGAAGGCAGAGAAGTGGGTATACACAAGGAGTGTCCCTGTAGTCTTACAGTGGCAGGAGGTTCTGGCACACCAATGCCTATTATCTTTGTATCCATGCCTCTGGAAATCTCAGTCCTCTTCCTCAACTTCTCTTATTTTCACCTGAGCTCTGTTGGAGGCTGTGACAAACCATTACTGGGAATGTGGAGTATTGGTAAGGATAGGGAATCTCTTATGTAATAAGAAGATAGAAATTGTTAGTAGTAAATATTAGTAAATAGTAGAAATCGTAAATGACTTTCTCATAGGAAAGTGGTCTTAAGTGGTGTTATATTCTGTAGAAATTATTCTGCAAGAAATCCCTTGGGAGCTTACTAAAATGCAGTTTTCTGGGCTTCATGTAAAGGTTTGGATTTTGTAGGTCTAGGATGAAGCCCTGAATCCCACATTTATTTTGTACAGGCTTCCAGAACCACAGTTTGAAAAATACTGCAACAAAGTATAGCATGGTATAGTATAGTACATTTTAATCTAGTGTAGTTTAGTATTGTGTAAGATTACATCATATTAGAAAATTACAATACTATATACATACTATAAATTTAATTAGCCTTTATAAGTTTGCTGGAAAGGGTCTTTTATCTTTATTTATTTTTAAATGAATGCTTTCAATGTTTCAAGCTACATATTTACCAAAGGACTTTTAGAGTCTCTACTCAAATTAGAGATACGGCTAATACAAGTGCCATCTAGTGGCCAATAGGGTTTTTGCTTAAAAAGTCATTAAAATGCCTGGCTGAGCACGGTGGCTCACCTCTGTAATCCCAGCACTTTGGGAGGCCGAGGCAGGCGGATCACCTGAGGTTAGGAGTTCAAGACCAACCTGGCCAACATGATGAACCCCCGTCTCTACTAAAAATACAAAAACTTAGCTGGGTGTGGTGACGGGCGTCTTTAATCCCAGCTACTCGGTAGGCTGAGGCAGGAGAATTGCTTGAACCCGGGAGGCAGAGGTTGCAGTGAGCCAAGATCCTGCCATTGCACTCTAGCTGGGCAATAAGAGCAAAACTCCGTCTAAAAAAAAAAATCATTAAAATGCTAGAGAATTTGATCTTTTCCATCTTACCAGCTTGAGGCAGTAGCTCTAGGACATGAATGTTATACTTTATTAAATTCTGAAAATAATGATACTAGTTATGTTGAAGTTACTGAAGCACAGGTAGTTCTGATTTTTCCATCTTTGGAGGAGGTAGTAGAGATAGGGGGGCTTGGACTACAAAGTTGCTTTGCTATACAGAAAGTATTCCTTGCTATCACTTATCAAGGGGTTGCAGAGTATTTGCCATTCATTCATTCATTCATTCTTCAGCAATTTATTCAAAATAGAGTCAATATTTATTTATTGCCAACTAGGTTTAAGACACTGTACTTAAGATTAATCAGACTAGATGTTCTGTCCTTTCAAGGGCTTATTGTTTAATTGGGAACATAGGCATCCATGCCTTTAATGTAACTGGTTTTGTGAGATTTATAAAGGTGACTCAGTCATGGTCCTAATCTTAAGGAAGTTATAGCCTATTAGAAGAAATAGGAAACTCCCAGAACTGCTCTAGGTACAGTCCTGGGGAGATAAGATGTGTGCCCACAAAACTATAAGTAATGGAAGATGGTGGCTGAATCGGATGGCTCCATCTGTAAGTGCTATAAGAAGGCAGAAGCTGCCTCTCTCAGCTCAACACACTGCCTTCCCCATGTAGCTCTGTATATTCTGGAATCAACAGACGATGTTTTGTGTAGAAGGCACAACAATTTAGCTACTTTTCATATGGTTATCAAATGCAACATAGCAGTGTAATGAAAAACAAGCAGGCCCTGTCATTGTAGTTGACATTCAAATCAACTAATTTGTCTTAAAACTTTCATATTTTTAGCTAGCTTATGCAGCTAATAAATTTAAATAAAAAATTCTAGTGGCTGTTACTCGGTTAATTTTGACGATAAAAAAATGGCACCAGAAGTCAAATAACAAAGAAAAGCTTGTATCTGAATTTAGCTACAGCAAATTAATAATCTCCCAAGTCCCTTGCCCTTATAGCAGCTTTAAATTTTGTAAAGTTTCCCAACTCTGCGTGCCATTTTCCTCCTTCAGGTTCATGAATGATACCTTTCATTGACAATATCAAACTGATATTTTTACTGTAAATCCTTTCAAACATTCAGAGACAGATTTCATTTTAATGATTTGAATTTGAGGGTTTATTCCCCCAGTGCTTTGGTGGATTGTTTTTCTAAATACTTAGATGTAATAGGGAACTTAAAACATGATTTATAAAGCAAGTAAGATATATGACATTAGTATTACCTACTAAAGTCTGCAAGGGGAAAATTGATCTCACTTTTTTTTCCTTCACAAAATTCCCTGAATCACTATTCAATTAAAATCTCTAACCCAACACCCCAGATTGTATGTATTAATAATATAGATCTATACGATGTAATGCTATCTTTAAAAATAGACATAAGAAAACACTTTGAGTGATTTATGGTATAATACATTTTGGAGATAAGATATATATATATATATACACATACACATACACACACACACACACACACACACACACACACACACAATGCCTAGGGATGTCATTTTGACTAACAAGGGCCAGGCACGTGGCTCCTGCCTGTAATCCCAGCCCTTTGGAAGGCCGAGATGGGTGGATAGCTTGAGGCCAGGAGTTTGAGACCAGCCTGGCCAACATGGTGAAACCCCATCTCCACAAAAAATACAAAAATTAGCTGGGTGCAATGGTGTGTGCCTGTAGTTCTAGGTATTTGGGAGGCTGAGTTGGGAGAATTGCTTGAGCCCAGGAGGTCGAGACTACTGTGAGCCAAGATCACGCCACTGCTCTCCAGCCCAGGTGACAGAGACCCTGTCTCAAAAAACAAAAATAAAAAACTTTGGCTAACACGAAGGCCCCTGTAGTCCCAGCTACTTGGGAGGCTGAGGTGGGAGTATTGCTTGAGCCCTGGAGGTCAAGGCTGTGGTGAGCCGTGATCATACCACTGCACTCCAGCCTGGGTGACAGAGACCTTGTCTGAAAAAACCAAAAAGCAAAAAACAAAAAACTTTGACTAACATGAAGGGAACATTTGGTTACTTTTGTACTCTTGTAGGGAGGTGAGTAATAATGGTTAATGTGAGTGGGACTTAAGCAAATCCTGGCTCTAATGTAATTTTTGTGGGTCTTATGGTTTTGTAAAAAGAGAGAAAGCATCTTTGAGCTACAAGCCATTATTTCTGAGATATCACTGAGAGTGGACAACAGCAACTCTCTTTTTCTGGGCAAAGGAAACGGCTCACAGATGTTCCTGCTGGACACAGCGTTGTTCACAGCTTAATCTTAAAAGTAAGATTATTTTTGTAATTTTACTGACCAAATACAAATGTGGATTTAAGTGCTTGTTTTTAACGATTACAGAGAGAACAACCTGACATAAACTAGCAAGCCAACAGGTGAAGTTTCGACACACCTCCTTTAATAAAGGTATTTTATTTATTCATTCATTCAACAAATATTGCTTAAGCACCCAGTAGGTATAAAGTAGTTTCAAGTGCTAGAGTTTCAACAGTGGACAAAATAGGCTATAATTCTGGCCCATAGGCCAAAACTTATGTTCTAGTAGATGGATATAGGCAAAAAACAAAATAAATGAGTAAAGCATACAGTATGCAGATGGTGATAAGTGCTGTGGCAAAAAATAAAGCAGGAAAAGGGTAGAGGGAGTTCCAGGGTGAATGAAGGGATTCAAATTTAAATAAAAGGGTCAGAGGAGACCTCATTGAGAAGGTGATATTTAAAGAGAAAGGAAGCAAAGGAGTGAGCCATAAAAATATATACAGGGGAAGAGCGTTCTAGGCAGAGGAAATGGCAGGTGCAAAGGCCCAGAGGTAGGAGAGAACTTAATGTATTAACTGAACAACAAAGGGGTCAATAAGGAAGGAGCAATAAAAGAGGGGTAAGTATAGAAGATGAGATCAGAGATGTAATAGTGTCAGGTCATGCAGGTCATCGTAAAGACTTTGGCATTTACTATGAGAGGGAAGGAGCCACTGGAAGGTTGTAAGCATCTGACTGATGTTTTAAAATAATCTCTTTGGCTCTTTAATTGAAATAGGAACCAAGGTTATCAGCTAAGAGTGAGGATAAAGGAGAAGGTGCTAGAAGATTGAGGAGAGATTATGAGGCAGTTGCCTAGGAGAGTGGGACAATTACTTGAATAGGAAATATACTGTGATTACAAAGTAGCATAGTGGGCCCACTGGGGTTTAGTGGTCATGAATTTAAAGTGAGATCAATCAGCCACATAGAGCAGACAGAGTAGAATTTAATGAGGGTTGAAGTTTTGCCAAGTGACTAAGAGAAGAGAGAGTGGAGTAGGGAATTGAGTGTCATGCAGGACAATGCTTTAGTGATTGACTGTGGAATTTAGGCTGGGCAAGGGAAGAAGTGAGTATATGGGCGACAAGAAAAATGTTGATTATAATTGAATCCTTTTATATAATGTTATTCTTTCTAGACTTTTCCACCTAAATATCTGAGGCTTTAAAACACTAGCAGAAGATATCCAGAATGGCTGATTTAAAAATTCAGTTACTTGGTTTGTAGATTTCATTAAGAAAAAATTATACCCATCAAAATCCATCTTTTAACATTATTTGCTATATCTTAGCTAAAAAAACCCCACCACAACTGAAAATCAAAGAAATAAACAAAACCTCCCAAACTAAATAGGACCAAGATTAAGGAAAAAAAATCTCACATATTCAGCTGGAGATATTCAAGGAACAAATGAAAATCACATTAACAGTTTCCTGTTGTACCAGACACTGGCTGTGTAGTAGGGAAACACTTATGAATAGTAGCAGAATAATGGTTATAGTGTATTTGCCATTGGAACATTTATCTCATTTAAAAAATCATGATGTTTCTCTGTTGCCTTTAAAGAAAGACTATTAGACTCTAAGCAGGTAAAACTTGAAAGAAGTGTAAAATAAATTATTTAATGCTTTTTCTCAAATACAGGATAAAATGCCAACATTTGGAGTTTCATAAAATACACATGGTAGTTAGGCTGCTAGAGTAAAAATTGCATCAGAATGTGTAAAGATTCCTAAAATTAAGTTCTAATGAGGACTTGAAAACAGCTGTTTCCTTATTGTTTTCCATAAGCCTTTCTAGGTATAGATACTATAAAAATATTGACAATTCAAGTTCTGCAGTTGGTTAAACATCAAGGATTATTAGCTATGCAATTATTTTTAAGAAAGGAATTAAAAGTGACTTACAAACTTTTATTAGGGCAAGCCCACAACAAATATAGATTTTATTGTTCAGTAGTTTCCAAAGTTCAAACAGTTTTTCAAAAGTTTTGTGAGGAAAATGATGGATAGGTGGCAGGACTAACTTACACCTCCCACTTGGATGGACAGAGCAGTGTGTGGAGACTCACACTGTGAACTTTTGCTCCAAGAACTAGTGCAGGAATACACCAGGAAAGTCGAGAGAATCCACAGACCCTTTGAAGGAAGTGCAGGCTCTGGGAGACATCCAAAAAACTGTGAGTGCCCAAAGTGTGAAGGTGTGAAAGGGGGATCGTCTGCCCCTGAACACACATCCTCACTGGGGAACCTGAAGGTCCAGATCATGGGAGAAGGATTTGACCTTACCTGGAGCTGAGATAAACATAGAGAGCTGAGTGAAATACAGGGGTAGACGAAGCAGTGGGAAGAGCATGTGGGCACTCTTTGTTCCCAGGGAAGCCATTTCTGACTTTGTCTCACAGGGGTCCTTGGGAAGGGATACCAGTGGAATTGGGGAAAGACTACAGGGAGAAGGAAACCTCCAGCTGAACTTTGTAACAATTTCAACCAAACATGAAGTTTCCTGGACAGAATCTGGGTGAGAGGGTGAACTGGGAGCGCAGAAACAGCACAGAAGTTGTGGCAGGCAGGAAGGCATGAAACCTGAAAGCCCTACTTGCTTTCCCAGCGGGAAGGCCTGGAGCCTGGGACAAATCCTCAGCCCTGCTTACCCACTGCCTGGAAATAAACCTGGTGCTGTTGGGGGGGTTGGCACGGTGAAAGTAAGACCGGCCTTTTGGGCTGTGTGGGAGCTGGGTGAGAGCTAGGTGGGGGCTGTAACTGCTGGCTTTCCTCCACTTCCCTGGCAACCTGCATGATGCAGCAGAGGCAGCCATAATCACCCTGGGAATATAACTCCATTGGCCTGAAAATGACACCCCCATTCCCCACAGCAGCCTCAGCAAGCACTGCCTGAGGAGAGTCTGAGCTCAGACATGCCTTACCCTGCCCCAAACTTATGGTCTTTCTCTACCCACCCTGGTAGCTGAAGACAAAGGACATAATCTCTTGGGAGCTGTATGGCCACACCAACTACCTGAGAAACTTTTCCAGGTGACACTAGGGTAAGCCTGTATCCTCTCTATAGTACCACAGCTGATGCTGTTTTGAAAGTGCCACCTCTTGGCTGGAGGCCAACAAACCCAAAACTAGCACAGTAAACAAAACTGCAACCAAGGACCCTCACAGAGTCTACTTTACTCACCTGCTATCTCTACCAGAGCAGGTGCTGGTATCCAGGGCTGAGAAAACTGAAGATGGATCACATCACAGGACTCTTTGCAGACACTCCCCAGTAGCAGCCTGGAGCCTGGTAGCTCTGCTGGGCAGCTAGATCCAGAAGAGAAGTAACAACCTCTACAGTTTGGCTCTCATGAAGCCTCATCCCTGAGCACCCACATCCAGGTAATACCCTATGGGACAAAAGAATCTGAACAATAGCCCTTGAACACTGGATCTCTGATGTAGTCTACCCAAATGAGAAGGAACCAGAAAAACAATTTTGGTAATATGGCAAAACAAGGTTCTTTAACACCCCCAAAAGATCACACTAGCTCATTAGCAATGGATCCAAATCAAGAAGAAATCTCTGAATTGCCAGAAAAAGAATTCAGAAGGTCAATTATTAAGCTACTCAAGGAGGCCTCGGAGAAAAGTAAATACCAACTCAAAGAAATTTTAAAAATGTTATAGGACATGGATGGAAAAATTTCCAGAGAAATAGATAGCATAAATAAAAAGCAATCACAACTTCTGGAAATGAAGGACACACTTACAAAAATGCAAAATACACAGAAAATCCTCAGCAACAGAATAGAACAAGTAGAAGAAATAACTTCAGAGCTCAAAAACACGGCCTTTGAATTAACCCAATCCATCAAAGACGAAGAAAAAAGTTAAAAAATAAACAAAGCCTCCAGGAAGTTTGGGATTATGTTAAATAACAAAAATCTAAGAATAATTGGTGATCCTGGGGAAGAAGAGAAATCTAAAAGTTTGGAAAACATATTTGAGGGAATAACTGAGGAAAACTTCCCCTGCCTTGCTAAAGATCTAGACATTCAAATACAAGAAGCTGAAAGAACACCTGGGAAATTCATCACAAAAAGATAATCACCTAGGCACATAATCATCAGGTTATCTGAAGTCAAGACTAAGGAAAGAATCTGAAGAGCGTGAGGCAAAAGCATCAGTAACCTATAAAGGAAAACTTACCAGATTAACAGCAGATTTCTCAGCAGAAAACCTACAAGCTAGAAGGGATTGGGGTCCTATCTTTAGCCTCCTAAACAAAACAATTATCAGCCAAGAATTTTGTATCCAGTGAAACTAAGCTTCATAAATGAAGGAAAGATACAGTCTTTTCTAGACAAGCAAATGCTGAGAGAATTTGCCACTACCAAGCCAGCACTACAGGAACTGCTAAAAGCGGCTCTAAATCTTGAAACAAATCCTCAAAATACACCAAAATAGAACCTCCTTAAAACATAAATCTTACAGGACCTGTAAAACATTCACACACACACACACACACCCCAAGGTACTCAGGCAACAAATAGCATGATGAATAGAATAGTACCTCACATCTCAATACTAATGTTGAATGTAAATGACCTAAATGCTCCATTTAGAAGATACAGAATGGCTGAATGGATAAGAATTCACCAACCAAGTATTTGCTGTCTTTAAGAGACTCACCTAACACATAAGGACTTCCATAAACCTAAGGTAAAGGGGTGGAAAAAGATATTCCATGCAAACAGACACGCAAAAGTGAGCAGGAGTAGTTATTCTTATATCAGAGAAAACAAACTTTAAAGCAACAGCAGTTAAAAAAGACAAAGTGGAACATTATATAATGATAAAAGGGCTTGTTCAACAGGAAAATATCACAATCCTAAATATGTATGCACCTAACCTGCAGCTCCCAAATATATAAAACAATTACTACTAGGCCTAAGGAATGAGATAGAAAACAGCACAATAATAGTGGGGGACTTCAATACTTCACTGACAGCACTGGACAGGTCATAAAGACAGAAAGTCAACAAAGAAACAATGGACTTAAACTCTACAACAGATGGACTTAACAGATATTTACAGAACGTTTTAGCCAGCAACTGCAAAATATATATTCTATTCATCAGCACATGAAACATTTTCCGAGATAGACCATATGATAGGCCACAAAACAAGTCTCAATAAATTTAAGAAAATAGAAATTATATCAAGTACTCTCTCAGATCACAGTGGAAGAAGATTGGAAATCAACTCTAAAAGGAACCCTAAAACCGTGCAAATACATGAACATTAAATAATCTGCTCCTGAGTGATTGTTGGCTTAGCAATGACATCAGGATGGAAATTAAAATTTTTTTGAGTTGAACAATAATAGTGACACAACCTATCAAAACCTCTGGGATACAGCAAAGGCAGTGCTAAGAAGAAAGTTCATACCCTTAAATGCCTACATGAAAAAGTCTGAAACAGCACAAATAGACAATCTAAGGTCACACCTCATGAAACTAGAGAAAGAAGAACAAACCAAACTTAAACCCAACAGAAGAAAAGAATAACAAAGATCAGAGCAGAACTAAATGAAATTGAAACAAAAAAACTACAAAAGGTAAATGAAACAAAAAGCTTGTTCTTTGAAAAGATAAATAAAATTGATAGGCCATAATGAGATTAACCAAGAAAAAAAGAGAGAAGATACAAATAAGCTCAATTAGAAATGAAATGGGAAGTATTACAACCAATACCACAGAAATACAGATCATTCAAGGCTACTATGAATACCTTTACACACATAAACTAGAAAACATAGAGGAGATGGATATATTCCTGTAAATATACAACTCTCCTTGGTTAAACCAGGAAGAAAATGAAACTCTGAAAAGACCAATAACAAGCAGTGACATTGAAATGATAATTAAACAATTGCCCACAATAAAAAGCCCATGACCAGATGGATTCACAGCTGAATTCTATCAGACATTCAAAGAAGAATTGGTGCTAATCCTGTTGACGCTATTCCACAAGGTAGAGAAATAGGGAATCCTCCCTAACTCATTCTATGAAGCCAGTATCACCCAATACCAAAACCAGGAAAAGAAATAACTAATAAAGAAAAGTACCGACCAATATCCCTGATGAACATAGATGCAAAACTCCTCAACAAAATGCTAGCTAACTGAATCCAACAGCATGTCAAAAAGATAATCCACCATGATCAAGTGGATTTCAATAAATGTGATATACCACATAAATAGAATTAAAAACAAAAATCATACGATCATCTCAATAGATGCAGAAAAAGCATTGACAAAATCCAGCATCCCTTCATTATTAAAACTCTCAGAAAATCGGCATAGAAGGGACATACCTTAATGTAATAAAAGCCATCCATTATAAGCCATCTATTAAAAGCCAACGTTATACTGAATGGGGAAAAGTTGAAAGCATTCCCCCTCAGAGCTGGAACAAGACAAGGATGCCCACTCTCACCACTTCTATTCAACATAGTAATGGAAGTGCTAGCCAGACCAATCAGATAAGAGAAAGAAATAAAGAGCATCCAAATCAGTAAAGAGGAAGTCAAACTGTCACTGTTTGCTGATGATATGATTGTATACCTAGAAAACCCTAAAGACTCCTCCAAAAAGCTTCTAGAACTGGTAAATGAATTCAGCAAAGTTTCAGGATATAAAATTAATGTACACCAACAGTGACCATCCTGAAAATCAAATCCAGAACTTAACCCCTTTCACAATAGCTGCATAAATAAATACATAAGTAAATACAATATAACACTTAGGAATATACCTAACCAGGATGTGAAAGACCTCTACAAGGAAAAGTATGAAACACTGCTGAAAGAAATAATAGACAATGTAAACAAATGGAAACACATCCCATGCTCATGGATAGGTAGAATCAATATTGTGAAAATGACCATACTTCCAAAAGCAATCTAGAAATTCAATGCAATTCCCATAAAAGTACCACCATCATTCTTCACAGAACTAGAAAAAAAAATCCTAAAATTCATATGAAACAAAAAGGGAGCCCTCATAGCCAAAGCAAGACTAAGTAGAAAGGACAAATATAGAGGCATTACCCTACCCAACTTCAAACTATACTATAAGGCTATAGTCACCAAAACAGCATGGTACTAGTATAAAAATAGGCACATAGACCAATGGGACAGAATAGAGAATCCAGAAATAAACCCAACTGCTTACAGCCAACTGATCTTAGACTAGCCAAACAAAAACATAAAGTGGGGAAAGAACAGCCTATTCAACAAATGGTGCTGGGGTAACTGGCAAGCCACATGTAGAAGAATGAAACTGGATCCTCATCTCTCAACTTATATAAAAATCAACTCAAGATGGATCAAAGACTTAAATGTAAGACCTGAAATAATAAAACTTCTAAAAGATAACATTGGAAAAACTTTTCTAGACATTGGCTTAGGCAAAGACTTCATGACCAAAAATCCGAAAGCAAATGCAACAACACCAAAGATAAATAGATGAGACTTAATTAAACTAAAAAGCTTCTGCACAGCAAAAGAAACAATCAGCAGAGTAAACAGACAACCCACAGAGTGGGAGAAAATCTTCATAATCTATACATCTGACAAAGGACTAACATCCAGAATCTATAAGGAACTCAAACAAATCAGCAAGAAAAAAACCCAAAATTTCCCATCAAAAAGTGGGCTAAGGACATGAATAAACAATTCTCAAAAGAAGATAAACAAATGGACAACAAACATATAGGAAATTGCTCAACATCACTAATGATCAGGGAAATGCAAATCAAAACAGC
This sequence comes from Homo sapiens, assembly GCF_000001405.40. NCBI lineage: Eukaryota > Metazoa > Chordata > Mammalia > Primates > Hominidae > Homo > Homo sapiens. Next base: position 91,819,702 of record NC_000007.14, on the reverse strand, counting down.
AATGTGATACCACTTTCCTCCTGCAAGAATGGCATAATCACAAAATCTAAAAATAATAGATGTTGATGTGGATATGGTGCAAAGGGAACACTTTTACACAGCTGGTGGGAATGTAAGTAGTACAACCACTATGGAAAACAGTATGGAGATTCCTTAAAGAACTAAAAGTAGATCTACCATTTGATCCAGCAATTCTACTACTGGGTATCTACCCAGAGGAAAAGAAGTCATTATATGAAAAAGATACATGCGCACACATGTTTATAGCAGCACAATTCTCAACTGCAAAAATATGGAACCAGCCCTAGTAGATAAAGAAAATTGATATCTATATATCTATATATATACCATGGAATACTATTCAGCCATAAAAAGGAACAAATTAATGGCATTCCCAGCAACCTGGTTTGAATTGGAGACAATTATTCTAAGTGAAGTAACTCAGGAATGGAAAACCAAACATTGTATATTCTCACTCATATGTGGGGGCCAAGCTATGAGAACCCAAAGGCATAAGAATAATATAATGGACTTTGGGGACTCTGGGGGAAAAGGTGGAGGGAGGTGAGGGAGAAAAGATTATACATTGAGTACAGTGTACACTTCTTAGGTGAGAGGTAGGTGCACCAAAATCTCAGAAATCATCACTAAAGGAATTGTTCATGTAACCAAACACCACCTTTTCCCCAAAAGACTATTGAAATTATAAAAAAGTTTTGTTTTTTCGTAAATGTATATAAAACACACACATATATTTGTGTTTCTATCTAAATTTCTGCCTATGACAAAACAAAACTTTTGTTTAGAAAAAACAAAATTTCATAGGGCTTTGTAATTGTCTTCAAATATTTGATGGGTTCTTAGTAGAAATGGAATTACATTTCTTGAATGTTGCATCAAGGGGTTAGAACTGAGTTTAAGTGGTAGAAGTAATTAGAAAGCAAATTTTGATTCACAGTGAGATGAGAACTGTTTATTGAGTGCCTACCATGAGCTAGCGCCATGCTAGCAGCTTTCTATACCTCATTTTGTTTCATTATCATAACTGTCATTATATTTAGGAACTATTTATGAAAGACTGATTATGGTGCAAGTACCGTTCTAAGTCTAGTAATAGAACAGTGAAAAAAATAAAGTTCTCGCCGTTTGTGGAATTAAGGAGATAGAATTGTCATCTTTATTTTATAGAACAGAAGCCTAAAATTTAGAGAGGAAAACTTACAAATGTCATCAATGGTGAAGGTAGAATTCGAACCCAAGTACAAGGCTCATGCTCCCTCCTCATCACACTGCAGTTAGAACTATTAATGGAACAGGCTGCTTAACTGAGGGATGAGTTACTTCATGGGCTGTAGTTAAATAGAGCCTGGAAACTGGGTATGGCATGCACCTGTATTCCCAGGCACTTGGGAGGCTAAGGTGTGAGAATTGCTTGAGCCCAGGAGTTTGTGACCACCCTGGCCAAAATAGTAAGACCGCATCTCACCGCTCTCCCTCCCGCAAAAGGCTGGGCTGATCACAGATGTTTAGGAACATCACAGGAGAGAAGTCAGTCTTGACTGAGAGGTTGAAGCGGATGCCCTCTAAAGTACCTCTCATTCTGTAATTCCAGGAAGGAAAGCATTTCAAGTGAGGGAACCAACATGGGCAATGTCATGGTGTGTGGGATGACATTTAAGAGGACACACTAGGTCACAGAATGGATATTATAGGAATTGTATTCCCCAGAAACAGCTCTACTCCTTTCAGAAATAGAATTGAAGAACTCCCAGTTTGAAGAAGACAGAATCCAGCCCTGTGGGATTTGACATTCACCTTCCCCTCCCTATAATTGGCTGAGTCCACAATGAAAGTCTGTAACTGCTTTAAAAGGGGACAGGAAGGAAGGGGATCTCTTCCCCATAACTCCTTGGACAATTGTTCTCGCTGTTTGTTGTCTCTGGCACCAATAAATGGTACCTTGCTTACCTTCTCTTTCTTCTATTCAGACTTTGGTCCCATGATTAGCCACTTTAGAATAGATCATCCAATGTCATTCCGATGTCATTGCCAGCCCCTCCCTGCCCTGACAGCCTGATTTAATGCAGCTTTCTCACCTGTGCTCTTGTTCTGCCCTACTTGCCCCAGACCCTGCTTGGTAGTCCTGATACCTGTGTCATAGACCAACTGGTAGCTACCTGACCCTTCTCTTAATTACTCAGCTTCCTCCTCTACTTGCCCTGCCCTTGGACTTTTTTGTACAATGTTTTGATAGATGATAGCAGCATCAATAACAGTAACAGTAACAACAACAACACAACAACAACAACAAAAAACTATAACAATAGTGACAGACACTGTGCTAAGTGCTTTACAGTAATTATCTCATTTAACCCTCATAGCCCCACAAGGAAAGTAATATTATGCCTGCATTTTTCAGATTGAGTGAGGAATGGAGAGATTAAATAACTTGTCTAAGATCAACAACCCAGTGAATGGGGGAAACCAAGATTCACCATGCATTTTGAGTCTACAGTCTAAACTTGGCCATTTTATGAAGAATGGGTAGGGAGTCGGGGTGGGCGTTGTAAAATGCTAGGAACTTCATGTATGTTTTCTTGCCTAGTTTTCCCAATAACCTTATTTAACGTTATTAAAATCTTACATATTTAAAAATTGTTATTATTTTTCTTTCCAACTTTTAGGTTCAAGGGGTACATGTGCAGATTTGTTGCATGAGTAAATTGCATGTCACAGGGCTTTGGTGTACAGATAGTTTTGTCATCCAGGTAATGAGCATAATACCCGATACTTTTTTTTTTTTTTGGAGATGGAGTCTCGCTCTGTCACCCAGGCTGGAGTGCAGTGGCACGATCTTGGCTCACTGCAACCTCCGCCTCCTGGGCTCAAGCGATTCTCCTGCTTCAGCTTCCTGAGTATCTGGGATTACAGGTGCCTGCCACTATGCCCAGCTAATTTTTGTATTTTTTAGTAGAGATGGAGTTTCACTAATGCTTGCCAGCCTGGTCTCAAACTCCTGATCTCAAGTGATCTACCTGCCTTGGCCTCCCAAATTGCTGGGATTACAGGAGTGAGCCACCACGCCTGGCCTGATAGGTAGTTTTTCAATCATCACTCTCTTCCTACCCTCCACCCTCAAATATGCCCCAGTATTTATTGTTCCCTCCTTTACATCCATGTGTACTCTACGTTTAGCTCTCACTTATAAGTTAGAACATGTGGTATTTGTAAAACCTTATATGTTTTAAAACATATCTACAACTTCTTTGACACTCTTCCCATTGAGAGATGGAGTCTATGTCTACCCCTTGAATCTATTCTAATCTTAGCCGTGAATTGACCAATAGAATATGGTAGAGGTGATACAGTGTGACTTCCAAGGCTAAGTCATAAAAGGTGATACAGCCTTTATCTGGGGACACTTGATCTTGGAACTCAGCCACCATGCTGTGAGTAAGCCAAGCAGTCACAATGGGAGACTCCAGCTGAGGCCAAGCCAACAGCCAGCATCACCTGCAAGACATGTGAGTGGGTGAGCTTTCAGATGATTCTAGCCCCTAGCCTTTGAGTCTTCCCAACAGATGCCACATGGTGTGGAGACAAGTTTTTACCACTGAGCCTCTGTCCAAATTGCAGATTTCTGAGCAAAATAAATGATTGTTGTTTTCAGCTTCTAAGTTTAGAGTGGTTAATAAAACAAAGCAACAGATAACTAATGTTCTGTGATCTCGGCATTCTTATGTCCACCTTACAGACGGGAAACAGGCTTTAAAAGCGAAATTATTTGTTCAAGTTTATATAATTTTTTACTCCTCCATATTGTTGATTCTTGAGAATTTAGACTTGTTTCAGGAGAATAAGGAACTATTATAGGAATTTGATAGGGGTGATGTTATGGCAGCCCTGGTTTAGGAACATTAGTCCAACAGAGAACACAGAGCAGATTGGAAAGGACATGGTGTACTCATGGTACCATATTTTAGCAAACAGAAGACACCATCATTTGGAAGATGATATTATTTTATGTATTGCTAAGTAAGAAAATGTGCCCAAGATAGGATTTTTAGTCCGAGACCTGAGACACCAGAGGGCTTAGATTTCCATTTAAGAGAAAATGAGAAACAAACTTAACATGCATAGAGGGGCAACAACAAGATGTTATGCTTAATTATTATATAAATAACTTAATTCTATATAATTATATAATTATATTTATAATTATAACCTTGGTATTATGTGAAGGGAATAGAATACTCTGAGAATTTGAACTGTTAATCAATTCTTACTCAGATTTGTGATCTGAATCTATTCTACCAGAGTAGAATGAAATACATACACACACACACACACAAGACACAAACTAGCACCAATACAGGACCACCACCACCAAGAACAACACAAGCCTCAAGCAGATAATTTAATTTAAACAAGTTTCAGGGTGGTAGTGCTATTGGACCTGACAGATACAAAGGCAAATCCTCTCTGGAAGATTTGGAAGAACTTGGAGAACTCAGTTTCATTCTGGACCAGCAGCAATTGTAGGACATCACTGAGGGTAAGATGCTATAGACTGTAGGGTATATGCCTATTTTAGAGATATTAAAATCTGTACAATTTTTTAATCTTAGAATAGTCAAAATAGAGCAATTTAGATAGGAGGATATGGAGGTGGAAACTAAGTACTTTTTTATTGACCAGGTAATTATTGATCAGTATGTGAGGTGAATTTTTATGCCAAGTGCTGGAATGGGGCATAAAAATGAATGTGAATGTACATTTCTTGGTATTGCACACTGTATTAGCTTATATTTCTATAACCAAGTACCAAAAACTTGGTGTCTTAAAATGACCGAAATTCTCTCTCAGATCTGGAGGCCAGAAGTCCAAAATGAAGTTCTTGACAGGGCCATGCTTCCTCTGAAGCTGCTAACAGAGTATCCTTTCTGGCCTCTTCTAGCTTTTGGTAACCCAGGTGTTCCTTGGCTTGCAGCTTCAATACTTCTGTCTTTGATTCCGTTGTCATGTGGGGTTATCTCTGTGTCTCTGTCTTCACATGACATTTTCCTCTTCTTATAAAAACAACAGTCAGATTAGATTAGGGCTCCACCTAATGACTTCATCTTAACTTTTCCAAATAAGGTCACATTCACAGGTATTGGGGATTAGGACTTTAGCATATCTTTTGGGGGACACAGTTCAACCCATAACACACAATGACCTGTATGTTGAGGTGATTCATTTCTACTTTCCTAGTCTCATCTCTCACTTCTCACTCCATGTGCTCATACTTCAGTTCTACTGAATCAGCTGCTGTTGTCCTGTCAAGAAGGCTCCAGTCTGATAGGCTCATACCACATGATACTTACAGCTCAGCTCAAGTATCATTTTCTTTGAGAAGCCTGATCTGAGTCTGCCAAGTCAGGTTAGGGGCCTCCTTCTTAGGGACATCGTTAACACCTACCCTGCCACATTGTAATGATTGGTTCCTTTCCTTTCCTTGCTATTTTTTTTCTGGCTAATTTTTTTGTATTTTTAGTAGAGATGGGGTCTCACCATGTTGGCCAACCTGGTCTCAAACTCCTGACCTCAGGTGATCCACCTGCCTCAGCCTCCCAAAATGCTGGGTTTATAGGCATGAGCCACCATGACCAGCTGGTTTATCTTTCTTATATAAGACTCTGAAGTCACTGAAGGCAAATACTTTGTGTCTTGTTTATCATTGTATTCTCCTTGCTGAGCACAGTGATCAGATTTGGCAGACACTCAGTAAATGTTTATTATTGAGTAAGAATAATATTATGAAGGGAATTTGATAGAACCTAGAGACCAATAGTATATGAAGCAAGAAGAAGAAATGAAGTATTGCTTTGAATTTTGAGTATAAGTAAGGAGGCCAAGAGAGGTATAATGGGCAGAAAGAGTGCAAGTCGAAGGAGTGATGATTTAGGGGAAAATATGAGCTCAAATAAAAGGGATCATGGAATAATACGCAGTACAGCAAGCAGAGGAGGAAACCCTTGAAGGACAAGGACTTTGTCTTATCTTTGTGTTCCTAGTATTTAGTATTATGCCTGGAATAAAAGCGGTAATCAGTTCATATTTACTAAATAAAGTGTAAAGTGAATGTTTCCAGGTCTCTAGAATGGTGTTTGTACTGACCAAATAGAGAAGTTGTAGAGAGCAACTGGCTTAAAGGCTGGGAAGGTAAAGCCTTCCCCTTTGGATATGCTGATTTGAAAATTAGGACAGAATATTTAAGGAAGTAATCTCAGTCACCAAACCTATGGAGCTCAGAGCTACAGACTTGAAAGTCACAGATGTCTATTTGTAAATTATCAATATAGAGATGATAATTGAAGACATGGAAGTAGATGCATTTTTTTTTAGAGGAATTAGGTATAGAGTTAAAAATGGAAAAATCTAGCAGACAAAAGTTGAACCAGTGAAGGAGACGGAGAAGTAGCAGCCACAGAAGGGAACACCTGGATAATACGGTGTCACAGAATCTAAGGGAGGAAATAATTTTTCAAAAATAGATCATTGTGCCAAATGTTGGAAAAGGATGGAGAATAATGAGGACTGAGAAAAGCTAATCAGTTTTGGATTTAGATTTAGTAATTAGTGACCTTCAAGAGAAATATTTCAGTGGAGTGTTGTCAGAGGAAGTCTCATCAGGTGTTTATGAAGGGATTTGGTGACAGTTTAGTGACAGTAAGAGAGATGATGTCATGTAGACCATATAATTAAATTTGGCAAAAAGGAGAGAAATTGAATAGAAACTTGGAAGATCAGCAGGATCAACAAAGACTTATTGCTGTGCTTTTGATATGAGATACATTTTTGGTGAATTTTGTGTTCTATAGCTTAAGTGTTTGGTTTTCAATTCAGCCTAAAGCTAAAACAGTGTATTAGAAAGGCAGAGAGATTATATGGCTTTTGGCTTAATAAATCAGAGAGGTGTCCTACTGGGTATGAGAGCCTGGCTCTGTGGCTGGCAGTAGAAAAGAGAAATGCAGGGGAAGGGATCATAAAAGTGTGTATGGTGGAACAGAAATTGTTAGGTCAGGGAGCAGAATCGCAGCATGTTAGAGCAGGAAGGGACAAATTGAGCAAGCCTTTCTATTTATAGACGAGGCAGCTGAGGTTCAGAAAGGAACCCTGGGACTTCTGAGTATTAATGAAAATCTGAGCTGTTTAATAGGGTGGTGGATGTGTTTTCCTTCTTCCTAGACTGAGGGGGAATTTCATGGCACCATTTTTGCTCCTTTGGGGGTATTGGGTTGTAGGCTGTCTGCCCGTTTCTGGAGGATGTTGCTGACCAGAGAGTTGAGTATCAGCCTCTTTGGGAAGAGTCCCCTTCCCAGACAGCTTCTAGAACTAATTTGGCTGCATTTTGCAAATAGAGATGGAGAAATGTAGACCCATGTTGTTGTCTCCTCAGGGTCATCATTAGACACACCAGCTGGCTGAGAAGCCTGTGGCTATAAAAATCAACCTTACTGAGGAAAGACGGATTATAAAAATAAGCCCCTTTTCTTTTAAACTTGATTTTCTGGAATGACACCTTGGCCCTTTAAATTAGGTCTTGCAGAAATATCAGGTTGGATCATTTAATCTTCTCAGTCAATACATTATCATTTAAGTTTTCTTAAATGTACTCTCCCATGTGACCTGTTTGGTTCTGCTGAAGACAATGATGAACATTGCATTTCCCTACACATGAAGTTTTTACATTGCAAACTCGTGATATGGTTCACTTTCCATGTATGGAATAAACCAGAATTCCTGAGATAGAGAAAAAAATGGTCTGTGGTGCTGGGCATACATTTGCTGCAGGGACTCAGGATGATGAAAGAAATAGTAAGCTGAGAGTGTGATGTATAGGTATCTAGCTATATATACAAATATCAGTTTCTTTCCTCCAAAATATTTTTTTTTCCTTCATTGAGGTTTGGAGACATGTCTCGCTTGCCAGCAATTCATATATGTGAGATCTCTCTCTCTCTCACACACACACACACACATCAGAACTCCTTAACCACAGTTGGAAAGCCAATATGCAGGGATAATACATACCATAGTTGAAGAGTAGGGGGAGAATATGTGTGACAAAAGCATAGAAGTCTTTATTCACTGTTTTTTAGGTTGCTTGACCTATTTTCCTCTGACCTTATCTTCTGTCTCCCACACTGTTGTGCGGTTTTTACATTATTATTCTAGATAACCCTGCAAAACCAGAGGGAGATCATTTTAGAAATATCTCTTGGCATGCTAAACTGAACAGCACGTAGATAATTACAATCATAACTTGCAGCCAGTAAAAACCTTCCAGAAATTGGCAGACTCTTACAACTTTTGAAGGCTTTCTCCAACTGCAGAATTCTATAGGATATGAAAACCAAGCTCAGACTTTAGAAGGAAATTCCGTGGGTGGCACAAATGAGAAAACATCTCAAAGCCTTTCAAAACCATAGATCAAGGTATAGTGTTGTGTTTCAGTCATGGATGGAGAATTTGTCTTCACTTCTTGTTCTAAACTGTTCTAAACAGTTGTCAGAAGATCACTCCCAGGAATACTGCCTCCCAGAAATACCTTGTACTGGATGTTGGGAAACAGGAGGTACACAGAATAAACGAAAGGAGATCAGAGCAAAGGACACCAATAACAGACTGGAAGAAACCTGAGTGGGAGAATCAATGATGGCCATACATTCAGAAGGTTCACGATGTATTAAAGTGATCACATCCCTGTTTTAGAGCAAGATTTCTGCTAAATTACTTTATTTTTATTATTTTTTAACTTTTAAGTTCAGGGGTGCCTGTGCAGATTTGTTATATAGGTAAACTTGTATCATGGGGGTTTATTGTACAGATTGTTTTGTCACCCAGGTACTAAGCCTAGTACTCATTAATTATTTTCCCTGATCCTCTTCCTTTTTCCACCCTCCACTCTCCAGTAGGCACCTGTGTCTGTTGTTCCCCTCTATGTGTCTGTTTGTTCTCATCATTTAGCTCCCACTTATAAAGTGAGAACATCTGGTATTTGGTTTTCTGTTCCTGCATTAGTTTGCTAAGGATAATGGCTGCCAGCTGCATCCATGTTACTGCAAAGGACATGATCTCATTTTTTTAAATGACTGCATAGTATTCCAGAGTTTATATGTACTACGTTTTCTTTATCCAGTCTACCATTGACAGACATTTAGGATGATTTTATGTCTTTGCTGTTGTGAATAGTGCTGCAGTGAACATAACACGTGCATGTGTCTTTATGATAGAACGGTTTATATTCCTTTGGGTATATATACCCAGCAAGGGGATTACTGGGTTTAATGGTAGTTCTCTTTTTAGGTATTTGAGGAATCACTGCACTGTTTTCCACCATGGTTGAACTAATTTACACTCTCACCAACAGTGTATAAGCCTTCCTTTTTCTCTGCAACTTTGCTAGCACCTGTTATTTTTTGACTTTTTAATAATTCTGCTAAACTACCCTAAAGCGAGGCTCTTCTTTTTTTAAAAAAAAAAAACCCCAAAGGAAGATGCATGGCCTCCATTGGTAACTCATTAAAATAGTTAATAATTCTTTCTGCCAAGATTTAGGCAATTTCTCTTATAGCCAAGTCAAACTTGTTATGAGTTTAGATGAACTAGCTTGGTAACCTACACTGGGGTGTACTAATTCTTATATAGGAGGACTATAGTTAAACATTTGATTTTAAGAGACTGTAATTCCTTTATCCTTAATTTTCATATCCTTAATCATCTTGATTGCTTTCCTCTAAACCCTTCAAAATTCCCCACATACTGAAAATATGAACTTGGTTCTCACCTACAATTATTTCAGGGTCAAGCTTCTCATTTTGGAATCTGTAGGAAATGTGAAAACATTGAAGCAGTTTTCAGTTTTTTTCCCCTGTGAAATATGTGATAGGTGATGTTCACATTTGTAACAGAATGTTAAAATGGAAGTTTCTTCCAAGATCCAAGGATACAGTTAATGTTGCATTCTAAAGCAGGAGGCAGTTTGTATGTAGAATTTCCAAAGGAGTAAACTAAGAACTGGTTATGTGATTCTTGAATCCCTCACCCACTTAAAGGTCATGAAAGGGTTGAGAGAGTAGAGATTATCTCAAGATTTGTAAGGATTTTTTTTTTTTTTTTTTTTTTGGAAAGAGTTGTGCTAAGTCCTATCATCTCCAAGGAGGTGAATTGGGAGGGTGCTTATTTCTTCATCTCAAGTCAAGAGAAAAGGAGATTTAATAGGTGGCATGGAGAACTTTGATATGTGCCCTCTGTGGTTAAAGGAACATAGTGGACTAGTGTCTGATGATTACAAGGAAAATCTAAGAGATGGAGACCAGTCTGTTAGCTGTTCTGACACCAGGAGTGAAGGAGATGTGTCTTTGTTGGGTGGCCTCTTTTTCCAGTGTTTGTTGGGCAAATACCAAGAGTATTTTCCATGGACCAGATGTAGGACATGCAAGGAAAAACTGGCCTGGAGTCTGGAGCTCAAACTGTTATCAGGGTCTATTTCTTTTTTTTCCATCTCTCAGCATAGCTTTTTGTGTGTTCAATCTATTCTCAGGCAGGCCCTCTTTTTATAATTACAAGATGGCTGTCAGCAGTTCCTAGAGCTAATCCTGCTAGGTTTAAAACCAATGAAATAGAGCAAGATTCCATATCTCACTATTCTGAGCACAAGGTCTGAGATGTGCTTCCCATTGGATTGGCCAATGCTTGCTCCTGAATGATGCCTGGGCTGACTTTGGGCTAAGTTGTGTACTTCACCCATGGTTCTGGGAAGGTTGCCTTATCCAGTCCATCAGGCTGAGAGTGCGGAAGGACTAGGTCCCCAAACGATTATCAGCGTCATGCCAGAGGAAGGGGGTAGGATGCCAGGTAGACTAGCTATAAATGTTCTATATGCCTAGCATTTCTGTAGCTGTTTTTCCTCCCTCCCCCCACTACCTCTCATTAGAAGAGTGAAAAAAATAAGGAATTTGGGCCTGTAGTGGCCAGAAAAATCTTTTCCAAGATTAAATGTGAGGCCAACTCTAGGAAACATGAGATGAGAATGTTTCTAAGAAGCTGGAGCATTTAGTGAAATTATGGGCAAGTTGAGAAGTTAGGTGGTTCATGGATCTTTGCTTGGAAGACCTACAGCAGGACTTGCAGGACTTTATTGTAAATCTTTGTGAATGAGGTGAATAGACATTTAAGACTTGCCTTGTCCTTAGGCATGGGTAAGGACTTCATGTCTAAAACACCAAAAGCAATGGCAACAAAAGCCAAAATTGACAAATGGGATCTAATTAAACTAAAGAGCTTCTGCACAGCAAAAGAAACTACCATCAGAGTGAACAGGCAACCTACAGAATGGGAGAAAATTTTTGCAATCCACTCATCTGACAAAGGGCTAATATCCAGAATCTACAAAGAACTCAAACAAATTTACAAGAAAAAAACAACCCCATCAAAAAGTGGGCAAATGATATGAACAGACACTTCTCAAAAGAAGACATTTATGCAGCCAAAAAACACATGAAAAAATGCTCATCATCACTGGCCATCAGAGAAATGCAAATCAAAACCACAATGAGATACCATCTCACACCAGTTAGAATGGTGATCATTAAAAAGTCAGGAAACAACAGGTGCTGGAGAGGATATGGAGAAATAGGAACACTTTTACACTGTTGGTGGGACTGTAAACTAGTTCAACCATTATGGAAGACAGTGTGGCGATTACTCAAGGATCTAGAACTAGAAATACCATTTGACCCAGCCATCCCATTACTGGGTATGTACTCAAAGGATTATAAATCATGCTGCTATAAAGACACATGCACACGTATGTTTATTGTGGCACTATTCACAGTAGCAAAGACTTGGAGCCAACCCAAATGTCCATCAATGATAGACTGGATAAAGAAAATGTGGCACATATACACCATGGAATACTATGCAGCCATAAAAAGGATGAGTTCATGTCCTTTGTAGGGACATGGATGAAGCTGGAAACCATCATTCTCAGCAAACTATCGCAAGGACAAAAAACCAAACACCGCATGTTCTCACTCATAGATGGGAATTGAACAATGAGAACACATGGACACAGGAAGGGGAACATCACACACCAGGGCCTGTGGTGGGGTGGGGGGAGTGGGGAGGGATAGCATTAGGAGATATACCTAATGCTAAATGATGAGTTAATGGGTGCAGTACACCAACATGGCACATGTATATCTATGTAACAAACCTGCATGTTGTGCACATGTACCCTAGAATTTAAATATAATTAAAATAAAAGACTTGCCTTGTCCTCAGCATTGTAGCCCACAAAGACAGTGCTTGATGTGTGCTGTATCTTTGAGCAAAAATGCTTCTCCATCTAAACCATGTCGTTTGATAATATTCTTTCATAGCACTCTGTATTTCCTTTCATAGTAGGAACACAACTCCTGGGTGGGGTTATTTATATCTCCCACTAGACTATAAATTCTATGAGGTCAAGAACCATATAAATTTTGCTAACCATTGAATTACCAGCATTTCACAGAGTATCTAGCATCTAGTAGATGCTCAAAAAATGTTTGCTGAATGGATGATTGAATAATAATTTTTCTCTTAGTACTAAAGCATAACTTAGGGAAAAGAAGTACATGCTGCTATTTGGGAAGAGGGTCTGCTTACCTTACCAGTCAGTTTGCCCATCCAGATGACTCTCCAATCCAATGTGGGTCAGATTGTATTACCTGTTATTTAAAGTACTTACTATAACTCTGTGTCAAGAATCCACTTTCAAGATATGGTACATGTAGAAAAAGAACACTGCCTGGTGTGTAATATGTATTTGACACCCTAAAGGAAGGGAGTTATTTATAAGATTAATAATCTGGATCTTTTGGATGGTCATAGAAAAAAGTTACACTTACATACTATGTGCATTTTGTGTTTTGATTTAAAAACACCCATCTTATATCATAAGTATATAATAACCTTTTTCTCTCATGTGACACTATCTTCATAATCATTTAATGGCTATATAACATCTCAGTGAGTAGACTGTCCATAAGGCAATTGACTATACTCCTATTATTGAATACTTAGTTGCTTCTAATTTTTCCAATGTTGTAAATAATGCAACAGATCTGTGCATACAGCTTTTATCATTTCTTAGATATTTTTCTAGAAAGGTTTCCCTAGGGTATTATTTCAGACTGCTAGCTTAGGGAATGAGGAGTTAAATGGGTTTTCTAAACATGGGATGTGCTTTCAGATCTCTGGACCTCAGTCTGTATTCTGTCCACTGAGGGTCCTGTTGCAGGCGAGGTCCCAGAGCAGTCCTCATAATATCAAGCCCCAGCCTGGGCACCTATTCCAATGCAATGAAGAGTTGTTGCCAATATATGGAAAGGAAATTAGAACACTTGAGTTGTCTACTTTTTCTCCACTTCTATGAATAGTATTTATTTTGAAATTTTCATAAAAATATAAACATTATTTTAAAAACAGTTTAGATTTACAAAAAATACAAAGACAGTACAGAAAATTCCCATATACCCTGCACCCAGTTTACCCTATTATTAACATATTAATATGGTACATTGATTATAACTAATGAAACCTATATTGTTATATTATTATTATTATATTCATCTACTTTTATTGATTTTTTTACAATTGAAGTTATAAGACTGTTAGTTCAATAAAGTAATACTCAAGTAATCTTAAAGTCAAAGAAATGAAAAGAGAAAGGGAAAAAGGAAGACCATGGTAATAGGCACAGATGCTTCTTAAGAAGATCAGGGAAGTGGTTCTTCCCCTTATTTCTGCTTTTTTAAAAAAGGCAACGTGTGAGATAATGTACAAAATGGCAGGATTTGGAAGCATTCTATTTTTTAGAAAAATAATTTTAACTTTTATTTTAGATTTGGGGGTACACGTGGAGGTTTGTTACATGGGTGTATTGTGTGATGCTGAGGTTTGAGATATGAATGATACTGTCCCCCAGGTACTGAGCATAGTACCCCACAGATAGTTTTTCAGTCCTTGCTCCCCTCTAGTACTCCCCAGCATGTATTGTTCCCATTTTTGTGTCCATGCCTACCCAATGCTTAGCTCCAACCTGTAAGTGAGAAAGAACATGAGGTATTTGGTTTTCTGTTTCTGTATTAATTTGCTTAGGATAATGGCCTCCAGATGCACCACGTTGCTGCAAAGGATATGATTTCATTCTTTTTTTTTTATGGCTGGGTAGTTTTCCATGGTGTGTATATACCACATTTTCTTTATCCAATCCACTGTTGATGGGCACCTAGGGTTCCATGTCTTTGCTATTGTAAATAGTGCTGTGATAAACATATGAATGCATATGACTTTTTCATAGAATGATTTATTTTTCTTTGGGTATATACCCAATAATGGAATGAAGCATTCTGTTTTTAAGAGATTTCCATTAGAAATTACTTACTATATTTTTATTATTATTGCTGGGAACTGATTAGTGTGTTTTTCAAAATATTACTTTTTTTTTTTTACATCTTGTACTTTTGTTCCAATTCTGCTAAAAGTCTTTTTTTAGTAAATTAATTTTGAATTGCAAATATTTAAAAATAACTTGTCCTAATCTTATTTTCCAGCTATAATCTTTAGAAGTTACTGCCAAACTGACTTGCAATCTTTCTCAGGCTATCCTTTTCTACCTCTTAACTAGTTTCCTAATCACCTCTTCAGGGAGCACTCTACTGGCTGAGGATACTGTTTTAAGATTGCAGCCCTAAAAAATTGAGAAGATGAAGGTTACCTTTCTCACTTTCCCTTTCCACTTTCATTTTCCTTTATCTCTTCTTTGAGTTCTTCAAACCCCAAGTGTGGTCCACAGCCTCTACGATGGCTCCCAATGATTCCGGTCTCCTGGTATTCATAGTCTTATTTAATTCCCTCCTCCTAAGTAACCTGCTTCTAACTCATAGACTATGACAATGTTGGGGGCATTTCATTTCCATAATTAGGTTATAAAATATGGTGACTTGTTTGTAGACTTTCTTTTTCTTGCTAGCTTTGATGAAATAAACTGCCATGGTGTAGAGGTCCACATGGCAAGAAGCTGAGGGTGGCCTCTGGTCAGCAGCCTGAAAGTAATTGAGGCCCTCGGTACAACACTCAAGCAACTGAATACTGCCAGTAAC
Organism: Homo sapiens; assembly: GCF_000001405.40. Taxonomy (NCBI): domain Eukaryota; kingdom Metazoa; phylum Chordata; class Mammalia; order Primates; family Hominidae; genus Homo; species Homo sapiens. The sequence continues at coordinate 91,804,508 of NC_000007.14, read as the reverse complement.
CCCTTAATTGAGTTTGAGATTGGATTCTTCCCCAGTTGAACTTTCAACCGAGACCTCAGCACTGGCTAATAGTTTGATTACAGCCTCATGAGAGACCATGAAGCAGAGGATCATGTTCAGATTCCTGGCCCACAGAAACTATTGTTTTAAGCTGTTAAATTTTGGGCTAATTTTTTTTTTGAGATGGAGTTTCACTCTGTCGTCCAGGCTGGAGCACATTGGCATGATCTTGGCTTACTGCAACCTCTACCTCCCAGGTTCAAGTGATTCTTCTGCCTCAGTCTCCCAAGTAGCTGGGGCTACAGGGGCACACCACTTCTCCTGGCTAATTTTTGTAATTTTAGTAGATATGGGGTTTCACCATATTGGTCAGGCTGGTCTCGAACTCCTGACCTCAGGTGATCCACCCGCCTCGGCCTCCCAAAGGGCTGGGATTATAGGCATGAGCCACTGTGCCTGGCCTGGGATAATTTTTTACACAGTAATAGATAACATACTGAGCTTCCTTCGACTTCAAAGGATGTGTTGAGTCAGTAACAAGTTACTCTTGGATATATATTATATTGCCTAAGATAATAGGAATAGATATTAGTTATAAAAATTGTGGCACAATGGCTTCTGAATGGAGAAAATATTTTTAGTGACTTCTTAGAATGTTAAAGTGGTAAGAGATCCCAGAGATAATCTGGTTAATGTTTCTCTAGGTGTGTCCCATAGAAAACAGAACTCTTGAATTTTTCTCTAAAATTGGTTTCACTCCCAGACTTCTTTATTTTTTGAAAGGCATTCCCTGACACTCAGCTGATGAGCCTGAAAGGCCAGGAATTTAGGAGCCAGCCTTGATTCCCTCCTCTTGTACCCACTCGTCCACCTATAGGATCACCAACCAGCCAATTGGTTCTGTCTTCGAAACATACCTGAAATCTGTCTACCTTTTCTCATTGCCACCACACTGGTCGAATTGGCCTCATCTCTCACTTAGAACTGCTAACACAGCTTTTGTGGTAGGCAGAATAATGCTGTTTCCCCTACCCCCTCAAAGATGTCAACACCTTAATTCTCAGAACCTGAGAATATGTTATCCTACATGGCAAAAGGGATTTGTCAATGTGATTTAAGGATAGAGACCTTCAGATAATGAGATTATACGGAATTATCTTGGTGGGTCTGATTTAATCACATGCATCCTTAAAAGCAAAAAACATTTCTTGGCTGAATCAGACAAATGAAATGGAAGGAGACATTGGAAGCATGAGAAAGAGTCAACACACTGTTACTGACTTTGAAGACAGAGGAAGGCAGCCACAAGCTAAGGAATATCAGTGACCTATAGAAGCTGAGAATGGCCCTCAATTTATAGCCAGCAAGAAAACAGGGACCTCAGTTCTAAAAACACAAGGAACTGAATTCTGCCAACAATCTGAATAATCAAGAAATTGATTCACCTCTAGAGCCCCCAGAAAGGAATGCAGCTGTGCCAATACCTTGATTTTAGCCCAGTGAGACCCATATTAGACATCAAACCTACAGAACTGTATATTAATAAATTGCTATTGTCAAAGCCACTAAATTTTTGGCCATTTATTACAGTAGCAATCAAAATGAATACAGCTTTTTGTTCTTCCGAAGTATTCTGCCCCTTCAAGCTGTTCTTTATAGGATAGCCAGGGTGACCTTTTAAAAAACAAATTCTACCAAAAGCTCAGGCAACAAAAACAGAAATAAATAAATGGGACTACATGACCACCTTGTAAAGATATCTGCACTCCCATATCACTGAAGCATTATTCAAAATAGCCAAGATATGGAACAACCTAAATGTCCATTTACAGAAAAATGGATAAAGAAAATGTGGTATATATATATATGTGTATATATTCAATGGGATTTTTTTTTTTTTTTGAGGCAGAGTCTTGCTCTGTCACCCAGGCTGGAGTGCAACGGTGTGATCTCGGCTCACTGCAACCTCCACCTCCTGGGTTCAAGCGAGTTTCCTGCCTCAGCCTCCTGAGTAGCTGGGATTACAGGTGCGTGCTACTACACCCAGCTAATTTTTGTATTTTTAGTAGAGATGAGGTTTCACCATATTGGTCAGGCTGGTCTTGAACTCTTGACCTTGTGATCTGCCCACTTCGGGCTCCCAAAGTGCTGGGAATACAGGAGTGAGCCAGCACGCCTGGCCTATTCGATGGAATATTATTCAGCCTTAAAAAGAATGAAATCCTGCTATTTGCCACAACATGGATGGACCTGGAGGACATTATACTAAGTGAAATAAGCTAGATGCAGAGAGAGAAATATTGCATGATCTCACTTTTATATGTGGAATACACACACACACACACACACACACACACACACACACACACACTTATATAGGCTCAAATACACAGAGTTAGAAAATGAAACAGTGATTACCATGAGTGGAGGGGAGGAGGCGGGGAAATGGGGAGATGTAGGTTAAAGGCTATAAAATAGCAGTTACGTAGGATGAACAAGTTTAGAGATCTAAGGTACAATATGAGTACTAAAGTTAATAAAATTGTACTGTATTGATGGCAGCAGTGGCCCATCTGGAGTGGCTGCTGCCATGATGCTGGTTGCAGTGTGGGAGGCTCTGCTGGGGCTGCATGTTCCATGGAGCCAGCAAGGGCTGGAAGCAGGCAGGAGCCCCACTCTTCTGGGCACAGCTGCAGCTACCCAAGTTGCGGCTGCAGACCTGGGCATCTCTGCACTCTCGGGGGCCTGGGAAGGCTCCCGTGCCCCTGCAGGCTCAGGGTGTCTGCTTCCAATGTCTGGACTCTCACTGCTCCTGGTGCCTGCTCTGATTTCAGAGCAAGGTTGGGGCTGAGCCTTGGTATTGTCACAGCCCAGCTGGGTATGTGCACGCTCGGGGTAGCACTGATACACCAGCCCCCTGCTGCTTCACCCCCTCTGGACTTTGGGCACTGATGAGCATGGGAGGGAGGCCAAGGAGGGGCTGAGGGCAGTTTGGTGCTGGCCTGCAGGTGTCCCTTAGCATGAGCAGCCTGGGCACCATGAACAGTGGCAGGAGGCATCAGGCTCCTGGGTGGAAGGGGGTGGGTCCCCTGACAAGCCCCAACTTCAAGCTGGGGAGGGTCTGAAGCCTAGGGGCTGGGCTGCCAGTCCCATGTACTGAAGTGGGAACTTGTGGTGCTTTTTCTGGGCCTGCTCATGGCTGTCCATGGACCAATCAGTGTGCACTTTCTCCCCTCTGAGGCCCATAAAAGCCCTGGATTCAGCCAGACGAGGATACAATGGGACGGCTAGCTGCGGAGAGAAGCTACCTGCTCAAGAGTCTCCCTTTTGCTGAGAGCTGAGTAGATGACGAAACAACCTGTGTGGAGAGAGGAGCTCCTCACTCCAGGGTCTCCTCTCTGCTCAGAGCTGAACACTCACTGGGACACCCTGGCTGTGGAGAGGAGCTACCCTCTGTGGGTCTCCTCTGAGCTGTTCTGTCACCCAATAAAACTCCTCTTCACCTTGCTCACCCTCCACTTGTCTGTGTACCTCATTCTTCCTAGATGCAGGACAAGAACTTGGGACTCACTGAATGGTGGGGCTAAAAGAGCTGTAACACAAATAGGGCTGAAATACACCCCTTGCTTGCCATGTTGTGGGTAAGAAGAAGGAAAGAAGAATGAAGAGCTGCAGCCCTTCAGGGAGCCCAGACCTAGGAGCTATCTGCACCATGACTGTGACACCCTCTTTAGGGCTCTGCGGTTTCTGGTGTCTCCAAGCTTCTAGGTGCCACCGTGTTTCCCAGTGCCAGCCATGGAAGCTGCTTGCAGTACACCTGGTCCAGCTGCAGGCTTGCAGGGAGCCAGCGCCTGTGCCAGTGCCTGGAGCTGCATGTCCCGCAGTCGCCAGTGTGCCTGGCTGTGCGCAGTAGTTAGACCCCACGCTCACTCATACACCCCTCACTGCTCTGTGCCTTGCTTGCCCTTGGCAGGCATGGGATCCAGGCCAGAAGCATGAGCTGACTGCAGTCTGGCAGGTCAAGTGGGTGGAATGAGCCCAGCAGGCCTGAGCAAAACTTGGGCAAAGGCGTCACTGGCCACAGATGTTTCTGGCTGGTGAAGTGACACCCGAAGAATCCTGTGACAGTATTAGGGATTTTTGTTAGGTAGATTTTTGCTGCTTTTGTCACAGAAAGTAAACATGTAAGATGATAGGTATGTTAATTTGCTTCATTATAGTAACCATTTGCTATCTGTGTGTGTTCCATAACATTATATTGTAAACTTAATATATACACAATAAAATTGGTTAAAAAAACAGAAAAACATTCTATCAGGTGACTTCCCAGTTTAAACTTTCCATTGTACTTAGAGTAAAACCAACCTCTTTTATATGGCCCAGAACCCCTGCATGTCTGGCCCCTGCCAATTTCTCCAGTCCCTCCTGGAGTCACCTCCTCATCTGTCTCACTGTCCTTTCAATTCTCTTAACTTGTTAAGCAGTTTCATACCCTGAGGTTTTCACAGATGCTGGTATTTTGCCTGGAATACCTTCCCCTGCCCTTTATAGCAGACCTCTTCTCATTCTTCAAATATCATCTTAAGTGATACTAATTATATGGGTATAATTATATTATAAATTATACCCATATAATTTATATTGGTATAATATTATATTATACCCATATATAATATATCTCATAAATTATATTGGTATCACTTAAGATACTGTGATATCCTGATGTAATATGATATTAGAGACACTGCAGTACCCAGTGCAGGTCCTGGCACATGGTAGGTAATCAATACATGGTTACTTCCAATGAGATGCTTATACACTTTTTTTCCATAGGAAATGGTTTCAGATCCAATAAATTTGGAAATGTTGAGATTAAATGAAGTTAAAGTTTCTTTACTGTAGGACTTTTCTGGGGTTTTAATATGCTAACAGGTTATCCCTTGTTAATGGATTATGAATCTTTAAATGGGGTTGTTGTTTGTAGCTTTTCTCCTATTTATTTGACCTGGAACCCGTTTTTTTTGAGAGGAGTATCTCTTAGCACTGGTATTTTGTGGTATGAAATTCAGGAAATGCCAATGTAGTTCAGAGTTCTTATTTTATAGTCAAAGAAACTGAGGCCCAGGAAGAATCACTGACTTGTTTAAAATTACATTGTGAGCCTTTGTAGGAGTCAGGTCTTTCATGAAGGTCTAAACATTTAGGAATGTCTATAGCATCTTTGAATTATTAGCCAAACCAATAGGGCAAGTTATGTTTAGAGTAAAATTATAGATGAGAGGTTAGAGCAGAGTGTATCAAAGAACTTGGCCTCCTTTGGAAATTGCCATTTCTGATAAAAATACCACAACAAAGTTATTCAGACCCCATAATTTAAAAATGCTACCATATCCCCTCACTCATGCCCATATCAAAACAAGAATTTATACAATTTAGTTTGCTCCAGCTGTCTGGAATAGGAAGGAACCAGGCATGAAGCATAAAGGAAAGTCTGGCATTTATTTACTTACCTGATTGCTGTTTTGTGGGAATTTTTGTGTGGGAACGGATTCTGAGAGTGTGTGAGAGTAGATTCCATATGTTCAACCTCAGTATTGGTTGAATGTGAATAAGTGGTTGGCTTTGGAATCCTGCATCTGTGGGTTAGAAACACTCCTCCATCCGGTATGACATTTAGCACATTATACCAAACCTCCTCAAGCCTCTGTTTTCTCATCTGTAAATATGAGTAATATTAATCCCACCTCATAGAGTTGTTGAGATGAGATGATGCATGTAAAGAACTCAGCACATTGCCTCGCACCAATGCACACTGTAAAAGAGAGTATTATTAGGAGAAAGGAGTTTAGGTGTGCAAATGAGTGTTTGAGGGATTTGTGAAGATACCGAGAAAAGTTTCAAGCTTGCTTAATGAACTCCACTAATTAATTTCACATTTCCTCGTAAGAATGTGCAGAATTTGCAAACCAGACCTTCTGACTTGGTTTTGAAAAATACCACATAAGAGAAAACACAGAGTCCACATGTATTTTTCATCCAGTTCATTTCTTGGTCACTTAGGATTTTGCTTGCAGATCTGGAATAAGATAGTTTGACCTAGCGTAGTGTAAATACACACTGGCCATCGCTTAATGACAAACAGTGTAGTCAACACCCTGTATTACTTAGGGGTTTACATGGTATGCTTGGCAAACAGCCATTAGTATGATCGTTTTGAGGCTTGTCTTTCAAACTTTGTTAGGGCAGGTGTTGTAGAGTACCGTTACTAGGGCTATAGTGGTCTTCCTCCTAAGGCATGGTCTTTCTAGGGTCTGTTGAATGCTCAGAGAGTGTTTACTGAGGCTGCCACTTAGACACGTTGAAATTTGAACATTTCCAAGGGCTGGGGGACCTCTGATAGTTGTTCAGCCCACAGCTCCCCTGTAGTCCTTTCCTTGGCTTTGTGGAGTCTTGTTTAACACGTCTCTTGCATAGTATTCAGCCAAAGACTCAAGGGGTCTCCTATGCAGATTCCTGGATCTCTTATCCATTCATTTATATCACTTTTCTCAACTTGGAATTATGTATTTGTACAAACAGATTACACAACCCTTTCCTCTCCTGTACCATGTCCTCTGCATTCCAGCTGTCTCAGTGGCCCTGAATTCTGATCTCTGTTTCATCAGCACCCGATACAGAGGTTTGTAAAGTGCTTCTAGGCTCACCTTGTTTGTTTTCCTTCTCTCAGGAATCAGATTTTGCCCATTGTCTGACATCTGAAAACAGTTATTTCATATGTCTTGTCAAGTTCTATGGTTGTTTAAGAGGAAAAGTTTCTCTGTTGTTGCCAGAAGCAGAAGTCCTTTCCCACTTTTAGTCTCCATTACTTTACCATAGGGTCTCTACCTTTAAGAGTCCACCCTGGCCGGGCGTGGTGGCTCACGCCTATAATCCCAGCACTTTGGGAGGCCGAGGCGGGCGGATCACGAGGTCAAGATATCCACACCATCCTGGCCAACATGGTGAAACCCCGTCTCTACTAAAAATACAAAAATGAGCCGGGCGTGGTGGCGGGCGCCGGTAGTCCCATCTACTCGGGAGGCTGAGGCAGGAGAATCGCTTGAACCCGGGAGGAGGAGCTTGCAGTGAGCCGAGATTGTGCCCCTGCACTCCAGGCTGGTGACAGAGTGAGACTCCCTCTCAAAAACACACAACAAAACAAACCCTACCTCCACCCATACAACTATTATATATCCATAGCAATTAAAAATAAAATAAAAGATAAATCTAAGATAAAAAAAGGAACCCCCCCATCCCCCCAATACTGTAGAGGCCTACGTGATGGGGTCATTTCTGATCAACCTTGATTTTAAAGAACTTACTGGTTGTGTATATTGGTTATAACTGAAATCACAGGATCACATAGAACCCTTATTTTCTTTAGTCATCATAAACACATTAATTATAATAGAATAAGCTAATAATCTATTTCTATGCCAATATCTTCAATATAATTTGAAGGGAAAAGTGATAACATATTGCCATCTTTCATAAAGACATATCAAGAATGGTCTCTCTCCTCCTATAATATGATTAAGTGAAGAAAATTGTGATAAAATATGATTTAAAGGGCTCATAGACTTTCAGTCTTTTTTTTTTGCTTAATGTAGAAAATATAATCTAAAAATTGAAACAAATTTAAGAAAAATAATTAGTTTTTCTTCTTGGTAGGAGATAGGAGCCCACTGGTGAGAAGATATTCATTAGTAAGTTTTTGCTGCAAAGAATGTTTCCTGGCATCAGTAAAGAATGTTTATCTTTGCTTGCAAATGATATTGCCTGTATCGTGAATAACTATGAGAAGAACACAAAGGAAAATTCCACAATTTAAATTTGCACACTTATTTCAATTCCTTGTTTCAAATGTCTAGTGCCTATTAATTTAGGTGCCATGATTTTCTTTTCTTCTCCATGATTATTTTGACTTGGATAACTTTGGAAAAGCATTTGCAGGAGTATAATACATCTTTGTTTTATGACTGGATTGTGGATTTACTGACTCCAGCCTTATTTAAGGCCCTGAACTTTGAGAATTTCATATCCACATGTAACTTCAAATAATCTTAAAAAACATTGCTTTGATGTTTTGTTTTTATTCTTTTGAGTGTATGACTTTATTATGTGAATTGTCAACATAATATTGCACAATCGTCTTATGAAGACGATAAGTGGTTGATGTTATTCTGCTTTTACGGAGGAGAAATCAGAGATATGGAAGGATTCTGTGATTTGCCTAGTGTTTTCCATAGACAATTCAGTGTTATGGCCAGAACTGGAACTGAAGACTTGGGACTTGGGTCTAGTAGAAAAAGCATTGTTTAAAGAGGAGGAGGGAAGTTGATTGTGGTTCCAACTGTGTTCTCAATTTAAGCCAGTTCCTTACGTGGGGCTCATTTTTCTTATTTTTATTAAGTAAAATGTTGGGGTAGAATAGGTGAGCTCTCAGATCCTTTCAGCTCTGAAATTCTGTGGTCATTTGACTCCCTTTGGCTTTTCTCTCACAGTGCATTGCTTTCTTTAGCTTTCATCTGGATATACCTGGATTGCATCTGATTTTTATTTCTCCACTTCTGCTTGTGCTTTAATGGTATATTATTTTGCCTTTAAGTAGTTTTACTGAAGAAGTAAAAAGGCATTTAGCCACCTAGCATACAATAACCCTGTGATTTAGGAACAGTCTTGCTGACTTTCTCATGGGTATTTTAATATTTTATTATTGTATTATATAGTACTTTTATTTATTTTTATTTATTTATTTTTATTATACTTTAAGTTCTAGGGTACATGTGCACAACGTGCAGGTTTGTTACATAGGTATACATGTGCCAAGTTGGTTTGCCCCACCTATTAACTCGTCATTTACATTAGGTATTTCTCCTAATGCTGTCCCTCACCCAGCCCTCCACCCCACGACAGGACCCAGTGTGTGATGTTCCTCACCCTGTGTCCAAGTGTTCTCATTGTTCAATTCCCACCTATGAGTGAGAACATGTGGTGTTTGGTTTTCTGTTCTTGTGAGAGTTTGCTCAGAATGATGGTTTCCAGCTTCATCCATGTCCCTGCAAAGGACATGAACTCATCATTTTTTATGGCTGCATAGTATTCCATGGTGTATATGTGGCACATTTTCTTTATCCAGTCTATCATTGATGGACATTTGGGTTGATTCCAAGTTTTTGCTATTGTGAATAGTGCCTCAATAAACATACGTGTGCATGTGTCTTTATAGTAGCATAATTTATAATCCTTTGGGTATATACCCAGTAATGGGATGGCTGGGTCAAATGGTATTTCTAGTTCTAGATCCTTGAGGAATCACCACACTGTCTTTCATAATGGTTGAACTAGTTTACACTCCCACCAACAGTGTAAAAGCGTTCCTATTTCTCCACATCCTCTCCAGCGTCTGTTGTTTCCTGACTTTTTAATGATCGCCATTCTAACTGGCGTGAGATGGTGTCTCACTGTGGTTTTGATCTGCATTTCTCTGATGGCCAGTGATGATGAGCATTTTTTCATGTGTATTTTGGCTGCATAAATGTCTTCTTTTGATAAGTGTTTGTTCATATGCTTTGCCCTCTTTTTGATGGGGTTGTTTGTTTTTTTTCTTGTAGATTTGTTTAAGTTCTTTGTAGATTCTGGATATTAGCCCTTGTCAGATGAGTAGATTGCAAAAATTTTCTCCCATTTTGTAGGTGGCCTGTTCACTCTGATGGTAGTTTCTTTTGCTGTGCAGAAGCTCTTTAGTTTAATTAGATCCCATTTGTCAATTTTGGCTTTTGTTGCCATTGCTTTTGGTGTTTTAGTCATGAAGTCCTTGTCCATGCCTATGTCCTGAATGGTATTGCCTAGGTTTTCTTCTAGGGTTTTTATGGTTTTAGGTTTAACATTTAAGTCTTTAATCCATTTGGAATTAATTTTTGTATAAGGTGTAAGGGAAGGATCCAGTTTCAGCTTTCTACATATGGCTAGCCAGTTTTCCTAGCACCATTTATTAAATAGGCAATCCTTTCCCCATTTCTTGTTTTTGTTAGGTTTGTGAAAGATCAGATGGTTGTAGATGTGTGGTGTTATTTCTGAGGCCTCTGTTCTTTTCCATTAGTCTATATCTCTGTTTTGGTACCAGTACCATGCTGTTTTGGCTACTGTAGCCTTGTAGTACAGTTTGAAGTCAGGTAGCATGATGCCTCCAGCTTTGTTCTTTTTGCTTAGGATTGTCTAGGCAATGTGGGCTCTTTTTTGGTTCCATATGAAGTTTAAAGTGGTTTTTTCCAATTCTGTGAAGAAAGTCATTGGTAGCTTGATGGGGATGGCATTGAATCTATAAATAACCTTGGGCAGTATGGCCATTTTCATGATATTGATTCTTCCTATCCATGAGCATGGAATGTTCTTCCATTTGTTTGTGTCCTCTTTTATTTCATTGAGCAATGGTTTGTAGTTCTCCTTGAAGAGGTCCTTGACATCCCTTGTAAGTTGGATTCCTAGGTATTTTATTCTCTTTGTGGCAATTGTGAATGGGAATTCACTCATAATTTGGCTCTCTGTCTGTTATGGGTGTATAAGAATGCTTGTGATTTTTGCACATTGATTTGGTATCCTGAGACTTTGCTGAAGTTGCTTATTAGCTCAGTTGGGCTGAGATGATGGGGTTTTCTAAATACACAATCATGTCATCTGCAAGCAGGGACAATTTTGACTTCCTCTTTTCCTAATTGAATACCCTTTATTTCTTTCTCCTGTCTAATTGCCCTGGCTAGAACTTCCAACACTATGTTGAATAGGAGTGGTGAGAAAGGGCATCCCTGTCTTGTGCCAGTTTTCAAAGGGAATGCTTCCAGTTTTTTCCCATTCAGTAAGATATTGGCTGTGGGTTTGTCATAAATAGCTCTTATTATTTTGAGATATGTTCCATCAATACCTAGTTTATTGAGTTTTTAGCGTGAAAGCCTGTTGAATTTTGTCCAAGGCCTTTTCTGCATCTATTGAGATAATCATGTGGTTTTTGTCGTTGGTTCTGCTATGTGATGGATTACGTTTGTTGATTTGCATATGTTGAACCAGCCTTGCATCCCAGGGATGAAGCCAACTTGATCGTGGTGGATAAGCTTTTTAATGTGCTGCTGGATTCAGTTTGCCAGTATTTTATTGAGGATGTTCGCATCTATGTTCATCAGGGATATTGGTCTGAAATTCCTTTTTTTTTGTTGTGTCTCTGCCAGGCATTGTTACCAGGATGATGCTGGCCTCATAAAATGAGTTAGGAAAGATTCCTTCTTTTTCTATTGATTGGAATATTTTCAGAAGGAATGGTACCAGGTCTTCTTTGTACCTCTCATAGAATTTGGCTGTGAATCCATCTGGTCCTGGCCTTTTTTTGGTTGGTAGGCTACTGATTATTGCCTCAATTTCAGAGCCTGTTATTGGTGACCTACAGATGGGGTTTTGGTGTGGATGTCCTTTTTGTTGATGTTGATGCTATTCCTTTCTGTTTGTTAGTTTTCCTTCTGAGAGTGAGGTCTCCATCCGCATCAAGCTACCAATGACTTTCTTCACAGAATTGGAAAAAACTACTTTAAAGTTCATATGGAACAAAAAAAGAGCCTGCATCGCCAAGTCTATCCTAAGCCAAAAGAACAAAGCTGGAGGCATCATGCTACCTGACTTCAAACTATACTACAAGACTATAGTAACCAAAACAGCATGGTACTGGTACCAAAACAGAGATATAGTTCAAAGGAACAAAACAGGGCCCTCAGAAATAATGCCGCATATCTACAACCATCTGATCTTTCACAAACCTGACAAAAACAAGCAATGGGGAAAGGATTCCCTATTTAATAAATGGTGCTGGGAAAACTGGCTAGCCATATGTACAAAGCTGAAACTGGATCCCTTCCTTACACCTTATACAAAAATTAATTCAAGATGGATTAAAGACTTACATGTTAGACCTAAAACCATAAAAACCCTAGAAGAAAACCTAAGCAATACCATTCAGGACATAGGCATGGGCAAGGACTTCATGTCTAAAACACCAAAAGCAATGGTAACAAAAGCCATAATTGACAAATGGGATCTAATTAAACTAAAGAGCTTCTGCACAGCAAAAGAAACTACCATCAGAGTGAACAGGCTACCTAAAAAATGGGAGAAAATTTTCGCAACTTACTCATCTGACAAATGGCTAATATCCAGAATCTACAATGAACTCAAACAAATTTACAAGAAAAAAACAAACAACCCCATCAACAAATGGGTGAAGGATATGAACAAACACTTCTCAAAAGAAGACATTTATGCAGCCAAAAAACACATGAAAAAATGCTTGTCATCACTGGCCATCAGAGAAATGCAAATCAAAACCACAATGAGATACCATCTCACACCAGTTAGAATGGCGATCATTAAAAAGTCAGGAAACAACAGGTGCTGGAGAGGATGTGGAGAAATAGGAACACTTTTACACTGTTGTTGGGACTGTAAACTAGTTCAACCATTGTGGAAGTCAGTGTGGCGATTCCTCAGGGATCTAGAACTAGAAATACCATTTGATCCAGACATCCCATTACTGGGTATATACCCAAAGGATTATAAATCATGCTGCTATAAAGACACATGCACACGTATGTTTATTGTGGCACTATTCACAATAGCAAAGACTTGGAACCAACCCAAATGTCCAACAATGATAGACTGGATTAAGAAAATGTGGCACATATACACCACGGAATACCTTGCAGCCATAAAAAATGATGAGTTCATCTCCTTTGTAGGGACATGGATGAAACTGGAAACCATCATTCTCAGTAAACTGTTGCAAGGACAAAAAACCAAACACTGCATGTTCTCACTCATAGGTGGGAACTGAACAATGAGAACACATGGACACAGGAAGGGGAACATCACACTCCAGGGCCTGTTGTGGGGTTGGGGCAGGAGGGAGGTATAGCATTAGGAGATATACCTAATGCTAAATGACAAGTTAATGGGTGCAGCACACCAACATGGCACATGTATATATATGTAACAAACCTGCACATTGTGCATATGTACCCTAAAACTTAAAGTATAATAATAATAAAATTAAAAAAAAAGGAGTCAGGTCTCTCAGCTGCAGGTCTGTTGGAGTTTGCTGGAGGTCTCCTTCAGACTCTGTTTGCCTGGGTATCACCAGCGGAGGCTGCAGAACAGCAAACATTGTTGCCTGATCCTTTCTCTGGAAGCTTCGTCCCAGAGGGCACCCACCTGTATGAGTTGTCAGTCGGCCCCTACTGGGAGGTGCCTCCCAGTTAGGCTACAGGGGGGTCAGGGACCCACTTGAGGAGGCAGTCTGTCTGTTCTCAGAGCTCAAACGACGTGCTGGGAGAACCCCTGCTCTCTTCAGAGCTGTCAGACAGGGACATTTAAGTCTGCAGAAGTTTCTGCTGCCTTTTGTTCAGCTATGCGTTGCCCCCAGAAGTGGAGTCAACAGGGGCAGCGGGTCTTGCTGAGCTGTGGTGGGCTCTGCCCAGTTTGAGCTTCCCTGGCTGCTTTGTTTACCTACTCAAGCCTCAGCAATGGCAGACGTCCCTCTCCCTGCCAGGGTGCTGCTTCGCAGGTCGATCTCAGACTGCTGCGCTAGCAGTGAGCAAGGCTCCATGGGCGTGGGACCCGTCGAGCCAGGCATAGGATATAATCTCCTGGTGTGCCATTTGCTAAGACCATTGGAAAAGTGCAGTATTTAGGTGGGAGTTTCTCATTTTTTCAGGTACAATCTGTCATGGCTTCCTTTGGCTAGGAAAGGGAAATCCCCCAACCCCTTGCTCTTTCTGGGTTAGACGATGCCCCGCCCTGCTTTGGCTTGCCCTTCATGGGCTGCACCTACTGTCCAACCAGTCCCAGTGAGATGAACCAGGTACCTCAGTTGGAAATGCAGAAATCACCCATCTTCTGCATCTATCATGCTGGGATCTGCAGACCGGAGCTGTTCCTATTCAGCCATCTTGGAATGGCAATCTCATATAGTAGTTTTATAACAAATTTACCTATTATGTAGTTTAACTAAAGTAATTAGCCATCACTATATTTTCAAATAAGGTGGACTTCGGGTCCCAAGATACTCACCATTGTTTGATTTCATTGATAATCCCATGTGTGATCTTGGGTCTCATACCAGCCTTTGTTTTTCTTTTTCTTTTCTTTTTTTTTTTTGAGACAGGGTCTCTCTATGTTAACACTGATCTGGAACTCCTGGGGTCATGTGATCCTCCCACCTCAGCCTCCTGAGTTGCTGGGGCTACTGGTGCATGCCACCATTCCTGGCTACCATATTAGCCTTATTATAATACAATGAAGTAAGGTTATCAATAACTTACCTTCCTCACAAAGACATGGTGATAGAACACCAAACTAAATAATAGTTATTCCCGTGATTGTTTTATACTCCAGAGCTTAAGGATATAAATGTTGAAGCATTTCAAGATAGAATATGTACTTCAAAGTTTTCAAAATAATTAAAAAATAGAATTTTGAAATAGTGAAGAAAAGACTATTGGATCTTTCAACTGGGTTATGAAATGTATACCAAACTTTGGACTTTTTGGAACCCACTTCCGGACTCTTCCATGACTGATAAGTCTGTAATTTGCTATTAAAATGTTGCAATTTCAGTTTTAGACAGTTGAGCTATAAATTGCTGAGATATGGGATAAGTGGCCAATTATTTTAGAACAAATGACTATTGTTTTATTCAAGGAGGGAGAGAGTTCACTGTACTACTTACTTATAGTGATTATTTAAAATTTTTCTCCAGAAGAAAAAGTCCATGCCACATTTGTGGAAATGGTTAAGTGACCACAGTAACAAAGAATCCAGGGATGATTTAGTGCAGATCATCATGCAGGTTTCCCAGCATGTGTATTTTAAACAGTATTGTGTTGTCTCCAAGTTTGCCAGAGTGTAATCTGTGAGCAACTGGGCAAAATCAGAATCAGAAACCTAGGAGAGTAATATTGTTTTAGAATTGTCTAGCAAAAGACTTTGGTTTGGTTTTGTTACATCTGGAACCAAAATGTCACATGTGGCATACATCATTTAAAGTTTATTATTTTAACCTTAGACCTCCTTGTTTAGAATTTATGCTATTCGGTGCCTTGCATCCCAACATAAGCATTTCTATTCTATTACACGCTAGTTCTTGCCAGTACATGGTGAGTATGGTGAAACCATAGCTTGAATGGCTGGACAGCCCCTTCCACAGTTCCATGCTTTTGCTGGAACTGCCAAACCCAATAGGTTCAAGGGGATGCTCAAAAATTAAGGCATGGCACTAGGTAATTGAAACCATTCTATGCACATCTGGAAAAAACCCCAATTCTGGTCACACACTCTGCTGAAACAGAAATCATCCCATGTTATTGCTGGGAGTTGCAGGAAAGTAAAAGTGGTATCATTTTACGTTTACAGAAGCATTTAGCATTTTCACGGACAGACTCAAAAGCTTGTGATTACAAAGTGTGAAATTCTTATTGTAATTATTCATGAAATCAACAGAACACATATCTAGCAATTGTTCCAAGACCTTCTTTCCTCCCATTTGTACAGGATAGCAATGATCCTACTGATCCATTCTATTGTCCATATCCAAACAAAACAAAACAAGCAAACAACAACAACAAAAATATACAATTTTCCCATTCAGTGGTTGACTTGTTCTAGCCAGGAAGTTTTAATTATTTGTCATTCAGAGTAAGTTCATCCTTGATGCTATGGTGTCCTTCATGCTGGCATGAGGCAAATTATCCTCTGGGATGAAGATGGAGTGAACTTGGCCTGGCTGTGGTCCCTGTAGAAGAGATAAAGGTGCTCAGGGAGTATATGTTTGTGCTCTTAAATCTAAGAAAAATCCCCAGATTGAGAATTTGATTATATTCACTGTGTAGAACTTGAACCTTCCACATGCCTTTAAAATTTACTTGCTTGCAGTTATGGATTTATATGTCCTCCAAAGTTTCATGTCACTTTCTGTGGTAATAATAATATAGCATCCTACTGCTTCTGAGGTGCTTTCAGTATCTTAATTATTTTTACAGTGTTCCCTTATGGGGCATATGGGGTAGGGATTATTTTTCCCACTTTGAAAATGAGAATCCTGAGGCCCAGAGAAGTTAAGTGGCTTACCCAGCATCACACAGGTAGCAAGGATAAGGCTGGCTCTCAAACAGATCTTCTGACTCCAAATCTTGTGCTACTTCCATTAGCATGTGGTGCCTCTTATGTTTTTTGTATTTTTTTCTCACAAAAGTAAATTCTGCTTTGGACCATTTTTCAAAGCAGTTTTGATGGAACACATCCAAATGCTGTTTCCATGGAACCGACAGCATGGAAATGTGCAGCTTCTCAGTCAGGACAGTACTTGTTATCTTGGAATTCTGGGACTGCTGAAGCTCAGTGTGAAATGGTTGCATACATTTCTACTTGTTTAAGCACAACAATTTGGTTGTTCTTTCTCTACGGTATGTATTTCTATCTTATAGATAGTTACTTATCTTAGATTTCTAAATCTCAAAGGTCCTGAGGGCCACTTACAGTCATACTCATCTTTCTATGCTCTACCGCACCTTGTCCAGTGACTTGCAGGAAGTAGTTGTTCAACAAATGTTTACTAAAAGGAATAAAAGATGACATAGTAGGATTTGAAGAATTAAAATGTATTTTCCTGTGTTAGCTATATCAGTCTTTCCAGTACAGATTTCTGCAATGATGGAAATGCTCTATATCTGGGCTGTGCAATACAACAGCTACTGTTGGCTAGTGTGACTGGAGAACTAAGTTTCTAATTTATTTAAATTTAAATTTAAGTAGCTGCATGTGGCTGGTGGTTAACGTACTAGACATAGCAGCTCTAAATTGTAATGTATTTGAACTTTGTCAGATCCTCACATCCTGATTATATTTGGGTCCTTCCATATGCTGATTGTTCTCACTATGTTTTTTGATGAGGAGATTGTACAGCCAGCCCTAAGCAAGGCGATAAAGGAGTGAGCTCAGATTTTCTCTCACACCTGCAGTGGAAGGCCCTTTCTGCTGCTTGACCTCTGGGGAAGGGCTGGTGCTTGCTTCTGAATGTTTTCTGGAAAGTAGGAGTGACTTGTCTCTTGGAGTTGCAAAGGGTTGACAGGGGCTCTAGAAGGTGACACAGTGGGGGATTTCTCAGTTTCTCAAGGCTAAGTAATATATTATCTAGGCCTGTAGGAAAGAAAAGTCCGTCATGTCCTCAGAAAAGCAAATTTTTCCTTAGAAGAAAGAGGAGAGCATGAAGCTAACATATGGTAAATAGATTTCCTCATGCATAAGTCCGAGTGGCGCTCCACTGGGGTAAGAATCTTTAGGCTCTGTCTCTCTCCTTAACATAGGCTGTGTACATCACCAGCAACCATTACATTATGTATTTTTTCTAATTGTGAAACTTCTAAATTCCTCCTTTGAAGTTGACAGTTTGGGATTAATAATAATAATAATAAAAACCTCTCTCCTCTTCTTACCACCTGACAGGAGCAGCAAAAACTGCCTAGGAAGAGAGAAATGCTGTTCCTGCAGGGTGGACCCCTTTAATCTCAGTGACTTCTGAGAACCCCCATTCCTCATTCAGTGGCTTCTGCTACTTCTCTTGAGGGGCCAAAAGGTTAAACAGAGACAGCGTCAGGAGTGAAATGGCAGCCAAATGGGAGAGTACAAGTTGGCCCTTGAGTCAAGGTCTATGTGTTATCATGTGATTCTGGGCACAAGTCCTTTCTCAGGATGTAAATAATGTTCTAAAGGTAGATTTTTAGGCTCTTGTGCTCTATTAGAAGTAAAGCAAACATTGAGGAAAGGAAAATGGGTGCATCATTAACACCAATGTACTCATGGGTGGCTGCAAAAGCTACTCTAAATTAATCTGAAATTTCAGGATGAAAACTTAAGAGTTAAGAATTGGCATCATTATTTGTGAAGCGACTCAAGAGTATCTATTGTGAATCAAAGAGCAGGATCTGCTTCAAGAAGCTTACTATCTAAGGCTGACAAAAACAGTAGATATTAATATTCTGTATTATGTACAAAACTGGAACTTAAAAATGTTTTTCCTTTATAAAAATATGTTCAGATTAACTTTTTAGCCTTCCTTCCTTTTCAAGTAGAGGTGGGAGGTAAGTATTATCTGTCCCTTTAGGCATAAGATGAAAACAAAGTGCAGAGAGGGAAGTGACCTGGCTAAGCTCACAGAGCAATCATGCCCCTATCTACATTGGCATTTGAGCAGGGAACTTCAAACAAGGAGCCACCAGGCTGGCCTTTCTCCTATGGAGTAAGATGACAGCTCCAATTCCTTACTGATGTAAGGGGGCCCGAGTGTATAGAATACATAAATAAATGTGCAAAAGAGGAAAAGAAACCTCAATCTGGCAAAGCTGTTGGAGAGAAGACAAATTAATACCTGTGACTCTGGTTCTGATTCCCTGAACTTTTTTTTTTTAATCAAGCTTTTGCTTTGAAATAATTTTATATATATGGAAAAGTTGCCAAGATACTACAGAGTTCCCATATGCCCGTCACCCAGTTTCTTCTGATATTAACATTTTACATTTGATTTCCTGAGTTTTGCAATAATTTTATATTCATGTTTACAAGTTAATTTGTTTCTATAATGTTCCTATAACATTCCCCTCAAGTTTACTGCTAAGATAGAATAACCTACATATATAATAAGGGTTCAACAGTTGAGCACTAAACATTTTGGTTAAAAAGTCACTTGAGAGTTTTAACTGCAGTTATCATTACTGGAGAAGGGAGAAGGAAGAATAATATTGTGACAAAAGAAAAAACTTTAGAATAAGAGAGAACTTTTTAGGTTTCTCTCAGGCTGGAAGTTAGTTTATCCTCTCAGGAACAATTGAGGCTTTATAGCAATACTGAGATGACAAATAATTTTGGAAGCAGCATTTTATAGGATATGCATTAAAGAAGATCTGTATTTCCCAAAGTTTCTGGATTTGTTCAATAGTAAATAAAAATAGAATTAACCAAGATTATAAAAATTTGGCTGATAACAGTGCCCCACTTTAAAGTTGGAACAGTATTGAATGGTGGATCAGTGGAAGATATGAAGGCACAGTGGAGCCCAAGCAGAGGATTGGTGTGTCATAGAGGAGTGCCATTGATGAAGGGTACTTGAGAAAGGACAAAGCCAGGTTTCTTCTGTGTAAGAGTTTCACCAGTAGTTTAGTGAAGAGGGACTGACACTTGATGATGGACTAATACCATGGTTATTTATTATCTGAGATTATTAAATTCACATTTATGCTTAAGATAACTCTAGAAGGAATCTTATGGAATTTCCCATACTGGACAATTTTTGATTCACAAAAATGGAACTTTTATATGATTCATCCTAATAGTAAATTATGTGGTGAATTTGAAAAACTTTTGCTTAGTTTCACTTTATACTTTTTTTGTTTTTATAAACTTGGAAGTAAAGAACAGTGATTTGAGCTAGAAAAATCTAACGGAGATTTGTTATAAAAATAACTAGAATGAGCAGACAGATGAGCAGCCACCTAAATGCAACCCAAATAGGCACTCTTCCTACGTGCCAGACATTGCACACTTGCATCATAACTGTTTTATGTTTTCTTCACAGAGGTAAGTTGATTCTGTGCACTTCGATTTGTAAATTTTACAGGTTTAGTGGTACTCAGCATCTTTTCCTTCAGGCATCTAAGAAAGTACATCTGAAAATAATTGTTTATCATCCTAAAACATAAGGTTTAATTTTCAACCATAAGGTGGCATCATATCACATTTTATGCAGAAGAAGCAGGTCGCTTTTCTGTTCACTGAAATGACTAATGCTCTGCACATGTCTTTAAGTTGTGGGTGTGACACATTATTGAATTTTGAAGTTTATAAGCAAGTATTAGAAACTTGCATCTCTATATAGAGGCTTAACTTTTTTTCCTTATATTTGATCTTTCTATATTATAGCTGAGAAGTTAGTAATAGAAAAAATTATTGCTATATTAACTAATACTATGTTTTTCCTCATTAAAATATGTAAGGCAGTTTCTTGCATATATACAAGCTACTCAGAAATATTCACTGCATGATTAAATTAATATATTCTTTTAATAGGCCTTACCCTCAGGAATTCATTTTCCCATTTGTCAAGTTGAATTTACAGCATACTTTTATTGCTATGACCCATTTCTTACCAGCATAAGAAGCTTATTTCTTGAAGAAGTTAAACTCAACTGAACACATTTAATTTCCCTACTACCCTTTAAAAATACATTACTGTTTTTTTACACACCACTTTTCTTTGCTTAACTAGAAATGTCTAGGACTCACAAATTGCATAAATGCACCAGTTTACTTCTAGTAGCTTGATTTTAAACTCTGGTTTAGTTTTGAAAAGATGAGTTAAAACTTTGCTTCATTTTTCTTTGTACAAACATTTGTATGTTGTAGAAAACATTGTAAACACTTTCCTTATAAAATCAGCCTTTTTTTCAGCTGAAAGGATTTTGTTATTGGAGCTCTATAGTTTTGTGAGAAGTCACTGCCACTTTGCCTGCAGGAAACAACCCACAAGGCATATTGCAGAGCATCTTAGAAATCTAGTTTGGAATTTGGAAATGGAATAATAGGACTTTGGTCTCAACATTTCTCTGATCCTGAACCTCTTGGAGCACTTAATTCTCATTCTGACTGGCTATGATGCCAAAGTAACATATTGAAAAATGAAAAATTGTCAATCATTAAAAAAACCCTTAACGCTATGTCGGAAAACCAGCTAGACTGATGTTTCTATTAAACTGAATTGATTTCATGAATTGAGGCTTGGCTATACCTTAGATAGTAAATCTTTTTTCCCCTTGGGTGGAGCTCTGCTTTAAAAAGAACTGAATTATATTTCTCTCTGCTATTGATAATGTAGGCATTTTATCCTTAATGTTTTCTTCTCAGAGGAAAGTCAAGGTGAAATAAAGTGAAAAGTCAAGGTGAAACAAGCAGATTGGTGTGAAATAGAATAAGGGAGTATTCCAAGGAAGAAGGTTAAGGAAGCCATCCCTAAGAAGATGATCCCTGTTGAGGTTGAAGGATGAGGCAGAGCCAGCCCTATACATTTGGTTTCGAATTAGGTGGGTAGAAGACAGACTGATAGTGGCTAGGGAGAACATCTCAGGAATGGAAAACAGAGAGAGAGAATAGAAAGGAGGGCAGTGTGGATGGAGCATGGGGGTGAGGAGAAGGGGCTGCAGGTGTGGCAGGGTAAATAGGACAGGTGGGCTAGCGCCACTGCAAAGTGAAGCAAGTGAAGAGTTTGAAGTTGGGAAATTACCTGATCTTATTTACATTTTAAAAAGCTTACTCTGGTTCATCAACAGTGGAATGGATAGATAAAGTGTGATCTATTCCTACAACAAGATGTTATACAGCAAGGAAAATGACTAATTTGTTGCTCTATGGTACCTAATAACATGAAATAATGTGTCAACTTAAATATAATGTTGAGTGAAAAAAGCCAAATGCAAAAAAGGACACAGTGCATGAGTCCATTTTTGTGAATATTCTATTCTTTGTTCTGGGCACTGGTCACGTGGATGTGCTGAGTCTGTGAAAATTCATCAAGTTGTACACTCATGATTTGTGCACTTTTAATGTCTGTTAAGCTTAAATAAAAGGTTAAAAAAGGAATACTCTGGTTGCAGAAGAGAGAATAAATTGCAGAGGAGAGTGGAAGCAGGGGGACCAGTTAGGAAGCTATTGAAATTTTCCAGGTGGAAGATGGTGGTGGTGGAAATGGGGAGAAGTGAATGGATTCTAGATCTAATTTGAATTATAGTACAGTATTTATTATTAGATGGAAACATATGAAATACCTGGTATTCAACCTCTTTTGGCCTTCAAAAATGACAATTTCATATGGCTCAACCTACTAGAAATGGATTGTAAGGACATCCTTGACTCTTGTTATTGTTTCTCTGTTAAGTATTATAACTTTTGGTTTTATATATCTTTTCTTTGTGATATTAAGAATAAAAGCTTATGGTTTTACTTGAGAACAGATAGTGAGTGTTAGTTATTCCTGTCTATTCACATAACTATATTACTTTCTCTATGATGAGTTATGTTGTAGTTTTTTTCTATTTTACCTATACTAGGATTAATTTATCAAAATGAGAGTAGTTTTTAATGTAACTGACTAATTAACGTACTAGTACTATGTCTTATTATACTTGGTTGTGAAGATTGTAGTAACAGTGACTGTCAAAAATTTGTATTTTAGCTGGGTGTGGTGGTACGTGCCTGCAGTCCCAGTTACTCAGCAGCCTGAGGCAGGGGTATTGATTGGTTGAGGCCAGGAGTTAGAGGCCACAGTGTGCTATGATTATGCTTATGAATAGCTGCTGCACTCCAGCCTGGGCAACATAGCAAGACCCCAACTCTTAAATAAACCTAAAAAACAAAAAACTTTTATCATTTTAAAAGTCAGGAGTTGAGTGTTTATGCCATCATGTAACAATGTAAATTGTATTTGAGGATATGGATATTAAATACCAGGTTCATCAGTTTTTATCCCTCTCCCCCAGAGCTAAGGTAGTTTTTGTATCCATTTAGGTACCCTTGACTGGGTTGTCAGATTTCTGAAGAAAAGTGCAGGATCAAGAGGCCCCTGACTGCCACAGTAGGGGTTCTTTAAGTTGTGAGCACTGAGGTGTCTTAGCTGGGCAGCTGAGATGTACAAAGAAGGCTGCTCAGTAAATTCTGACCCTGCAGCCCTTTCAATTGTAACAGGATCTTCAGATTCATATCCATCAAATTGACATGTGATAGTCCAAGGAGAAAACAACTTTGGAAATGATCTGTTGAAAGTAATTTACTTCTTCATCTATCGCATTCTCAAATGGTCTACATTTGAGCAAAGCAGTGGGAGTATAATATCCATATTCTGAAAGTTGAGAGGATCTAGGGAAAGGTATTTTAATTTTATTCTTTTTTGCTCAACATATATTTTTTCACACAAATGTATATAAAAGTGGAAGAGGCAGATGACATTTGATATATATGTGTGTGCATATATATATAAATACATACATATATATATGTTTTAAACCAGCTTTGAATTCATTTTCTCATATCAGAGAAGCATACCTCCTGGTTAGTATTAGATTTTCAGAATGCACAGATGGAGAATAGTTAATGGAAATCACACCAACTGGATTTATTTTGCATTGTGCTTCACTGAGTACAGAAATCATCTAGAAGGTTCTAATTTTTTTCCCCAAGGACCATCACAAAACTCAGTCCCTAGAAGAGGGGTGGGGTGGGTGGGTTGGGGAAGTAATCTGCAAATGTTTCCTTGAAAAATGCCCTTTCCTGTGTATAGAGTGAAATCGATACCAACCTCTAGATTTGTTGACCTGTTCGTGAGATGGAAACTAAAATGTGAAAAGTTGAAAGTTTTTCCTGATGATAGATTTTTTTCCCTTTTTCAGATGCAGCTAGTGTGAACAATCTAATGATGAGAAAGATCTTCAGACCTCTATATAGTGCTGAAGAATGTCATGTCGATAAAGGGCATGCTTTTCCTATATCATTGTGCCTTAATCTTCTTAGATTTTTCTACAAAGAAATCACATTAATCAAATCTCCTTTCTGCTATATGAAAGGTTCAGGCTGACTAATGCTCGACTTTGGGTGAAATTGGATATGGAAGAAAATCCTGACTTGAAATAATACCAGGACTTTCCATAATCCTGTGTTGCTTGAGTCTTAGTTCAGGACTGTAATTTCCAGCTCAGGTTTTGCGAAATCCCAGAGTCGTCCCAGTGAACCCAAGACGTACTCTTTATGCTTTAGAGACCAAAAACCCAACTTAAATGTATTTAAACATAAAATGAAATATTTGCTTTAAAAATGTTTAGGAGTAGGTTTTATGCATGTGTCTTTAAATAAAAAAAGAGTAGCAATTGTATGTTGCAAATACAAAAAGGCAGAAACCACTATTCATCTGGTTCATAAGCTTTGCAGGTTACAACAAAGACAAAAATGTGTCTAAAATGTAATCTGACTATAAAGAAACTTAATTCAGAATCTACATAACTAAAATATGGTCTCTCAAAATGTTTTTTTTGGGGGAAGCTATTACTGATTTCAACAATGCATTTATTAATCAAAGTATTTTTAGACCATCATGAAAACATATTTTTTCCCCTCTGAGTCTGTGGCACATTCCTTTGATTATCTTTTAGTTGGGAGAGGCTGAAGCTTTTGAAAAATCCTAAGCCATTAAGAACCAAGTCTAGAAAAGGATATATGGTCAATGTGAGTACTATTGACTTTTAGAAAAAACATGACACAAACCACATTGTATTCATAAATCATAACATCACTTTCTACCCCATAAATGTACACAACTATAATTTGTGAATTTATAATTAAAAATATAAAAATAAAAAACAAACCAAAACAACAACAAAACTTCACATATTATAAAATAATGGGACTTATTTACTTGTGTGGTTGCCCTGAGGGCAAAACTGAAAAATAAGTTAAAAAAAATGTACTGAACTCCTTAAAACTTAACTCTTTAAAATTAGTGTGTATTTTATGCTTATAGCACATCTCAAATTGGACAAGCTGCATTTCAATTTATAGCCACATGTGACTAGCGGCCACCATATTAGATAGCATGATACTAGAGTCCACAGCTTTTCTTTCTTTCTTTTTTTTTTTTTGTAAAAAGAGTTCAAAGAATGTGCATAAACTCTTCACTTAGTTACTCCAAATGTTAATAACTTATATAAATACAATATATAAATTATCAAAATCAGGAAATTAACATGGCTGCAATAGTGTTATTTAAACTACAGACCTTATTCAAATTTTGACAGTTACCCCACTAGGAATTTTTCTGGACCAAGATCAAATCTAGGATATCACATGCTGCATTCAGTTATCATGTCTCCTTAGTTCCATCCAATCTAGGAAGTTCCTCATTCTTTTTTGGTCTTTTATGACCATGGCAATTTTGAAGAATATTGGCCAATTATTTCACTGAATGTCCTTTAGTTTGTATTTGTCTGATGTTTCCTCATGATTCAGTTCAGGTTGGAAACTTCTGGCAAAAGTATTGTAGAAGTGATGTATTCTTCTCAGTGCATCATGTGAGAGGCACATGATTTTGATTTATCCAACACTGGTGGTGGTAACTTTGATCACTTGGTTAAGCTGGAGGCTGTCAGCTTTCTCCACTGCAAATGTACTATTTTACCTTTGTCATTTGAAAATTTAGTTTAAAAAATACACTGAACAAGAGCAAGTATATACAGTTTCTTTATTCATTATTTCAGGAGCACTCCCTGGATGTAGTTTTATTTTTAAAGAAGTTACATTCATTTGCTGTCAAATAACATTTTGAGCCAAAATAAATTTCCTGTTTCTCATCATACATTTGCCCCAGCTTTTAACATTTATTGATGATACTTGCCTGAAACAGCTACAGTGGTGGTGGTTGCTGTTTTGTGATTTTTTTTATCTCCATCATTCCTTCTACATTTATTAGTTGCAATTTTACTGTAAGGAAGAGTCATCATTTTATTTTTATCAGCAGAAACTGCGTGGATTCTTACTTTATTCTGTGGGTTATGGTCAATTAATATAATTACTCTGTAGCTCAAATACTCATATACCCAAATTTGGCCATTAGGAGACTCTTTTAGTTTAGAGCTCACATTCTTAAAGACTACTGTAAACTCCTTCCCTATAATTGTGCCTATTTACTTCAGAAAGGCCCCAACACAATCTTGCTTTTAATAGGCTTTCAGTCACATAGATAAATAAGAGGCTTATCTTGGCTTCTGAATATAATCCTTTGTTCTTCTCTGAAAGAAGCGATTCCTAATCTGTCATACCCTAGGTTCATTTCCCACTCTCTCACAGTTTTTGCTACATACTTTACATACAGGTATTTTTCAGCTTCAAAGACTATTCATGATAAGTATCCTATACATGCAGTAGGAATTCAACTATTTCTAGCGCTTTTAGTTACTTCAATTTGATTTAATTCAACACATATTTATTGCCAGTTACATTGGAAAGAAAAATGTGGAATGCAATCTATTCTATGATCTTGACCAATTTGCTGTCCAGTGGGGCAGATGAGACATCTATGTAATTATAGTGTAGTTATAGCAGGATGTGATAAGTATTTGAACAAAATGTTATGGGGACATAGGAAGAATGACTTTCATTCCAACTTGGGGGTGAGATTAAGGTGATGGAAAGGGACAGGGCAGGCAGGAGAGGTGCATGTAAGATTTTCTCTGGGGTTTACCAAACAAGGACAAAAATATGAATGTTAATCTGACAAAAATGTTTGCCAAACAACTCATTTCTTTTGCCATTTGGTCTTTGTCTTGATTGTTTCAAGACTGTTTCTTTTTATTTTCAAAAATTCGGAAAACCAAAGGTCAGAGCGGTTTCCATTTTTATAATTAATTGCTGAGACATGGGAACTAATGGTGACCTAGAGGTGATAACCTACAAGTGTAACAAGAATGGGTTAAGTTTTTATCACTTCGCACTGTCCTGTTGTTCAGTCTTGAGATGGAGAATCAGAGCAAGCCTGGATTGGGAATGTCTTACATCATACACTTTCCTTCTTCGCTTTTCATTTCACTTGGCAAAAGTAGAACCAACACTCCACATTATCTGACTGGGTTCACAAAGAACTCCTGTCATGGTGTCCCTTTAGGAGTTATCTAAGCAGGGAAAAGGATGATGAATTCCAGGACAGTGATTGCATTTTTAAGCAATAAGCGAATATCAAGAGACAGTTTTAGAAGGTAGTGGTGGTAGTAGGGGACTCTTCCTGTGCTTTGTGAAAGTATTTGTCTTTTATCCAAGTGACTCTTCTATTTTAGCATGTAATGCAGCTGCTGCTTGGATACCCTTTTCCTTGCAGCTTTTGGTACCCAAGGCATTTGTAGCTCTTGAACACTAGAGTTGGCTATTTGGCTCCTAGAGGTTCTTTGCTAAGTTTTTTGATGCCTTTGAAATTCTTCAGGCCTGAGACTTGCCAGAGACCAGGGCAAAAGACGGAGCTATCTAAATGAATGAATACACATGTGAGAGAAAAATGTAAGAAGAAAGCTGCCTCTCTCAGACTGGTCAAGAGTTAAACAGAATGCCCTGTGCTCTTGTGCAGAAAATAATAGTGAAACCATTTAGCACACAGATAACTTTTCTTAGTCTGTGAGTACAAGTTTTCTAATTTATAACACTGAATAAAAGGTGAACTTAATGCACATAAAATATATGCAAAAGGATTAGTTCTGAAAAACTTCTGAAAATTATCTGTTACTAAATGATTTCAATGCTGCTGGCACCTAGAGATATGGGAATTGTATCCTCTTATGGTCTTCTTATTAGGAACATAAATACCCAGAAATGTGCATATATGTATATAACAGCTTTTCTATGTATAATTCATGTTTGCATGTATAATTTATATTCCAACTGAGAATGTTTTTGTCTGAATGGTTTATTTGTGATTTTAAATGTGTGAAAAATCTTTAAAAATTTTGAAAGAGAATTTATTTCATCTTCTACTGTTTGTCTTTTTCCATCCAAGCTTATTTTGTGAACACACAGAATTAAATATACTTGACTTATAGAAAGGGAATCCAAGATGAAAGTTCTCCCAAACCTGTTGTCATGTGGTTTAAAAATTACCATTGATTTTAAATCCTCAGTTTAAGCTTTTTTGGTATATGTACGTGAGTATATGTACACACACACACACACACAAATATATACATTAATCCTAAAGATAAAGTGGAAATGAGCCTATAAGAAAATAATAACTCAAAAGTGATAGAATTATGATGATCGAAAACAGTGTTGCATCTGTGATGTAGTTTTGTGTTTGTATCAGAATTCATCACCTTTGGGAAGTTATTTTTACATGAAGAGGAAGAGGTTGCTTGACTCTTGGTTCCTTAGAGAGTTAGACTGTTTGGCCAGAGTTACGGAAAAGGGATTGTGTCACAAGTGAAGTTATGGTTTCAGGACTGCTTCCAAATATTCCTGCTTTGGTTATAGGGGTAAAGAGCTGAGGAGTCTTGAAGCAGTCTTTTTGGTCAAAGAATTTAAGAGGCAGTGGGTTTGGTGCCAGTGATTCCATTTCTAAAGGATTTTCCTTTGAAGTGTTTGTTCCTCAGTATGTTTTTCCATCCAAACATATGCCTGTGATTTGAAATCAGCTTAAGAGTTTTCTTTCACATTTAGTATTTGTGTTTAGTTTACTGGCATTAAAAGATGCAGAACAAACTTGTTTGATTCCTAAATCCCTACAGTGATATTGCCACTAAGGATGATTCTCATGGGGAGAGTTTAGTTATTGCTGACTGTAGAAAAACACATGAAAGTTATTGTTAAAATAAACTTATTTCTGGAAAGGGCTAAAGGAAAACATGTTCCAGCTTGCATGTACTTTGCATCTTTTCTTCTAGAGTTTCTTAGAAAAGTATTTCTTATTTGTTAAAACTGTCTTAGAGGCTTAAAGTTTTATTCTGCCTGAAACATGGCTGTTATCCTTGACTTCTCTACCAGGGTTATATATCTAGCTGGTGACTTGAAACTATACTCATTGGATTAGTTCCTCTTGAGAATTCATTGAATGTATGGGAGCAAAATATTGAAGACTTTGAAATCTATGTGTCCTGCCATGTTCTGGAGAGGTGAGACTTGTGTTTGATAAGACACTGTGTCCAGAGTGGGTAAATTGCCTATGAGTCTGTAGTATTTTGTTGTTGTTGTTGTTTGTTTGGTTTTTGAGACAGGCTGTGTCATCTAGGCTGGAGTGCAGTGGTGCAATCACAGCTCACTACAGTCTTGATCTCCCAGGATCAAGCAATTCTCTTACCTCAATCTCCCAATTAGCTGAGACCACAGGTGTGTGCCACCACACCAGGCTAATTAAAAAAAAAATTTGTGAATATGAAGTCTTGCTATGTTGCCCAGGCTGGTCTTGAACTCCTGGGCTCAGGCAACCCTCCTGCCTTCGTCTCCCAAAGTGCTGAGGTTACAGGCATGAGCTACCATGCCCAGCTGATCCTTCATTTGAATTCAAATATTGGAGGATGGCAGAAGGGGCCAACATGAGAGCATCAGCTCATTAAAGTAACTGGAATGGAGCCAAGCAAACAAAGAGGTATGTTCTACACCCTTGGCTTCAAGAGTAGGCCTTAGGTCTTCTCTTCTGAGGAACTAGTTTTCAGATCCTGAAGGACCAATTTTGACCAATAGAG
The DNA here is from genome assembly GCF_000001405.40 of Homo sapiens. Classification (NCBI taxonomy): domain Eukaryota; kingdom Metazoa; phylum Chordata; class Mammalia; order Primates; family Hominidae; genus Homo; species Homo sapiens. The sequence continues at coordinate 91,775,133 of NC_000007.14, read as the reverse complement.
ATTTTCCTGAAGTTCTTCTTTTTTGATGATACAGTATAGAAATGCTTTAATTTAATCACACACAAATCAATCCTCAAATAACAAAAGCAAGAGCAAATCAAAGTTTATAAATAAAAAGAGTTTATGAGTTATCTGCACAATACATGTTTTGAAATCCAGATCTGGTTGTTTTAGTTAGTGCCATTTCTTGGATTCAGGTGGCTTTTCAGAATACCCCTTTGTCCAGGTCAGGTCTGTTTCCCACACTTACCTAATTGAGGTGATTCTCATGCTTTATGGCTCCCATGGTAGGGCCACCTTCTTTCTTCCCTGCCAGGAAATCACTCTTGGCTTTGTGAATTGTCATTTGGATTCAAATGCTGGAGGCTGGAGGAAGAACCAAAATGGGAATAGGTACTTCTTACCTAGGAGACTGACTTAACTTGAGAAGTCCACTAGGTTCTCATTTCTTCTCAGTGGGTCCTCACCATGTCCAAGGGGCTCATTGACATATGAAACCCGCATGGCAGATGGACTATTATGGATTCTTCTAGTTCATTGTACCTGTTGGCTCAAGTTAGTTCACTTTTCCAGGCTCAAGCCTTAGGCCACATGCTCCCAGACCCAGACTTTCAGAGTTATCACCGTCATGATGAATACCTTTAAATAGACAATGTGTCACCATACATGAGTTCAATTCATGCACAATGCTGATCTTGCATAGTGATTTTGAAAAAAATTGGTATTTATTTTCTCCATTTTCTTCATGTTTGATTTTAATTATCTCAGCTTTTTAGTTAAATTAAATCCCACCCTACCCCTCCTTTCAAAAGACAACTTGTTGCCTAGATTGTCAAATTTAGTATAGAGGTTCCTTCTATAAGCGATTGTTTTCATTTATTTTATTCATTCACACAACACATTTTTGCTAACTTCTGTGTTGATAAACTTTGTGTGACAAGGTGAACATAAAAAGATAAATATGCAATGGATTTTGCTTTCAAGTAGGTCATGATCTAGAAAAAACCATAACATATTGATAATGAACGCCAATAGAATGTATAAAATGATATATTAATGGTACAAATAAAGTGCTATCAGGACACAGAGGTGATTCATTTTGCCAGGGCACTGGGACCAGGTAAAGCTACAAACAGGAGACAACATCTGAAAAATACTTAGAACTATGGTCTCACTTTTGAAATATTGGGCATTAGTACGATCATGGTGACCCATCCTGATAAGTATATTTTTATTTTCTACCAACTAATTACAACCTTAGAGTCACTATGTGATGCATTAGTAACAGTAATGGAAATTTTATATTGCATCTTGCTCTTCAAGGATGGATACTAAGAAAAAGGAAGGAAGACGATGTTAATTGAGGTTTAGGGATATAGCCACTAAAAAACTAAACTAATTTTTTCTTTCTATACTAATGCCTACCACTTTATAGCAGAGACTTAGAGAGACATTAATTAGGGTTTTCTTTTTCTTTCTTTCTTTTTTTTGAGACGGAGTCTCTCTCTGTCGCCCAGGCTGGAGTGCAATGGTGTGATCTCGGTTCACTGCAACCTCTGCCTCCTGGGTTCAAGCGATTCTCCTGCCTCAGCCTCCCGAGTAGCTGGGACAACAGGCGTTCACCACCATGCCTGGCTAATTTTTAAAAACTTTTTAGTAGAGATGGGGTTTAACCATATTGGTCAGGCTGGTCTCGAACTCCTGACCTCATGATCCGCCCACCTCAGCCTCCCAAAGTGCTGGGATTACAGGCATGAGCCACTGTACCTGGCCAGGGTTTTCTATTTGGAATGAGAAACTTTTAAGAAAGATGGAGTTGGTAAGAGGAGAGAAAGAAGAAAAAGAAGGCATTATTTTTTCTGGATTCCAGGATTTCCATATAGGACATAATTGGGATGGATGGTCAGACAGGAAGAGGGAACAAGGGATTTCTTGTAGCCATATTTCAGTAACCAGTTCAGTGATTTTACTTAGCATTATTTGGGGTGGACTGGAAGGGGCTACTAGACAATGTGTGTATATGCAGGAAGTTCTCAAGTCACTCCTTGGTGCTTACACTGCTGATAAAGTGATCAGAAAAAACCAGCAAATGTTTTTACTGGGTGATAATTCATTAAACAGTATTTTCATACAAAGAGACTTTTATCTATTTTTAGGATGATGCACTGGGATGGAACTTTAGAAAATTCTGGCATAAAAATTTGTTGAAAAGAGTTTCACTTGACTCCAAAAAATGCAATATCATATTCTTGATATACTTTAAGGAAATGAGCTTATGTAGTTCAAGGAAACAATTTCTCTAACCTCAGGGGAACAGAATAAGGTAGAGGCCAAATAACATCACAATTATCCTCTTGTCTTACTTGCCCACTCTCTCACTCTCTGCTTTGTGCTTTCGTGTCTCAATGCCTGCAGTGCTGACGGGGTGGGAAACAACTATTCAAGTGTGCCAGGGGCTGGTGCCTTTACAACCCTCCTGAACGCCAACTGGTTAGATGAATCATTAAATGTCTCTCCACTCTGTCTGCTCAGCACTGCATTGCCCTGGATCATATCCACATTCCTACCTTTGTCTTGAAGCTGAAGTTAGGACTTGCTTGTTCCTTTTGGCAAATTTTCACATCATGAGCACATTTTATGATATGTCCATCTGCACAGCTATCTAAATATATGAGCAGACTTATGGGGAGTGTGGCTGAGAGTTCACTTAAGATCCTTCACAGGCTCCTGCCTGCCTCTTCTAGATTGGCAGGCACAAATGAAGTTAATCATATTGTATTAAATATGGTAGAATGATCTGGTCATACGTTACACCTGGAAGTGTTGAATACTGCTTTGAATTGAATGGCTGGTACTGTTTTGGTGACTTGAACTTTGAGCTGTGTTGACTTGTCAAGAAGACAAGTCAACAAATCTTAGCTAAATAGTTTGTGGTATATTATTAGGAATGTTAGATAAGGCAGTTCCATGTAACTCCTATCATTATGCATTCTTGGATTGAAAATAAGCCAATCTCTCAACACTTTGGAGAGACAGCCTTAGAACTGGTCCTTTGAATATCATGAGAAATGATAATGATATGTGGAGACACTCTGAAGGGCACCTCTGTATCCTCCAAGTTGCTAATGTAAGAAATATGAAGGGACTAGATGTTTGTTAGGAAAATACAAATGTGAACTACATCAGCACTTTTAATAGCTGAGATCTTTTTGCCTTTTCCCACATGGATACCTAAATAATGAAATCATAACTGCTTTGATTTCATGTATTTATGTATACTCTGTAAACCATTATGGAATCTGTGACATTCCTAGTCTGCAATCAATAGCAATATTATTAAAGGGAAAAAATGATTAATTATTAGCATTGATAAACAATTAATGCTTATTAAAAAAGCAAATGCTTGTGAGGACATGATTCATTATTGGACTTTTAGAGGGCAAATCTCCCAAAGAACCACATGTCAGTTACAAACTAAACTTAGAAAGTTTTCCAAGTACCAGTCATCTATTTAATATCTTGCATTAAAGCAGTGGTGATTTCATCCGAACTGTTGGGGAACACAGAATGATGTGTCATAAGTAACCTTAATCCCCAATTAGTAATGAAAGGGTAATAGTTATGTGGCTTTGCTCTTATTCAACTATTAAGATATAGCCAGTTAATTGCAACTTACAAATGAGGTAAATTTTCTAGCCTTAAATTATGAATGATGTTGATATGTGGCTTCATTATTTAATGCTTGGTCTCTGTTACTCTTTGCCAGCAACAGAGCTCAACTTTGAATTTCCAAAGAAGAGCAAACATATCCATTATGCAGTGTCACTTTGAATGCAGGCTTTTGCAAAATTTGACTACGTTTTCAAGCGATGTCTGATCTGCCCATGCTCATAGTAAAGATTTGGCTTTACTCCACAAGAATGGGAATTTGATAATCAAGGGTATCCTTACAATTTATAATTTTGTTCCACAAGAGAAAGAAATGGATAAGTAGCTTGTGTATTTCATTTGATGATGTGTGTTTGCCTTTTGAAGGTAAGTCTATTCATAGGAGAGTAAGTCTATTCAGTTTAGATGTAAAAAGAAAATGGCTGCCTCTCCAATTGGCAATACTGGATATCTGGCAATAATTGGATACCCCAAAGGACTGTTCAACTTTACATTTTACTTCTTTTTGAGAATTTGGACACCTCTAGGTGTCTTCCAGGTATGATCTTGTAGTAAGAAATTTTTTCATACCATGCTTCTAAATCAAGCTTTCTCAGAATTTAGGAGTACATGATATGGTTTGGATATGATTTTGTCTTCTCAGCAGGATAGTGACTGAGACATAGATTTGACTTAACTTGAAATGTCTCTCCTTTCCTTGTCCCTGTAGTATCAATTTTGCAATCAAATATATAGTATGAAATTTATCACTATCATAACTCCAGAACAATGGATGGGCTGTCAAGGGAAGATGTAGAGCTCAGACTACTTTTTGTCCTGGATGGCTTAGATGTTTAATTGCTTAAAAGTAGGTGATCTTTGGAGATTCTTTCTTGTGTTAAATGTCACCATTGTACATGAAGCTATTCTTCAGACATAAGAAAAGCTAAGATGATTAGCTAGAAACATTATTTTATTACTCAATAACACTTAAGTTATCCCCAGCCCTGAAATGTTTTATCTGTTTTCCTGATCATGTGTCCGTCTGGATTCTGTTAAGCAGAATTGTTATTCTCTTTGCTGAATTCCCTGCTGGTAGGCTGATTTTAGGCAATGACATACAGCAGAGCATTCTATCCAATATTGTAAAAAAGTTTTTTGGAAGGGTGGTTCAGAATGGGAAGGGAAGTGAATGCAAAACGGTATAGATATTTCTAGCTAAAAAAAAAAAAGATGAGTCAGCCGTGGTGGCTCACACCTGTAAGCCCAGTGCTTTGGGTGGTTGAGATGGGAGGATTGCTTGAGACCAGGAGTTTGAGAACAGCCTGGGCAACATAGCAAGACCCCATCTGTACATAAAATTAAAAAAAATTAGCTTGGTTGTGGTGGCACTCATCTGTAGTCCTAGCTACTTGGGAGGCTGGGGTGGGAGGATTGCTTGAACCCAGAGTTTGAGGCTGCAGTGGGCTATGGTTGTGCCATTGCATGCCAGCCTATGTGACAGAGCAAGGCCCTGTCTCAAAAAAGTATATTGATTATATAAAACTTAGATAAAAAAGTATAAATAAAAAAACACCCACTTCTAAGACTCATGTCTCACTTCTAAGATACTAGACTTCTCTTAGACAAAATTATTTGAAATATATGGACAATCTCTCATCTAGCTCAAATTATGAATGTTTCATTACATATACATTTTAACTTAGATATGACCACCTCAGTTGGGTGACCCTGGGGGCATAAAACGTATTCTTTCATCTCTTGTTACTTGGTATGCCCTTCTGTCCCTTATCTTCATTCTTCACTTTTTTCTTGAAGTTACAGACTTGATTGCTGCCTTTATAGTTACTCCTTCCCAAGCCTGCTCCTGGTTGGAAGGGAAGGTAGGGACTATTAGCTAGTACACTACAGCAGAGTGTGGAAGAAGAATTGATGGGGTAAAGAAGCAAGTAGATGAGAAGAGAGGAGCACAACCTCTCTGGACTTGCTTTTCCATTCCCTTCCATTCCTATATCCAATTTTAACCATATTTTCAATGAATACCTCTAGTAAATATCTCTCATACTTGTATTTTTATCTTTAATTTCTTTGAAATTTCTAGATGTCTCCTGGACATTTCCACCCAAATCCCCAAGTTCCTAAAACATAATATGCCATATTTCCTCCGCATGGTAACCCTAGGTTTTCCTCTCAACCTCCCAGTTGTGTTAATAGTAGCATAGGTAAATTAGTAACTGGCCTTGAAATCTGGAGGCTGTCATTCACTGGCTATTTTCTCTTGCTTTGCTTATATTCAGTTAGTTCTTAATCCTATCTATTCTGCCTTATCAATTTCTTATCTATTTAATATGTTCCCTTCTTTTTATTGCTTCTGTAAACCACCCCCTCCTCTAAAGTTTAAGTCCTTACAATGTCTTTTAATAGCTAATTGGTCTCCCTACTTCTAGTCCCCCCACCCACCAATGGTCTGGCACTCTGCCACTAGGTTTATTGTATGGCTTAATTTAGTGGCTTTCCTTTACTAACTCAATAAAGCACTTACATTTCAACCTAGCACTCAAGATTGTCTACTTTTTGACAAAAGCCCTATAATATCAGTGTAATTTTTCTATTTTTCTTATATTGGAGACTAGTAGTTTTCAACTCTTACTGTGCATCATAATTTTTGGGGGAGATTAAAAAAATAAAAATATGTGGGCCGCATTTCCAGAGATTCTAACTGGTCATGATGAGGAGGTGGAGGGGCATGTATTGGTATGTTTTCAAGCTTCCCAGATGGTCCTGATGTTTTTAAAGTGAAACCAGGATAAATCATGAAATCCTAACTCTGCCTGAAATGCTTTTTCTTTTTTAGTCTTTGAGGCTTTGTAAATATTTTTCCCAAGAGACCTGGAACGTCTTTCCCATCAAAATCCTGCTGTTTCTTCTGGTTCTAATTCAAATAACACCTCCCCCATGAAGTCTACCTAATCCTGCATCCACAAGTCTATTTAGCACTCCATTCCAAGCACATAAATAAGTTAAATGAAATTCATCCAAGTGAATGTAGCATCCATTACTTATTGTATTTGTTATTAGTATTCTTGTTTTATATTTTCTAGTGAGAGTCTTGAGAGATTAGAAACTATATTATATTTTTTGTTTCTTCTCTTCTTCTAGTTGTTAGTATGGTGCTTTGTACGTAATAGGCCTTGAATAAATATCTTCTGAATGAATTTTCTACAACATTTAGCTATTGTACATATTATAGTTTGAGACATCAGTTTGCAATTTACTGTATGTTGAGTTTTGTAAGATGAATTTGAGGCCTTGACTTGCCCTATGATATGTTCAGAAACTCCTCCAAAGAGGCTTTTCTAGCGTGTGCTATTGAGACAGCCAGGTGGGAGGGGGTCCCTGGAAAAACTCCAACCAGCCTGTGTGTTGAGGTGGGGCCTCGGGAAGTTGACGATGTTTGCAGCAGGGAGGAGCCTGGCCCCTCCTCTTCCTGTGTGGAACCTGGGATTCCAACTGCTGGCGGGAAGCGCTCTAGCAGGGGATTCTGGCCTTGCGGAGGATCCCTGTCTCCCTTTTTTTTCCCCGTTTCACCCAAAAAACCCCTGCTCTACTCACCCTTTAAATCGTCTGCGAGGCTAAATTTTTGTGGCCGTGGGACAGACAAGAACCCAGTCTTTAGCTGATCTAAGGAAAAGTCCTGCAACACTATTTGCCCCTATTATAATAACTTGTGGGGACTTGAGTATAAAACTTCCATTTCTAGATAGAATATGGTGGGTTGCTCCTGCTGCAACAACTAGAAAATAGTGGATAAATTACAAAACAATCATATTTTTGAAAACATCAGAGATCTGTGAAAGCAAAGAGGACTAGATAAACTAAAACTCCATGCAGGGAAGAGTCCTTCTGAGGGTAGCTGAGATCACTGGCAGTTTTCTTCCATGAGAGTGTTTTCTCAGTCTTATATTAGAGATTATAGGCTGAGGATCAATTTAGCCTAGGTGGAGGGCCTGTAGTGGAAGAAAGAGAATTCCATGGAGCTTTTGGTGACAAGTGCTGACACGATGGATTTGAATCCAATGGAGCCCAAAACACAAAACTGCTTTCCACATGAGACATTTACTGAGCACTGGGGACTGTGGAGTTTGTCTGTATAAAACATACACTTTAAAATAACTATTATAGAAAAGATGAACAAGGACAAAATGAGTTTTTTTGTTCTTAATTGACATCATAATTGTACATATTTATGGGGTAAAGAGTGATATTTATATATATATATATATACATATATATACACATACATATATACACACACATACACACATGCACACACACACATATATATAAAATCTGAATGAGCAAATCAAGGTAAGGAGCATATTTACCACCTCAAACATTTATCATTTCTTTGTGTGGGGCACATTAAAATTCTCTCTTCTAGCTGTTTGAAAATACAATAAATTATTGTAACTATAGTCACCCTACAGTACTATAGACCACTAGAATGTATTCCTCCTTCCCAGCTGAATTTTTTTATTTGCTGACTTTTCCCTCTACTTCCTCCTCCCTACCCTTCTCAGCAATTTTACTTTCTACTTCTCTGATATCAACTTTTTTAGCTTCTTCACATGAGTGAGATCATGCTGTTTTGTCTTTCTGTGCCTGGCTTGTTTAAATTAACATAATGTCCTCTAGGCTCATCTATATTACTGCCAATGACAGGATTGTATTTATTTTTTATGACTGAATTGTATTCCATTTTGTATATATACTACATTTTCTTCGTTCATCTGTTGGTGGACACTTAGGTTAATCACACGTCTTAGCTATTGTGAATAGTGCTGCAGTAATCATGGGAGTGCAGATAGATATCTCTTCACATAATGATTTCCTTTCCTCTGGATATATGCCTAGTAGTTGAATTGCAAGATCATATGGGAGTTCTGTTTTTAATTTTTTGAGGAACCTCCGTACTGTTTTCCATAATTGCTTTACTAATTACACTCCCCAAACAGTGTATAAGAGTTTCTTTCTCTTTGCATCCTCACCAGAATTTATTATTTTTTTGTCTTTTTGATAATAGCCATTCTACCTGGGGGAGATGATACCTCACTGTGGTTTTGATTTGCATTTACCTAATGATTAGTGATGTTGAGCATTTTTAATATAGTTCTTGTCATTTTTATGTCTTCTTTTAAGAATTGTCTGTTCAGATCAATTGCTTATTTTAGAATTGGTTTATTATTTTTTCTGTTGAGTTGTTTGAGTTCCTTGCATGTTCTGGATATCATTCCCTTGAATGAATAGTTTGCAGATGTTTTCTTCTATTCTGCAGGTTGTTGCTTCACTCTGTCAGTTATTTCTTTTGCTATGCAGAAGCTTTTTAATTTGATATAATACTATATGTATATTTTTGCTTTTGTTGACTGTGATTTTGAGGTCTTTTCCATAAAATCTTTGCTCAGACCAATTTTCTGAAGTGTTTTCTCTACGTTTTCTTCTAGTAATTTCACAGTTTGTGATCTTACATTTAAGTCTTTAATTCATTTTGAGTCAATTTTTGTATTTGGTGAGAGATGGGGGGGGTCTAGTTTATTTTCCTAATATGGATATATAGTTTTTTCAGCACCGTTTATTGAAGATAATGTCCTTTTCCCAGTGGATGTTCTTGCTGCCTTTGTCAAAAATCAGTTGGCTGTAAACATGTGGATTTATTTCTGGGTTCTCTATTCTGTTTCATTGGTCTATATGTCTGTTTTAATACGAATACCATGCTGCTTTGGTTACTATAGCTTTGTAGTATATTTTGAAGTCAGGTAGGGTGATGCCTCCAGCTTTGTTCTTTTGGCTCAGGATTTCATTGTGTATCCAGGGTCTTTTGTGGCTCTACATTCATTATAAGATTGTTTTATTTTATTTTGTTTTAAATGCTGGGATACATGTGCAGGAGATGCAGGTTTGCTACATAGGTAAATGTGTGCCATGGTGGTTTGCTGCACCTATCAACCCATCACCTAGGTATTAATCCCAGCATACATCAACTATTTATCCTGTTGCTCTCCCTCTGCTCGCCCCCTGACAGGCCCCAATATGTGTTGTTCCCCTCCCTGTGTCCATGTGTTCTCATTGTTCAGCTCTCACTTATAAGTGACAACTATGCCATCTTTGGTTTTCTGTTCCTGTGTTAGTTTGCTGAGGATAGTGGCTTCCAGCTCCATCCATGTCCCTGCAAAGGACATGGTCTCATTCCTTTTTATGTCTGCATAGTATTCCATGTTGTATATGTACCACATTTTCTTTTTTTTTAAAGTATACTTTAAGTTCTGGGGTACATGTGCAGAAGGTGCAGTTTTGTTACATAGGTATACATGTGCCATGGTGGTTTGCTGCACCCATCAACCCGTTACCTACATTAGGTATTTCTCCTAATGCTATCCTTCCGCAGCACCCCCACCCGCCAACAGGGCCCAGTGTGTGATGTTCCTCTCCCGGGGTCCATGTGTTCTCCTTGTTCAACTCCCACTTATGAGTGAGAACATGTGGTGTTTGGTTTTCTGTTCTTGTGATAGTTTGCTGAGAATGATGGTTTCCAGCTTCATCCATGTCCCTGCAAAGGACATGAACTCATCCTTTTTTATGGCTGCATAGTATTCCATGGTGTATATGTGCCACATTTTCTTTATCCAGTCTGTCATTGATGGGCATTTGGGTTGGTTCCAAGTTTTTGCTATTGTGAATAATGTCACAATAAACATACATGTGCATGTGTCTTTATAGTAGAATAATTTATAATCCTTTGGGTATATACCCAGTAATGGGATTGCTGGGTCAAATGGTATTTCTAGCTTTAGATTCTTGAGGAAATGCCACACTGTATTCCACAATGGTTGAACTAATTTACACTCCCACCAACAGTGTAAAAGCATTCCTATTTCTCCACATCCTCTTCAGCATCTGTTGTTTCCTGACTTTTTAATGATCACCATTCTAACTGGCATGAGATGGTATCTCATTGTGGTTTTGATTTGCATTTCTCTAGTGACCAGTGATGATGAGCTTTTCTTCATGTTTGTTGGCTGCATAAATGTCTTCTTTTGAGAAGTGTCTGTTCATATACTTTGCCCACTTTTTGATGGGGTTGTTTGTTTTCTTCTTATAAATTTGTTTAAGTTCTTTGTAGATTCTGGATATTAGCTTTTTGTCAGATGGATAGATTGCAAAAATTTTCTCCCATTCTGTAGGTGGCTTGTTCACTCTGATGATAGTTTCTTTTGCTGTGCAGAAGCTCTTTAGTTTAATTAGAACTCATTTGTCAATTTTTGCTTTTGTTGCCATTGCTTTTGGTGATGAGGTCTTTGCCATGCCTATGGCTTGAATGGTATTGTCCAGGTTTTCTTCTAGGATTTTTATGGTTTTAGGTCTTACATTTAAGTCTTTAATCCATCTTGAGTTGATTTTTGTATAAGGTATAAGGAAGGGGTCCAGTTTCAGTTTTCTGCATATGGCTAGGCCAGTTTTCCCAACAGCATTTATTAAATAGGGAATCTTTTCCCCATTGCTTGTTTGTGTCAGGTTTGTCAAAGACCAGATGGTTGTAGATGTGTGGTGTTATTTCTGAGGGCTCTGTTCTATTCCATTGGTCTATATCTCTGTTTTGGTACCAGTGCCATGCTGTTTTGGTTACTGTAGCCTTGTAGGATAGTTTGAAGTCAGGTAGCATGATGCCTCCAGCTTTGTTCTTTTTGCTTAGGATTGTCTTGGCATTGCAGGCTCTGTTTTGGTTCCATATGAAGTTTAAAGTAGTTTTTTTCAATTCTGTGAAGAAAGTCATTGGTAGCTTGATGGGGATAGCATTGAATCTACAAATTACTTTGGAGAGTATGGCCATTTTCATGACATTGATTCTTCCTGTTCATGAGCATGGAATGTTTTTCCATTTGTTTGCATCCTCTGTTATTTCCTTGAGCAGTGTTTTGTAGGTCTCCTTGAAAAGGTCCTTCACATCCCTTGTAAGTTGGATTCCTAGGTATTTTGTTCTCTTAGTAGCAATTGTGAATGGGAGTTCACTCATCATTTGGCTCTCTGTTTGTTTGTTATTGGTGTATAGGAATACTTGTGATTTTTGCACATTGATTTTGTGTCTTGAGACTTTGCTGAAGTTGCTTATCAGCCTAAGGAGATTTTGGGCTGAGACAATGGGGTTTTCTAAATATACAATCATGTCATCTACAAACAGAGACAATTTGACTTCCTCTCTTCCTATTTGAGTACGCTTTATTTCTTTCTCTTGCCTGATTACCCTGGCCAGAACTTCCAACACTGTGTTGAATAGGAGTGGTGAGAGAGGGCATCCCTGTCTTGTGCCAGTTTTCAAAGGGAATGCTTCCAGTTTTTGCCCATTCAGTATGATATTGGCTGTGGGTTTGTCATAAATAGCTCTTATTATTTTGAGATACGTTCCATTAATACCTAGTTTTTTGAGAGTTTTTAGCATGAAGGGGTGTTGAATTTTGTCAAAGGCCTTTTCTGCATCTATTGAGGTAATCATGTGGTTTTTGTCATTGGTTCTGTTCATGTGATGGATTATGTTTATTGATTTGCATATGTTGAACCGGTCTTGCATCCTAGGGGTGAAGATGACTTGATTGTGCTTCTGGATTTTTGATGTGCTGCTGGATTCAGTTTACCAGTATTTTATTGAGGATTTTCGCATCGATGTTCGTCGGAGATATTGGCCTGAAATTTTCCTTTTTTGTTGTATCTTTGCCATGTTTTGGTATCAGGATGATGCTAGCCTCATAAAATGAGTTAGGGAGGATTCCCTCTTTTTCTATTTATTGGAATGGTTTCAGAAGAAACGGTACCAGCTCCTCTTTGTACTCTGGTAGAATTCTGCTGTGAATCCATCTGGTCCTGGACTTTTTTTGTTTGGTAGGCTATTAATTACTGCCTCAATTTCAGAACTTGTTGTCTATTCAGGAACTCTACTTCTTCCTGGTTTAGACTCAGGAGGGTGTATGTGTCCAGGAATTTGTCCCTTTCTTCTAGATTTTCTAGTGTATTTGCATAGGGCTGTTTATAGTATTCTCTGATGGTAGTTTGTATTTTTGTGGGATCAGTGGTGATATCCTCTATATTATTTTTTATTGCATCTATTTGATTCTTCTCTTTTTTCTTCTTTATTAGTCTGGCTTTCTATTTTGTTGATCTTTTCAGAAAACCAGCTCCTGGATTCATTGACTTTTTGAAAAGTTTTTCATGTCTCTATCTCCTTCAGTTCTGCTCTGATCTTAGTTATTTCTTGTCTTCTGCTAGCTTTTGAATTTGTTTGCTCTTGCTTCTCTAGTTCTTTTAATTGTGATGTTAGGGTGTCAATTTTAGATCTTTCCTGCTTTCTCTTGTGGGAATTTAGTGCTATAAATTTCCCTCTATGCATTGCTTTAAATGTGTCCCAGAGATTCTGGTCTTTGTTCTCATTGGTTTCAAAGAACATCTTTATTTCTGCCTTCATTTTGTTATGTACCCAGTAGTCATTCAGGAGCAGGTTGTTCAGTTTCCATGTAGTTGTGTGGTTTTGAGTGAGTTTCTTAATCCTGAGTTCTAGTTTGATTGCACTGTGGTCTGAGAGACTCTTTGTTAGGATTTCTATTCTGTTGCATTTGCTGGGGAGTGTTTTACTTCCAATCATGTGGTCAATTTTAGAATAAGTTTGATGTGGTGCTGAGAAGAATGTATATTCTGTTAATTTGGGGTGGAAAGTTCTGTAGATGTCTATTAGGTCTGCTTGGTCTAGAGCTGAGTTCAAGTCCTGAATATCCTTGTTAATTTTCTGTCTTGTTGATCTGTCTAATATTGACAGTGGAGTGTTAAAGTCTCCCACTATTATTGTGTGGGAGTCTAAGTCTCTTTGTAGGTCTCTAAGAACTTGCTTCATGTATCTGGGTGCTCCTGTATTAGGTGCATATATATTTAGGATAGTTAGCTCTTCTTGCTGCATTGGTCTCTTTACCATTATGTAATGGCCTTCTTTGTCTCTTTTTGATCTTTGTTGGTTTAAAGTCTGTTTTATCAGAAATTAGGATTGCAATTCCTGCTTTTTTTGCTTTCCATTTGCTTGGTAAACATTCCTCTATCTCTTTATTTTGAACCTATTTGTGTCTTTGCATGTGAGATGGATCTCCTGAATACAGCACACTGATGGGTCTTGACTCTTTATCCAATTTGCCAGTCTTGTGTCTTTTAACTGTGGCATTTAGCCCATTTATGTTTATGGTTAATATTGTTATGTGTGAATTTGGTCCTGTCATTATGATGCTAGCTGGTTGTTTTGCCTGTTAGTTCATGCAGTTTCTTCATAGTGTTGATATTTTTTACAATTTGGTATGATTTTGCAGTGGCTGGTACCGGTTATTCCTTTCCATGTTTAGTGCTTCCTTCAGGAGCTCTTCTAAGGCAGGCCTAGTGGTGACAAAATCAGCATCTGCTTGTCTGTAAAGGATTTCATTTCTCCTTCACTTATAAAGCTTAGTTTAGCTGGATATGAAATTCTGGGTTGAAATTCTTTTCTTTAAGAATGTTGAATATTGGCCCCCACTCTCTTCTGGCTTGTAGGATTTCTGCAGAGATATCTGCTGTTAGTCTGATGGGCTTCCCTTTGTAGGTAACCCAACCTTTCTCTCTGGCTGCCCTTAACATTTTTCCTTCATTTCAACCTTGGTGAATCTGACGATTATGAGTCTTGGGGTTGCTCTTCTCAAGGAGTATCTTTGTGGTGTTGTCTGTATTTCCTGAATTTGAATGTTGGCCTGTCTTGCTAGGTTGGGGAAGGTCTCCTGGATAATATCCTGAAGAGTGTTTTCCAACTTGGTTCCATTCTTCCTGTCACTTTCAGGCATACCAATCAAATGTAGGTTTGGTCTTTTCTCATAGTTCCATATTTCTTGGAGGTGTTATTCATTCCTTTTTATTCTTTTTTCTCTAATCTTGTCTTCATGCTTTATCTTATTAATTTGATCTTCAATCACCGATATCCTCTCTTCTGCTTGATCAATTTGACTATTGATACTTGTGTATGCCTCACGAAGTTCTCGTGCTGTGTTTTTCAGCTCCATCGGGTCATTTATGTTCTTCTCTAAACTGGTTATTCTAGTTAGCAATTCCTCTAACCTTTTTTCAAGGTTCCTAACTTCCTTGCATTGGGTTAGAACATGCTCCTTTAGCTCAGAGGAGTTTGTTATTACCCACCTTCTAAAGCCTACTTCTGTCAATTCATCAAAATCATCCTCCTTCCAGTTTTGTTCCCTTACTGGTAAGGAGTTGTGATCCTTTGGAGAAGAGGCGTTCTGGTTTTTGGAATTTTCAGCCTTTTTGTGCTGGTTTCTCCCCATCTTTGTGGATTTATCTACCTTTGGTCTTTGATTTTGGTGAGCTTTGGATGGGGTCTTTGAGTGGATGTGCTATTCCTTTCTGTTTGTTAGTTTTCCTTCTAACTGTCAGGCCCCTCTGCTGCAGGTCTGCTGGAGTTTGTTGGAGGTCCACTCCTGACCCTGTTTGCCTGGGTATCACCAGCAGAGGCTGCAGAACAGCAAAGATTGCTGCCTGTTCTTTCCTCTGGAAGCTTCATCCCAGAGGGGCACCCACCAGATGCCAGCCAGAGCTCTCCTGTATGAGGTTCTCTCAGCCCCTACTGGGAGGTGTCTCCCAGTCAGGATTCACGGGTGTCAGGGACCCACTTGAGGAGGCAGTCTGACCCTTAGCAGAGCTTGAACACTGTGCTGGAAGGTCTGCTGCTCTATTCAGAGCCGTCAGGCAGGGATGTTTACGTCTGCTGAAGCTGTGCCCACAGCCTCCCCTTCCCCCAGGTGCTCTCTCCCAGGCATATAGGGGTTTCATTTATAAGTCCCTGACTGGAGCTCCTGCCTTTTTTTCAGAGATGCCCTGCCCAGAGAAGGGAAATCTGGCAGTCTGGCCACAGTAGCCTTGCTGAGCTGCAGTGGGCTCCACCCAGTTCAAACTTCCTGGTTGCTTTGTTTACACTGTGAGTGTAAAACTGCCTACTCAAGCCTCAGCAATGGTGGAAGCCCCTCCCCCCACCAAGCCTGAGTGTCCCAGGTCAATCTGACTGCTACTGTGCTGACAGCAAGAATTTCAAGCCAGTAGATCTTAGTTTGCTGGGTTCCATGGGTGTGGGACCTGCCAAGCCAGAACACTTGGCTCCTTGGCTTCAGCCGCATTTCCAGAGTAAGTGGTTCTGTCTTGCTGGTGTTCCAGGTGCTACTGGGGTATGGAAAACAAACAAACAAACAAACAAACAAACAAACAAACAAACAAACAAAAAACTCCTGCAGCTAGATCAATGTCTGCCCAAATGGCTGCCCAGTTTTCTGCTTGAAACCCAGGGCCCTGGTGGGGTAGGCACCAGAGGGAATCTCCTGGTCCGCAGGTCGTGAAGACAGTGGTTCAAGCACAGTATCTGGGCCAGAGTGTGCATGGTTCCTCCAGCTCAGTCCCTCACAGCTTCCCTTGGGTAGGGGAGAAAATTTCCTGACCCCTTGTGCTTCCTGTGTGAGGCAATGCCCCACCCTGCTTTGGCTCACCCTTCATGGGCTACACCCACTGTCCAACCAGTCCCAATGAGATGAACTGGGTACCTCAGTTGGAAATGCAGAAATCACCCGCCTTCTGCATTGATCTCACTGGGAGCTGCAGACTGGTGCTGTTCATATTCAGCCATCTTGCCAGCAATCACTACATTTTTTTATCCAGTCTATCACTGATGGGCATTTGGGTTGATTCCAAGTCTTTGCTATTGTAAACAGTGCTGCAGTAAACATATATGTGCATGTATGTTCTCTTTATAAGATAATGATTTATATTCCTCTGGGTATACACCCAGTAATGGGATTGCCAGGTCAAATTTTATTTCTAGTTCTAGGTCTTTGAGGAATCCCAGACCCTCCTGCACAATGGTTGAACTATATTTACATTCCCAACAACAATGTAAACGTGTTCCGATTTCTCCACAGCCTTGCCAGCATCTATTGTTTCTTGACTTTTTAATAATCACCATTCTGACTGGTGTGAGATGGTGTCTCAATGTGGTTTTGATTTGCGTTTCTCTAATGATCAGTGATGTTGAGCTTTTTTTCATATGTTTCTTGGCCACATAAATGTCTTCTTTTGAGAAGTGTTTGTTTATTTTCTTTGCCCACTTTTTAATGGGCATTTGTAGGTTGTCTATTCACTCTGATGATAGTTTATTTTGCTGTGCAGAAGCTCTTTAATTGATCCAATTTGTCAATTTTTGCTTTTGTTGAAATTTGATGTTTCTGTCATGAAACCTTTGCCTATGCCTATGTCCTGAATGGTATTGCCTACATTTTCTTCTAGGGTTTTTATAATTTTGGGGTTTACATTTAAGTCTTTAACCCTCTTGAGTTAATTTTTGTATAAGGTGTAAGGAAGGTATCCAGTTTCAATTTTCTGCATATGGCTAGCCACTTTTCCCAGTGCCATTTGTTATATTGGGAATCATTTCCCCATTGCTTGCTTTTGTCAGGTTTGTTGAAGATCTGATGGTTGTAGATGTGTAATCTTATTTCTGATATCTCTATTCTGTTCCATTGGTCTATGTGTCTGTTTTGGTACCAGTACCATGCTGTTTTGGTTACTGTAGTCTTGTAGTATAGTTTGAAGTCAGGTAGCATGATGCCTCCAGCTTTGTTCTTTATGCTTAGGATTGTCTTGGCTGTATGGGCTATTTTTTGGTTCCGTATGAATTTCAAAGTAGCTTTTTCTAAATCTGTGAAGAATATCAATGGCAGTTAATGGGAATAGCATTGAATCTATAAATTACTTTGGGCAGTATGGCCATTTTCATGATATTGATTCTTCCTATCCATGAGCATGGAATGTTTTTCCATTTGTTTGTGTCTTCTCTTATTTCCTTGAGCAGTTGTTTGTAGTTCTGCTTAAAAAGTCCTTCATGTCCCTTGTTAGCTGTATTCCTAGATATTTTATTCTCTTTGTAGCAATTGTGACTGGGATTTCATTCATGATTTGGCTCTCTCCTTGTCTATGGTTGGTGTATAGTAATGCCTGTGATTTTTGCACATTGATTTTGTATCCTGAAACTTTGCTGAAGTTGCTTATCAGCTTAAGGAGCTTTTGGGCTGAGATGATGGAGTTTTCTAGATATAGGATCATATCATTTGCAAACAGAGGCAATTTGACTTTCTCACTTCCTATTTGAATATCCTCAATTTCTTCCTCTTGCCTGATTGCCCTGGCCGGAATTTCCAATACTGTGTTGAATAGGTGTGGTGAAAGAGGGCATACTTGTCTTGTCCTGGTTGTCAAAGGGAATGCTTCCAGCTTTTGTCCATTCAGTATGATATTGGCTGTGGGTTTGTCATAAATGGCTCTTATTTTATATATATAGATATCTCCATCTCAAATATATATGTATATATTTTATACATATATAATATGTATAATGTGTAATATATAATATATATTATATAATAAATATATGTGTAATATATAATATATATTATATAATAAATATATGTGTAATATATAATATATATTATATATAATAAATATATGTGTAATATATAATATATAATAAATATATGTGTAATATATAATATATAATAAATATTATATATAATAAATACAAATATTATATATAATAAATGCAATATAAAATAAATATTATAAATAATATATATTATATATAATAAATACATATATATTTTAGATAGAGTTTTGCTCTGTCACCCAGGCTGGAGTCCAATCATGCTATCTCAGCTCACTGCAACCTCTGCCTCCAGAGTTCAAGTGATTCTCCCACCCCAGCCTCCTGAGTAGCTGGGACTACAGGCACATACCCCCATGTCTGGCTAATTTTTGTATTTTTAGTAGAGACAGGGTTTTGCCATGTTGACCAGGCTGGTCTTGAACTCCTGAACACAGGTGATCCATCCACCTTGGCTTCCCATAGTGCTGGGATTACAGGTGTGAGCCACTGTGCTCAGCTATTTTGAGATATATTCTATCAATACCTAGTTTATTGAAAGTTTTTAACATAAAGGGATGTTGAATTTTATTGAAGACCTTTTCTGTGTCTATTGAGATAATCATGTGGTTTTTTTCTTTAGTCTGTTTATGTGATGAATTACATTTATGGATTTGCATATGTTGAACCAGCCTTGCATCCCAGGGATGAATCTGACTTTGTCATGGTGTTCATGTGCTGCTGGATTCGGTTTGCCAGTATTTTATTGAGGATTTTTGCATCGATGATCATCAGGGATATTGGCCTGATTTTGTGTGTGTGTGTGTGTGTGTGTGTGTGTGTGTGTATGTATCTGCCAAGTTTTGGTATCAGGATGATGCTGGCCTCATAAAATGAATTAGGGAGAAGTGCCTCCTTTTCAATTGCTTGAAATAGTTTCAGAAGAAATGGTACCAGCTCCTTTTTGTACCTATGGTAGAATTCAGCTGTAAATTTCTCTGGTCCTGGGCTTTTGTTGGTTGGTAGGCTATTTATTACTGCCTCAATTTCAGAACTTGTTATTGGTCTATTAAGGGATTTCACTTCTTTTTGGTTCAGTCTTGAAAGGGTGTATGTGTCTAGGAATTGATGCGTTTCTTCTAGATTTTCTAGTTTATTTGAATAGAAGTGTTTATAATATTCTCTGATGGTTGTTTGTATTTCTGTGGGGTCAGTGGTGATAGCTCCTTTGTCATTTTTTATTATGTCCATTTGATTCTTCTCTTTTTTCTTCTTTATTAGTCTAGGTAGTAGTCTATTAATTTTTTTCAAAAAAACAGCTCCTGGATTCATTGATGTTTTGAAGGGTTTATTGTGTCTCTATCTCCTTCAGTTCCACTCTGATCTTGGTTATTTCTTGTCTTCTGCTAGCTTTGGGGTTTGTTTGCTCCTGGTTCTCTAGTTCTTTTAGTTGTGATGTTAGGGTGTTGATTTGAGATCTTTCAAGCTTCTTGATGTGGCCATTTAGTGCTATAAATTTCCCTCTTAACACTGTTTTAGCTGTGTCACAGAGACTCTGGTATATTGTCTCTTTGTTCTCAGTAGTTTCAAAGAACTTCTTGATTTCTGCCTGAATTTCATCATTTACCAAGGAGTCACTCAGGAGCAGCTTGTTCAATTTCCCTGTAGTTTTGTGGTTTTGAGTGAATTTCTTAATCTTGAGTTCCAATTTGATTGCACTGTGGTTTCAGAGACTATTATGATTTCACTTATTCTGCATTTGCTGAGGAGTATTTTACTTCCAATTATGTGATTGAGTAGAGTAAGTGCCATGTGGCACTGAGAAGAATGTATATTCTGTTGTTTTGGGGTGGAGAGTTCTGTAGATATCTATCAGGTTCACTTGATCCAGGGCTGAGTTCAGTTCCTGAATATCTTTGTTAATTTTCTGTTTCAATGATCTGTCTAATATTGACAGTGGGATGCTAAAGTCTCTCACTATTATTGTGTGGGAGTCTAAGTCTCTTTGTAGGTCTCTAAGAACTTGTTTTATGAATCTGGGTGCTCCTGTATTGGGTGCATATATATTTAGGATAATTATCTCTTCTTGTTGAATTCATCCCTTTACCATTATGTAATGCCTTTTTTGTCTTTTTTGATTTTTGTTGGTTTAAAGTCTGTTTTGTCAGAAACTAAGATTGCAACTCTGCTTTCTTCTGCTTTCCATTTGCTTGGTAAATTTTCCTCCATCTCTTTATTTTGAGCCTATTTGTGTCTTTGCATGTGAGATGTGTCTCCTGAATACAGTACACCAATGGGTCTTCACTCTTTATCCAGTTTGCCATTGTGTGCCTTTTAATTGGGGCTTTTAGCCCATTTACATTTAAGATTAATGTTGTTATGTGTGAATTTGATCCTGCCATCATGATGCTTGCTGGTTATTTTGCAGACTTGTTTATGTAGCTGCTTCATTGTGTCATTGGACTTTGTACTTCACTGTGTTTTGCAGCGCCTGGTACCAGTTTTTCCTTTTCATATTTAGTGCTTCCTTCAGGAGCTCTTGCAAGTCTGGCCTGGTGGTGACAAATTCCCTCAGCATTTTCTTGTCTGAAAAGGATTTTATTTCTCCTTTGCTTATGAAGCTTAGTTTGGCCAGATATGAAATTCTGGGCTGAAAATTCTTTTCCATAAGAATGTTGAATATTGGCCCCCAAACTCTTCTGGCTTGTAGGGTTTCTGCAGAGAAATCCGCGGTTAGTCTGGTAGGCTTCCCTTTATCGGTGATCTTGCCTTTCTCTCTTGCTGCCCTTAACACTTTTCCCTTCATTTTAACCTTGGAGAATTTGATGATTATATGTCTTGGGGTTTATCTTCTTGTGGAGTATCTTACTGGGGTTCTCTGTATTTCCTGAATTTGAATGTTGGCCAGTCTTGTTAGGTTGGGAAAGTTCTTCCAGATGATATCCTGAAGTATGTTTTCCATCTTGGTTTTGTTTTCCCTGCCTCTTTCAGGTACCCCAATCCATCATAGGTCCCATATTTTTACATAGTCCTATAATTCTCAGAGGTTTTGTTTGTTCCTTTTCCTTCTTTTTTCTTTAATCTGTTCTGCCTGTCTTATTTCAGCAACATAGTCTTCAAGCTCTGAAATTCTTTTTTCTGTTTGGTCTATTTGGTTATTGATACTTGTGGTTGCATTGTGAAGTTCTTGTGTTGTGTTTTTCAGCTTCGTCAGGTAATTTATGTTCCTCTCTGAACTGGTTATTCTGATTAACATCTCCTGTAATATTGTATCATGGCTCTTGGCTTCTTTGCCTTGAGTTAGAACATGCTCCTTTAGCTCAGCGAAGTTTGTTATTAGCCCCCTTATGAAGCCTACTTCTGTCAATTTGTCCATCTCAGTCTCTGCTCAGTTCTGTGCCCTTGTTGGAGAGGTGAAGTCTTGTGAAGAGGAGGCACTCTGGCTTTCTGAGTTTTCATCACTTTTTTTGTTGATTCTTTCTCATCTTCATAAGTTTGTCTAGCTTCAATCTTTGAGGCTGCTGACCTTTGGATGGGGTTTTTGTGGAGACTTTTTCATTGATGCTGTTGTTGTTGTTGCTTTCTGTTTGCTTTCTGTTTGCCTTTCTTTTAACAGTCAGGCCCTTCTTCTGTAGGGCTGCTGCCGTTTGCTGGGGGTTCACTCCAAACCCTATTTTCCTCCTACCCTCCCACACCTGGAGGTGTCACCTGAGGATGCTGCAGAACAGCAAAGATGGCTTCCTGCTCCTTCCCCCAGGATCTCTGCCCCCAAGGGGCACTGATCTGATGCCAGCAGGAATGCTCCTGTATAAGGTGTCTGGCAACCCCTTTTGGGGGTGTCTCACCCAGTTAGGGGGCATGGGTTCTGGGATCTGCTTAACGAAGCACTCTGGCTGCCCCTTGGCAGAGGGGCTGTGCTGAACTGTGGGGAATCCCACTCGTCTGGGCTGCCTGCATTTCTCAGAGCCAGCAGAAGGAAAGACTAAATCTGTTGATCCACAGAGACCATGGCTCCCCCTCTTCCCAGGGGCTCAGTCCCAGGGAGATCAGAGTTCTGTCCCTAAATCCCTGACTGGAGTTGCTGAAATTCCTGCAGGGCGGCCCAGCCCAGAGAGGAGGGAATGGGTCAGAGTCCAGCCTAAAAAGGCAGCCTGGCCATGATCTGCCACAGCCATTGTGCTGTGCTGTGGGGAATTCCTCCTGGGTGCAAACCATTCTGTCTCCCCAGTCCCAGCAGGGGAAAAATGGCAGGCTGGAGCTGCAGTGATGGCTGCTGCCCATCCTTCCTGGAATTCAGTCATCTTAGGCACCAGGCAGCCACAGTGATAATGGCTTCCCTTCCCTCAAGGAGCTCAGTAGTCTTAGGCACTCTCCAGCTGAGTGGCTGCTGAGAATCTGCACAACTCTGTGCTTGGGACCCAAGGCCCTGGTGGCATGGGCTCATGAGTGGGATTCCCTGATCTGTGGGTTGCACAGATCCTTGGAAAAAGTGTGGCTTCCCACTGCCTCCTTTGGCTGGGGGTGGGAGCTCGCTTTGCCCCATGTGGGTCTTAGGCTGTTGCACCACTCTGATTTTCCTCACTCTCCATGAGTCACAAACCACCTAGTTCCAATGACAGAACCTGGATACCTCAGTTACTGGTGCAGGATTCACTCACTGTTTTGATTCTTCTCAGTGGGAGCCTCCAATTGCAGCTGTTTTTATTTAGCCATCTGGGATCCTCCCTTCCTGCTTTTTCTATTTCTGTGAGGAATGACTTTGGTAATTTGATAGAGATTGCATTGAATCTGTAAATTGCTTTGGATATTATGATCATTTTAAATAATATTATATATTCCAATCCATGAACATGAGATATATGTCTTTCCATTTTTTTGTGTGTCCTCTTCAATTTCATCAGTGTTTTGCAGCTTTCATTGTAGAGATCTTTCACCTCCTTGATTCAATTTATTCCTAGGTATTTTATCTTTCAGTAGATGTTGTAGATGGGATTGCTTTATTGATTTCTCTATCAGCTAGTTCATTATTAATGTATAGAAACACTACTGATTTTTGCTTGTTGATTTTGTATCCTGCAACTTTACTGAATTAGTTTATCATTTCTTAGAGTTTTTTTGGTGAATCCTTTAGGTTTTCTATTATATAAGATCATGTTATTTGCAAACAGAGATAATTTGGCTTCCTCCTTTCAAATTTGAATGCCCTTTATTTCTTTCTCATGCCTGATTGCTCTGGCTAGGACTTCCAGCACTATGTTGAATAAGAGTGGTGAAAGTTGGCATTCTTACCTTGTTCCAGTTCTTAGAGGAAAAGCTTTTAACTTTTCCCCATCCAATAGAAGTGAACTGTGGGTTTGTCATATATGATCTTTACCGTGTTGAGGTATGTTCCTTGTATGCCTAATTTGTTGACAGTTATTTTTTTAACCATGATGGGATGCTGAACTTTATCAAATGCTTTTTGCATCTATTGAGATGATCATATGGTTTTTGTCTATTTTGTTGGTGTGATTTATGGTGTTTATTGATTTGTGTATGTTGAACCATCCTTCCATCCCTGGGATAAATCTTACTTGGTTTTGGAGTATATTTTTGATGTGCCATTGGATTTGGTTTGCTAGTATTTTGTTGAGGGTTTTGCATCTATGTTCATCAGGATACTGGCCTGTAGCTTGCTTTTTTTGTTGTGTTCTTATTTTGTTTTGGTTGTAGATATCTGGTGTTATAGAATGAATTTGGAATTTTTCTCTTGCAATCAATTTTTTGGAATAGTTTTAGATAAATTGGTGTTTGTTATTCTTTAAAAGTTTGGTATAATTCAGCAGTGAAGCCATCTGGTTCTGGGCTTTTCTTTTTGTTGGGAGGCTTTTAAATTACTGAGTCTATCTTGTTTTTCACTACTGGTCTGCTTTTTTTTTTTTTTTTTTTTGGTTCAATCCTGGTTGAACCAAGGTTGTATGTTTCCAAGAGTTTATCCATTTTTTCTAGGTTTTTCAATTTGTTTATGTGCAGTTGTTCATGATAGTTTCTAATTATCCTTTCTATTGCAGCAATGTCAGTTGTAATGTTTCTTTTTTCCATTCTGATTTTATTTGTTTGGGTTTTCTTTCTCTTTTTCTTAGTGTAGCTAAAGTTTTGTCAGTTTTCAACAAAACAGCTTTTTATTTTGTTGAACCTTTGTATTTTTTCGTCTCTATTTTGTTTGGTTTTGCTCTAATCTTTATTATTCCTTTTCTTTTACTAATTTTGGGTTTAGTTTGTTCTTGCCTTTCTGCTTTCTTGAGTTACATTGTTAGGTTGTTCACTTGAAATCTTTTTTTTTATGTAGGTGTTTATTGTTATAAAATTCCCTCTTAGCACTGCTTTTATTATATACCATAGGTGTGTTATGTTGTGTTTTCATTTACATTTGTTTCAAAAAATGTTTGACTTTCTTCTCAATTTCTTCATTGGACCATTGGTTGTTCAGGAACAAGTTGTATAATTTATACGTATTTATACAGTTTTTGAAGTTCTTCTTTTTACTGATTTCTAGTTTTATTTTGTTGTGGTCTGAAAAGATATTTGATATGAGTTCAATTAAAAAAAAATTCTTTGAGACTTGTTTTGTGGCTTAACATATGGTCTATCCTGGAGAATGTTTTATGTGCTGCCAAGAAGAATATGTATTCTGCATCTGTTGGACAAAATGTTCTGTAGTCTGTTAGGTCCATTTGGTCTGTAGTGCAGTTTAAATCTAATGTTTGTTGAATTTCTTTCTAGATAATCTATTTAATACTCAGAGTGAGGTGTTCAAGTCCCCAGCTATTATTGTATTGGGGTCTATCTCTCCTTTTACATCTAATAATATTTGCTTGATACATCTGGGTGCTGAAGTGTTGAGTGTATATATATTTAGAATTGTTATATCCTCTTGGTGAATTAATTCCCTTATCATTATATAATAAACTTGTCTCTTTTTACAGTTTTTGACTTAAAGTGTATTTCATCTTATATAAGTATAGCTACTTTTACTCATTTTTTGGTTTCTGTTTGTATGGAATATCTTTTTCCATCCTTCAGTTTCAGTCTATGTGTATATGTGCACCTTTATAGAAGAGGTTAATTTTTTTTTTTTTTGAGACAGGGTCTCACTCTGTTGCCCAGGCTGGAGAGCAGTGGCATGATCTCAGCTCATTGTAACCTTCACCTCCCTGGTCCAAGCAATTCTCCAGCCTCAGCCTCCTGAGTAGATGGGACCACAGGCGTGTGCCACCACACTTGGCTAATTTTTGTATTTTTTGTGGAGATAGGCTTCACCATGTTGCCTCGGCTGGTCTCAAACTCGGGTCTTGTTTTATTATTCACTTAGCTAGTCTGTATCTTTTAATTATGGAATTTAGTCCATTTACATTCAAAATCATTATTGATAGGTGAAGACTTATTCTTATCTTTTTTTAAATTATTTTCTGGCTGTTTTGATATTGTTTGTTATTTTTTTCCTCTCTCATTTTTTATCCTTGTGGTTTGGTGTTTTTCATAATTGTAGTTAGTGTGTTTTTCTTTCTGGATATAGAACTCCTTTAAGGATTTCTCATAAGGCCCATCAAGTTATCACACATTCCCTCAGTTCTTGCTTGTCTGGAAAGGGCTATTTCTCCTTCATTTTTGAGAATAGCTTTGCTGAATACAGTACTTTTGGCTGGCAGTTTTGTTCTTTCAGCACTTTGAATACATCATCCCATTCTCTTCTGGCCTTTAAGATTTCTGCTGTAACCTTATATGTGTATTCCCTTATATGTGACTTGGGGAAATCTGTTTGTGTTTTTTCTATTTGGGATTTTCTTACATGTGACTCGATGCTTTTCTTTTGCTATTTTAAGAATTCTCGGCCGGGCGCGGTGGCTCACGCCTGTAATCCCAGCACTTTGGGAGGCCGAGGCGGGCGGATCACGAGGTCAGGAGATCGAGACCATCCTGGCTAACACGGTGAAACCCCGTCTCTACTAAAAATACAAAAAATTAGCCGGGCGTGGTGGCGGGCGCCTGTAGTCCCAGCTACTCGGGAGGCTGAGGCAGGTGAATGGCGTGAACCCGGGAGGCGGAGCTTGCAGTGAGCCGAGATCGCGCCACTGCACTCCAGCCTGGGCGACAGAGCGAGACTCCGTCTCAAAAAAAAAAAAAAAAAAGAATTCTCTCTCTGCTTTTGACTTGTGGCAGTTTTACTATAACGTCCCTTGGAGAGGACCTATTTGGCCTGAATCTGTTTGGGAACTTTTGAGCTTCCTGGATCTGGATGTCCAAATTTTTCCCAAGACTTGGGAAGTTTTCAGCTTTTATTTCATTAAATAGATTTTCTATTCCTTTCCCCATCTCTTATCCTTTTGGAAATCACATAATACAAAAAATTGTTCTCTTAATGGTGTCCCATAGATCCTATAGGCTTATTTCACCTTTTATTTTTTTTCTTTGATCTGACTTATTTCAAAAGGCCTGTCTACAAGTTTGGAAATTCTTTCTTCTACTTGATCTAGTCTATTGTTCAAGGTCTTGGTTATATTCTTAATTTTATTCATTTAAATCTTCAGCTTCAAGATTTCTGTTTCTTTGTTTTTAAATAATATTGATCTCTTTGTTGAATTTCTCATTCACATCATGTATTATTTTACTGATTTATTAGTATTATTTATCATCATTATCTTGTATTACAGTAAGTTTCCTTAAGATCACTATTTCAAATTCCTTTTCAAGCTTTTTATATATTTGATTTTCTTTGAAGTGTGTACAGGAATATTATTGTGTTCCCTTGCAGATGTCATATTTTCTTGCTTTTTCATGTTTTTGTATTCCTACATTGATATCTGTGCATCTGGTGGAATTCTCACCTCTTCCAATTTTATGGAGTGGCTTTCTTAGAAAAAGATTTTTTCTGTAGTTGTGACCTATAGTGTTGGTTGGGTAGGGTGCTTTGGTATTGGTTCTGGATGCATGCAGTAGTAAAGTCTCTATGTGATTTCTTTGGCTGTAATTAATGTCAGTGATTTCTCCAGATGCCTCAGTGGCCTAAATTGCAGGGTTTGTGGAGGCATTGGAGCAGCTTTGCTGAGGATGGAGTTTCTGATGGTGGTTTGCCTTGGGCAGGTCAGTCCTTGGTACCTGAGGGGAATGTGCACAGTGTGTGGTAGCTCTGCCAATTAAGGGGTCTGAATTGCTAGCTGATACTGGCCACACCTATCCTTGGGCCCTGGGTTATGTGTGTGTGTGTGATTCTGCAGCTTTTTTGGTTGAGGGGGAGGGGCAACTGGCAGTGGCAGGCATCAGGTCGGCCCATCCTTTGGCCCTGGGGGGCACAAGTGTTGTGCATGGTAGCTCCACCAGTCAAGGGTGTGGGGTTGCTGATGGCAGTGGGTGCCAGATAGGTCTGTCTTTGAGCCCTGGGGCATGCATGTATGGCACACATGGTGGCCCCATTGGTTGAGGGTGTGAGGTTGCTGGTGGCTGCAGATTCTAGGTGGCTGGCTTTCAGGCCCTGGAGAGTGCATGCTTTGGTTTTCCCAGTCCTGGGTGTGGTCCCCCACTGCACTGACTGCCTGGTTCCATGGGGTGTAGGGAGCTAAGTAGGCTTGGGTGTTGAGATCATGACTCTAACACTGGGTCTATCTGGAGTCATGACACTGCAGCCCTTTGTTTGGGCATGGTGGGGTGAAAAGGGGATCCAGGGATGTGAAGATGCAGGGGCTATTGGGTTCCAGGGCAGGATGCGCTTTAGCAGTAGCTCTGTTTGCAAAGTGGTGACAGGCTGCAGCAGCTTGGGTCCTGGGGATTTGGGGAGATCCAGCATGAATTTCCTCTCTGGAGCAATGCAGCTATATGGACTCCAAGCAGCTCGCTATATTGGGCTTAGGGTCTGTGAGGACTGTGGGACTCTTATATAGCTGAGATTGCAGGTGTCCATGGTGATAATGGGCACTGCTGAAGACTTCCCACTACCCTTTCTCCATAGTAGGAATCTCTCATGGCTCTGAGCTGATCCTAGGCATGGACTTTGCTTCTTTCTCTATGCTGCCATCCTTAGTTTCTGTGCCTCAGAGGGTATTCTTCACTTCCTTGTTGAATTCCAATGTTCTCCTTTAGATTCTCTACTCAAAGTACAGTGATATATTTATTGTTTTGGTCCTTCTTTGAGGGGGGAGGTCGGTGTTGTGCACCTCTAGTCAGCCATTTTGATTTGTAGCCCCAAATGGATTTAACAGAGTAAGATTTAAACAGAGAATTATCACATATACAAAATAAAATGGCCATTGTAGAGCAGAAAAATAAAAATGCAGTATCTGAAATTTAGAAGTCATTGGATAAGTTTAACACCACATTCTATACAGCTAAAGATAGAATCAATGACATCAAGCACCCTAAAAATATTTAAATAAATCATTCAAACTGAAGCATAGAGAGAAAATGGAATAGAAAGAACAGAACAGGGGGCCAAGGGCTATATAGGACCCAGTCAAATTGATTAACATGAATGTAGTGGAGTTCCTGATGGAGGAAATAGAGAATGGGTAGAAGCAATATTTGAAAAAAGATAATGACCAAGAATTTCCCCAAACTGATGAAAAATAAGTTTACAGATCCAGCTTCTCAGTCAACCCCACACAGAAAAGGCATAAAGAAAACCACCAATGCACATCAGCCTCAGTAAAGCCACTTAAAATCAAGATAAAGAAAAAAAATCTTAAAAGAAATCAGAGAAAAAAAAGGATATATTAACTTCAAAAGAACAACAGTATCACTGATGGCTGACTTTCAACAGAAACCCTGAAAGCCAGAAAACAGTGGAATGACATCTTTAAAGTGCTAACAGGGAAAAAAACCCTGCCACCTTAGAATTCTATACTCAGTAAAAATATTCTTCAGAAATAATAGTGAAAAAAATAAAAAGAAAGTGATGCAAAGATTTTTCAAAAAATGAAAAAAATTAACTCAGATTTTGTAATTTGTATCTGTATTAAAAGAAATACAAGAAATAATACAAACCATGTTACAAGCACAAAATTAAAGGAAGGAATGAACATAGCTAGAAAGAGTAAATAAAAAGAATACTGACCATTTAAAGTAACAATAATAAAAATGTCTCTTAGGTTTTATAACATGTAGAAGTAAAACATATGACAACAGTAGCATAAAGGGCAGGAGGAAGGAAAGGAGTTAAACTATTCTAAGATTGATGCAATAGGGAAATAGGAAAAGTATACATTTAAAATTATTAGAAATAATTCAAGAATGCATATTGCAATCTCTAGGACAACCACCAAAAAATACATAAAGCTAGTAGAGGAGCTAAAAATGGAATAATAAAAAATACTCAGTTAATCCAAAGGAAGATAGAAAAGACAGGATCAAAGGACAAAAAGCAGATGAGATAAATAGAAAAAAAAATCAAAAGAAAGCTTAAATCCAGTATATCAGCAATTATATGAAATACAAATAAACTAAACACTCTAAGAGGCAAATGTTAGATTGGCCCAACTATGTCCTGTTTATGAGAGCAATTTGCTAAATAAAAGGTCACAAATAGATTGAAAGTAAAATTATGGAAGAGATATGCCATGTAAATACTCACCAAAAGCTAGTCAGTGAGTCTAAAATATCAAAGTAGACTTTAAGGCAAAAAATATTAATGAAAATACAGAGGAACATTTATTAATGTTGAAAGATTCAATTCAATAAGAAGGCAAAACCAATGATACCGAAGATAACTTTAAAATACATAAAACAAAGATTGACAAGATTAAATAGACAAATAGATTTTAATACTCTCTCTCAGTAACTGATAAACACACTCCATAAAAGCTAAAAAGAATAATGAAGATTTGAGCAAAACTGTTAAACAACTTGACCTAATTGACATTTATAGAACAGTATACACAACTGCAGCATGCTCATTATTTTCAGGCAACCATGGAGTATTTATAAAAATAGACTATACTGGAACATAAAACAAATCTCAACAAATTTCAAAGAATTGAAATACTATACAATGTTCTTTCACTGAAGTGGAATTCAACTAGAATTCAGTAATAGAAAAAAGAACCAGAAATCCTCAGAAGTTTATACATTAAGAAATACACTTCTAAATAAATTTTGGGTCAAAGAAGAAATCACAACAAATACTAGAAAACATGTTGAGCTGAATTATAGCAACAAAATAAGAACAGAAATCATTGGAAAAGAAAATATTTACTTAATAGGCATGTAGTTTCAGTTTGCTCATTTGTAAAAGAGGGATAATAACTGAGCCTGCTTCCTTGCATGCTTGTGAGGATTAGATGAGCTAATACCTAAAAATATTTAAAATGGTACTGATCATATAGTAAGCACTCAACAGCTATTAGCTGCTGTTGCTGCTGCTACTACTACCACCATCGTCATCACCACCACTACTACTATTAATACTATTATTACAGGATGAACTATATGCACATATTCTTACTTTAAAAAAATATGGTAATCACCTGGGCTATGAAGGAGTCTGAATGTTCTAAAGCAACTTGTACCTAGCTTGCCAGTTTACATAGGGGCATTCCTATGCCAGAAGGGATGATATATGGTGGAGCTCTCTTTTCAGTATAAATCACATCCTGCCATTACCCTGTTTAAAGTTTTCCTATTGTATTTGATGTATAGTCCAAACTTTCTCTCATGGTCAACAGGGAAGCATTGTCTAACCTCTGCTCAGTTCTTCAACTTCACCTCTTTCCCTTTTCTCACTTTGCTATAAACACTTATTCCTACAGAGTCTTTGCACTGGCTGTTTCATTTAACTGGAATACTTTTTCATCAGCTCCTTGCATGGCATGTTTCTTCTTTTTCAGAAGTCAGCTCAAATGTCACCTTTCTAGAGAAGACTTACCTGACCATCCTGTCTGTGACTGGATTCCCTCTGCCCTATGTTGTTCTCAATCCAAGCATTTGTTCATTTCTTTCTAAGACTGTATCAAAATCT
This sequence comes from Homo sapiens, assembly GCF_000001405.40. Classification (NCBI taxonomy): domain Eukaryota; kingdom Metazoa; phylum Chordata; class Mammalia; order Primates; family Hominidae; genus Homo; species Homo sapiens. Next base: position 91,743,985 of record NC_000007.14, on the reverse strand, counting down.
GTAATTATTCATGTGTTAGTAAACACATGTACTTTGTCTCATTGATTATGTTGTTATATTTATGAGTTTGGGATACTTGCCTCTCATGTTTAGAATGCATTAAAAGTGTCTATTATAGTGGCTGGTGCATAGTAGGTACTGAAAATATTTGTTGAATAAATGACTGAATGTTATAGGTAGGGTTAAGCTCTTGGGTGGGAGGTTACACTAAGTGACCTCTGTTGTCTTATTTTTACTCTAATACCTGAATCTGTGCTATAACTACTCTAAGTAGTTTGTCCTAGGGAGAAAAATGGTAAATTCCAGTAAGAATTAGGCACATTCTTCCATTGGATCTCCTTCTTAGTGGAGCTGTGATAACATGCAGTCATCTTCCTTGAACAGTGATGTGATTCTTTGCTGTGTAGGAATTGACCCCTCTCCCCAAGTCCCTGATTTTACTCTACATAATGCTACACCAAAGAACTTTTAGCAGGCCCAAGATAAACACAATGCATTAATTAAAATGATACCTTAAAATTTAAATTTGACAAATAACAGGCTTCTGGTTGTCACTAAGCAACAGTGTTAGCTCTAAATTGGATGTTTTATGGTTGTTCAGGCAAGGTGTTTCATTGATCTTAGCACTCTTAGCACTCTTTCTCTTGCTCTAGAAAATATAAATTATGGAGGCAGAGCGGGATGGCCAAATAGAAGGCTCAACTGATTATCTCCCCTGCTGGAACACCACATTTAACAATTATCTACACATAAAGCACCTTCATAAGAACCAAAAGTCAGGTGAACACTCACAGTACCTGGTTTTAACTTTGTGTTGCTGAAAGAGACACTGAAGAGGGTAGGAAAGGCAGTCTTGAATTGCTGACACCACTCCTTTCCCATCCTGTGGCTGAAGCTGCGTGGCAATGAGAATCTGTGTTCTTGGGAGAGGGAGAGTACAGCAATTGTGAAACATTGCATTGAACTCGGTGCTGGGCTGAACTCAGCTAATGCCCATCCATGGCGGGAGTATTTAAACCAGCTCTAGTCAGAGGGGAATCACTCATTCCAGCCATTGGAACTTGAGTTCCTGTAAGCCTTGCCACCATGAGCTAAAGTACTCTGGGACTCTAACTAAACTTGAAAGGCAGTCTAGGCCACAAGGACTGCAACTCCTAGGTGAGTCCTAATGCCGAACTGGGCTCAGGCCCAGTGGGCTTGGGGGCAGGTGACCTACTGAGATAGCAGCCAGTGTGGCTAAGAGGAGTGCTTGTGCCACCCCTCCCCAAAACCCCAGCTCATGGCTCCGAAAGAGACCCCTTTCTTCCACCTGAGGAAAGGAGAGGGAAGAGCAAAGAGGGCATTGTCTTGCATCTTGGATACCAGCTTAGTTGCAGTAGGATAGGGTACCAGGCAGAGTTTTGAGGCCCCCATTCCAGACCCTAGTTTCCAGACATTTCTAGACATACTCTAGGCCAAAAGGGAACTCATGCTTCCTTGAAGGGAAGGACACTGTACTAGCAGGACACATCACCTGCTGACCAAAGAACCACTGGGCCCTGAATACCCAGCAATGATACCCAGGTAGTATGCCATGGGCCTTGGGTGGGACTCATGGTTGTGCTGACTTCAGGTGAGACCCAGCAAGTTCCCAGCTATGGTGGCTATGGTGAAAGATTCCTGCTTTAGAAAAGCAAAGGGAAAAGCAAATGGGACTTTTCTCATATCTTACACACTAGTTTGGCCACAGAGGGGTAGAGCACCAAGTGGGTTCTTGGGATCCCTGATTCCAGGCTTTGGCTCCTGGGTAGCATTTCTGGACCTGTCCTGGGCCAGATGGGAGCCTAGCACTCTGAAGGGTGAGTCCCAGTCTTGGCAGCATTCACCACAAGCTGACTGAAGAGTTCTTGGGCCTTAAGGGAACATTGGTCGTAGCCTGGTGGTACTTCCCATGGGACTGTCATGGTGGTGGCCCTGGGGTGAGGCGCCTCTGCCTGTGGAAAGGAGAGGGAAGGGTGGGAAGAACTGTATCTCATGGTTTGCATGCTGGCTCAGCTATGGTAGAATAGAACACCAGAGAGACTTTGAAGGTTTTTGATTCCGGTCTCTGACTCCCAGATGGCACCACTGGATCAACCTGGGGCCTGAGGGAACTTGCCATCTTTAAGGGAAGGACACTAACCTGGCTAGCTTTGCCAACCTGCTGATTGTAGAGCCCTAAGGCCTTGAGTGAAAATAGGTGGTAGCCAGGTAGTGGTTATAGTGGGTCTTGGGTAAGACCCAATGCAGTCATAGTGGTGATGGGCACAGAGATGCTTGTGTCATACCACCCCCAGCTCCAGGTGGCTCAGAACAGAGAAACACTCTGTTTGGGAGAAAGTAAGAAAAGAGAACAAGAGTCTTCGCTTGGTAATCCAAATATTTCTTCTGAATTTTATCCAAGACTATCAAGGCAGTATCTATACAAGTCTGTAAGAACCACAGTGTTACTGGCCTTGGAGTGCCCCCTAAGGCAGATATATCTTAGATCACAATACGCAAGTCCTTTCAAATACGTAGAAAGCCTTTCCAAGAAGGACAGATACAAACAAGCCCAGACTGTGAAGACTACAATAAATATCTAACTCTTCAATGGCCAGACACAGATGAACATCCACACACATGAAGACCATCTAGGAAAACATGACCTCACCAAATTAACTAAATAAGGCACTGGAGACCAATCCTAGAAAAACAGAATGGGACAGTTCAGGAAGAGAATTCAAAAGAGCTATTTTGAGGAAACTCAAAGAAATTAAAAATAACACAGACAAGGAATTAAGAATTCTATCAAATAAACTTAACAAAGAGATTGAAATAATTAAAAAGAATCAAACAGAAATTCTAGAGTTGAAAAGTGCAATTGACTTACTGAAGAATGCATCAGAGTCTTTAATAGCAGAATTGATCAAGCAGAAGAAAGAATTAATGAGCTTGAAGATACGCTATTTGAAAATACACAGTCAAGGAGACAGGCCTTGGCTCTTGGATGGCATTTCTGGACCTAACCTGGGCCAGAGGGGAATTTACCACTCTGAAGGGTGAGTCCCAGACCTGGCAGCATTCACCACAAGCTGACTGAGAGAAGACAAAAGGAAAAAACAATAAAAGTCAGAGGAGACAAAAGAAAAAACAATAAAAACAATGATGTACACCTACAGGATCTAGAAAATGCTCTCAAAAGGGCAAATCTAAGAGTTATTGTCCTTAAGGAGGAAGTAGAGAAAGAGATAGGGAAAGTTTATTCAAAGGGATAATAATAGAGCACTTCCCAAACCTAGAGAAAGATATCAATAGCCAAGTACAAGAAGTTTATAGAACACCAAGCAAATTTACCTAAGGAAGACTACCTCAAGGGATTTAATAAGCAAACTCCCTAAAGTCAAGGATAAAGAAAGGATCCTAAAAGCAGGAAGAGAACAGAGGCAAATAGCTTACAATGGGATTCCAATACATCTGGCACCAGACTTTTCAGTGGAAGTCTTACAGGTCAAGAGAGAGTGGCATGACATATTTAAAGTGCTGAAGGAAAAGACCTTTTACCCTAAAATACTATATCTGGTGAAAATATCCTTCAAACACGAAGGAGAAAATAAAGACTTTCCTAGACAAACAAAAGCTGAGGGATTTCATGAACACCAGACGTGTCCTTCAAGAAATGCTAAAGGGAGTACTTCAATCAGAAAGAAAAGGACATTAATGAGCAATAAAAAATCATCTGAAGGTACAAAAGTCACTGGTAATAGTAAGTACAGAAAAAACCCCACAGACTATTATAAAGTCTGTGTTTACACACCATAGACTTTGGTGGGTAAGATAAGAGTAGTTCATACAGTTATACACTGTAACTGTGGTGTGTAAACTACTCAAGTAGAAATACTAAAAGATGAACCAATCGAAAATAATAACCACAAAAACTTTTCAAGATGTAGACACTACAATAAGATATAAATAGAAACAACAAAAAGTTAAGAAGCGGGGGGATAAAGTTGAGGGGTAGAGTTTTTATTAGTTTTCTTTTTGCTTGTTTGTTTGTTTATGCAAATAGTGTTAAGTTGTTCTTAGCTTAAAATAATGGGTTATAAGATAGTAATTGCAAGCCGCATGGTAACCTCAAATCAAGACATATTATAAATACACAAAAAATAAAAAGCAATAAATTAAATCATACCACCAGAGAAAATTAACTTCATGAGAAGGAAGGCAGGAAGGAAGGAAAGAAGGATGAGAAGCTCACAAAATAAACAAAAAACAAATAACAAAATGGCAGGAGTAAATCTTTACTTATTTATAACAACATTGAATGTAAATGGACTAAACTTGCCAGTCAAAAGACATAGAGTGGCTGAATGGATAAAAAACCAAGAACCAATGATCTATTGCCTACAAGAAACACACTTCATCTATAAAGATATACATAGACTGAAAATAAAGCGATAGAAAAAGTTATTCCATGCCAATGGAAACCAAAAAGGACCAGGAGTCACTATATTTATATCAGACAAAATAGATTTCAAGACAAAAATTATAAGAAGAAACAAAGAAAGTAAGTGTAAAATGATAAAGGGGTCCATTCAGCAAGAGTATATAACAATTTAAAATATATATGCACCCAACACTGGTGCACCCAGATGTATAAAGCAAATATTACTAAAGCTAGAAAGAGACAGATAGGCCCTAATACAATAATAGCTGGAGACTTCAATACCCTACTTCCAGCATTGGACAAATATTCCAGACAGAAACTCAGCAAGGAAACAATGGGTTTAGTCTGTACAGATGGACCTAATAGATATTTACAGAACATTTCATCCAACAGATGCTGAGTACAAATTCTTTTCCTCAGCACATGGATCATTTTCAAGGATAGACCATATGTTAGTTCACAAAACAAGTCTTAAAACATTCAAAAAGTTGAAATAATATCAAGCATTTTCTCTGACCATAATGGAATAAAACCAGAGATCAATAACAAGAGGAACTTTGGGTACTGCAAACACATGGAAATTAAACAATATGCTCCTGAATAACCAGTGAGTCAATGAAGAAATTAAGAAGAAAATGGAAAAATTTCCAGACACAAATGATAATGGAAACATGACATAACCAAACCTATGGGACACAACAAAAGGAGTACTAAGAAGTTTATAGCCATAAGTCCCTTATCAAAGAGGAAGAGAAAAACTCTTTCCATCAAAAAGAGGATAAACTTCAAATAAACAATCTAACACTGCATCTTAAAGAACTAGAAAAGCAAGAGCAAACCAAACCCAAAATTAATAGAAGAAAAGAAATAATAAAGATCAGAGCAGAAATGAATGAATTTGAAATGAAAATAATACAAAAGATCAATGAAACAAAAGTTGGTTTTCTGAAAAGCTAAACAAAATTTACAAACCTTTAGCCAGACTAACCAAGAAAAAGATATAGAAGACCCAAATAAAAAAATCAAAAATGAAACAAGAGACATTACAACCGATACTGCAGAAATTCAAAGGCCCATTAGTGGCTACTATGAGCAACTATATGCCAACAAATTGGAAAATCTAGAAGAAATGGATAAATTCCTACACACTTACAACCTACCAAGATCGAATTATGAAATCCAAAGCCTTGACAGACCAGTAACAGGTAATAAGATTAAAGCCATAATAAAATGTCTCCCATAAAAAAAAACCTAGGACCTGATGACTTCACTACTGTATTCTTCCAAATGTTTAAAGAACTACTGCCAATCCTACTCAGACTATTCTGACAAAGATTGAGGAGGAGGGAATACTTCCAAACTCATTCTACAAGGCCAGTATTACCCTGATACCTGAACCAGACACACACACACACAAACACACACACACACACACACACGCGCACACACACAATACTACAGGCAAATATTCCTGATGAACATTGATGGGAAAATCCTCAACAAAATACTAGCAAACCAAATTAAACAACACATTAAAAAGATCATTCATCACAAGCAAGTGGGATTTTTCCCAGGGACATAAGGATGATTCCACATATGCAAATCAATTAATGTGATACGTTGTATCAAAAGAATGAAGGACAAAAACTATATGATCATTTCAGTTGATGCTGAAAAAACATTTGATAAAATTCAACATCCCTTCAAGTCAAAACTCCTCAAACAACTGGGTATAGAAGGCATACCTCAACATAATAAAAGCCGTATATGACAGACTCCAGCTAGTATCATACTGAATGGGAAAAAACTGAAAGCCTTCACTTCAGATCAACACAATAAGGATGACCACTTTCACCACTGTTATTCAACATAGTACTGGAAGTCCGAGCTAGAGCAATCAGACTAGAGAAAGAAGTAAAGGACATCCAAAATTGGAATGGAAGAAGCCAAATTATCCTTATTTGCAGATGATATGATCTTATATTTGGAAAAACCTAGGCTCCACTAAAAAATAGTAGAATGATAAACAAATTCAGTACAATTGCAGGATACAAAATCAACATAAAAAGCCAGTAGCATTTCTATATGCCAACCACAAACAATCTGAAAAAGAAATTAAGAAACCAATCCTATTTACAATAGCTACATGTAAAATAAAATACCTAGGAATTAACCAGAGAAGTGAAGGATCTTTACAATGAAAACTGTAAAACATTGATGCAAGAAATTGAAGAGGACACACAAAAAAATGGGAAAATATTCCATGTTCATGGTTAGAAGAATCAATATTGTCAAAATGTCCATACTACCCAAAGCAATCTATAGATTTAATGCAATCACTATCAAAATGCCAATGACATTATTCACAGAAATAGTAAAAACAATCCTAAAACTTACATGCTATCACAAAAGACCCAGAATGACCACAGATATCCTAAGCAAAAAGAACAAAACTGAAGGAATTGCATTACCTCAGTTTAAATTACACTACAGAGCTATAGTAACCCAAACAGCATGGTACTGGCATAAAATCAGACATGTAGATCAGTGGAACAGAATAGAGAAACCATAGATAAATTCTTACATCTACAGTGAACTCATTTTTGACAAAGGTTCTAAGAGCATACATTGGGGAAAGGACAGTCTCTTCAATAAATGATGCCAGGAAAACTGGATATCCACATACAGAAGGATGAAACAAGACCACTATCTCTCGCCATATACAAAAATCAAGTCAAAATAGATTAAAGACTAAAATTTAAGACCTCAAACTATGAAACTACTGAAAGAAAACTTCGGGGAAACTCTCCAGGACACTAGATTGGGCAAAGAGTTCTTGAATAATACCCCACAAGCACAGGCAACCAAAGCAAAAATGGACAAATGGGATCACATCAAGTTAAAAAGCTTCTGCACAGCAAAGGAAACAGTCGTTGAAGCGCAGAGACAATCCACAGAATAGGAGAAGATATTTGCAAACTACCTAACCGATAAGTTAATAACCAGAATATATAAGGATCTCAAACAACTCTATAGGAAAAAATCTAATAATCCAATTTAAAAATGGGCAAAAGATTTGAACAGACATTTCTGAAAAGAAGAAATACAAATTGCAGACAGGTATATGAAAAGGTGTACCACATCATTGATCATCAGAGAAATGCAAATCAAAACTACAATGAGCTATCATCTCACCCCAGTTAAAACAGCTTATATCCCAAAGTCAGGCAATAACAAATGCTGCCAAGGATGTGGAGAAAAGGGAACCCTTGTGCACTGTTGTTTGGAATGTAAATTAGTACAATCACTATGGAGAATAGTTTCGAGGTTCACCAAAAGACTAAAAATAGAGCTACCATATGATCCAGCAATCCCACTGCAAGGGCACACCCCAAAGAAAGGAAAGGAGGATATCAAAGAGATATCTGCACTCTTATGTTTATTACAGCACTATTCATAATAACCAAGATTTTGAAACAACCTAAGTTCCACAACACATGAATGGATAAAGAAAATGTGGCACATATACACAATGGAGTACTATTCAGTCATAAAAAAGAATGAGATCTGGTGATTTGCAACAACATGGATGGAACTAGAGGTCATTATCTTTTTTTCTGTAACATTCTTTTTTTAATTATACTTTAAGTTTTAGGGTACATGTGCACAATGTGCAGGTTTGTTACATATGCATACATGTGCCATGTTGGTGTGCTACACCCATTAACTCATCATTTAACGTTACGTATATCTCCTAATGCTATCCCTCCCCCCTCCCCCCACCCCACAACAGGCCCCGGTGTGTGATGTTCCCCTTCCTGTGTCCATGTGTTCTCATTGTTCAATTCCCACCTATGAGTGAGAACATGTGGTGTTTGGTTTTTTGTCCTTGTGATAGTTTGCTGAGAATGATGGTTTCCAGCTTCATCCATGTCCCTACAAAGGACATGAACTCATCATTTTTTATGGCTGCGTAGTATTCCATGGTGTATATGTGCCACATTTTCTTAATCCAGTCTATCATTGTTGGACATTTGGGTTGGTTCCAAGTCTTTGCTATTGTGAATAGTGCCACAATAAACATACGTGTGCATGTGTCTTTATAGCAGCGTGATTTATAATCCTTTTGGTATATACCCAGTAATGAGATGGCTGGGTCAAATGGTATTTCTAGTTCTAGATCCCTGAGGAATCGCCACATTGACTTCCACAATGGTTGAACTAGTTTACAGTCCCACCAACAGTGTAAAAGTGTTCCTGTTTCTCCACATCCTCTCCAGCACGTGTTGTTTCCTGACTTTTTAATGATCGCCATTCTAACTGGTGTGAGATGGTATCTCATTGTGGTTTTGATTTGCATTTCTCTGATGGCCAGTGATGATGAGCATTTTTTCATGTGTCTTTTGGCTGCATAAATGTCTTCTTTTGAGAAGTGTCTGTTCATATCCTTTGCCCACTTGTTGATGGGGTTGTTTGTTTTTTTCTTGTAAATTTGTTTGAGTTCATTGTAGATTCTGGATATTAGCCCTTTGTCAGATGAGTAGATTGCAAAAATTTTCTCCCATTCTGTAGGTTGCCTGTTAACTCTGATGGTAGTTTCTTTTGCTGTGCAGAAGCTCTTCAGTTAAATTAGATCCCATTTGTCAATTTTGGCTTTTGTTGCCATTGCTTTTGGTGTTTTAGACATGAAGTCCTTGCCCATGCCTATGTCCTGAATGGTGTTGCCTAGGTTTTCTTCTAGGGTTTTTATGGTTTTAGGTCTAACATTTAAGTTTTTAATCCATCTTCAATTAATTTTTGTAAGGAAGGGATCCAGTTTCAGCTTTCTACATATGGCTAGCCAGTTTTCCCAGCACCATTTATTAAATAGGGAATCCTTTCCCCATTGCTCGTTTTTGTCAGGTTTGTCAAAGATCAGATAGTTGTAGATATGTGGCATTATTTCTGAGGGCTCTGTTCTGTTCCGTTGGTCTATATCTCTGTTTTGGTACCAGTACCATGCTGTTTTGGTTACTGTAGCCTTATAGTATAGTTTGAAGTCAGGTAGCATGATGCCTCCAGCTTTGTTCTTTTGGCTTAGGATTGACTTGGCAATGTGGGCTCTTTTTTGATTCCATATGAACTTTAAAGTAGTTTTTTCCAATTCTGTGAAGAAAGTCATTGGTAGCTTGATGGGGATAGTATTGAATCTATAAATTACCTTGGGCAGTATGGCCATTTTCACAATATTGATTCTTCCTACCCATGAGCATGGAATGTTCTTCCATTTGTTTGTATCTTCTTTTATTTCATTGAGCAGTGGTTTGTAGTTCTCCTTGAAGAGGTCCTTCACGTCCCTTGTAAGTTGGATTCCTAGGTATTTTATTCTTTTTGAAGCAATTGTGAATGGGAATTCACTCATGATTTGGCTCTCTGTTTGTCTGTTATTGCTGTATAAGAATGCTTGTGATTTTTGCACATTGATTTTGTATCCTGAGGCTTTGCTGAAGTTGCCTATCAGCTTAAGGAGATTTTGGGCTGAGACAATGGGGTTTTCTAGACATACAATCATGTCATCTGCAAATAGGGACAATTTGACTTCTTCTTTTCCTAAATGAATACCCTTTATTTCCTTCTCCTGCCTGATTGCCCTGGCCAGAACTTCCAACACTATGTTGAATAGGAGTGGTGAGAGAGGGCATCCCTGTCTTGTGCCAGTTTTCAAAGGGAATGCTTCCAGTTTTTGCCCATTCAGTATGATATTGGCTGTGGGTTTGTCATAAAAAGCTCTTAGTATTTTGAGATACATCCCATCAATACCTAATTTATTGAGGGCTTTTAGCATGAAGCGTTGTTGAATTTTGTCAATGGCCTTTTCTGCATCTATTGAGATAATCGTGTGGTTTTTGTTGTTGGTTCTGTTACATGCTGGGTGATGTTTATTGATTTGCGTATATTGAACCAGCCTTGCATCCCAGGGATGAAGCCCACTTGATCATGGTGGATAAGCTTTTTGATGTGTTGCTGGATTCGGTTTGCCAGTATTTTATTGAAGATTTTTGCATCGCTGTTCATCAAGGATATTGGTCTAAAATTCTGTTTTTTTGTTGTGTCTCTGCCAGGCTTTGGTATCAGGATGATGCTGGCCTCATAAAATGAGTTAGGGAGGATTTCCTCTTTTTCTTTTGATTGGAATAGTTTCAGAAGGAATGGTACCAACTTCTCCTTGTGTAGAGGTCATTATCTTAAGTGAAATAAGCCAGACACAGATAGACGAACGTCACATGTTCTCACTCATTTGTGGGAGTTAAAAATTAATTAAACTCTTGGAGAAAGAGAGTAGAAGGATGATTACTAGAGGCTGGGAAGGGTGTTGCAGGGGGTGAGGGTGGAGAAAGTAGAGATAGTTAATGGGTACAAAAAATATTTAGAAGGAATGAATAAGTCTTAGTATTTGCTAGTACAACAGGGTGACTATAGTAAAAATAATGTAACTGCACACTTAAAGATAACTAAAAGACTATAATTGGATTATACTCTTGTATATATTGGATCAGATTGTTTGTAATATAAAAGATAAACACTTGAGATGATGGATACCCAATTTATCCTGGTGTGATTACACATTGCATGCCTGTATCAAAATATCTCATGTAACTCATAAATATATACACCTACTATGTGCTCACAAAAATTAAAAATTAAAACATAAATTATCACTGAGAAAGGTGGAGTTTTAAAAATGAGTCATGCTGATATTAAACTTAGGCTATGAGATGTGGACACAAAAGTGTCCCCTTCCAGCAGAGAGATTTCTTCCTTCTGTTGTGCTGTAGTTTTTCACACTAGCTTTGCCATTCTCATAAAACTCAGGCACTTTAAGTCCCAACTAAGTGTGTAGTGTGGTACCTGGGTCTTATTTCAGTGATTAAATATCCTTTTTTAAAAAGAAGTGAAGACTCCATATAACTGATTGCAGTTGGGTGGTTGTTTTAATATCTATGGGGTTATGTATTTTGCTGATACCAGGACATTCCTTTTTTAGAGCAACATTATGTGCAGGAGTCACATATATGATGACGGATTTGAAACAGACACTTGTTTAACCAGGAGAGGTTAGACGCTATTAAAATATAGTCTGTATCAGGTATAATGCCTGTTTGTCAGTTTGAGAGAGTGAAATAAAACAAAATGAATTTTGGGGGGCAGAAAATAGTATGCCTTATGCATTTGGGTAAGTGGAGGAAAATATTGGTTTAAAATTAAGCAAGCTATGTATTATATTTTTGGGCTCCAAGTTCCCCCAGTTCTCTAGCTGCGTTGATCTAGTATTTGAAGATAAGTGATTCTGACACTTGTGGAAAAGAATGTTCTGTTACATTGTGCAGTGTGTTCCCAGACCTTCTCACACTGATTTAGCGAGGGCAGCCATTCCTCTGGTTCCTTCCTCCACTGAGAGTAGCTTTAGACGAGGGAGGCTGAAAATACAACAAACTCCGGTCTGAAAAGCTCTATGATTTTTAGATTACCATTAATTATTAAATAAGCACGAAGCTAAATTCCATATTTGAAGAAATTGATTTTATCCCATAGCACTGAGTACAAATGTAGGAGAAACAAACTCAAAAGTAAAGAAACATAACTTTTGTTTGAATAGAATCCTTGTGAATCTGCTTGTAAACCTATTAAAAATTATGAACCTCAACCTAGGAAGACTATCTCTTTCACCTATCACTCAGGATATGATGGCCTGTCAGCTTTTAGATGTATGTCTGCTCATGTTTCTGATTTTATTAATTGCAACTTCAATTTATTAAAGAACCTTGAAAAAAAATCTTCCCCAAACAACATTCATTCCCTCTGTATGGTTGGTTACCACATTTAAGAGATGATATGATTCTGAAGAAAGCTTTGTTACTCTATCAGAGAGGGTTGGTGTGGTGAAGATCTACAGAGAGACATCCATGCATGACCCTCCCAACCATGTGAAGATGGAATGAAGATCACAAAGCTTTGTCCTTCAAAGAGAAGAGGTAACAATAGTGTACCTTGGATCTCTAACTACAGAGTGCATGGTTATCCTGGAACTACAAGGTAGCTGGGTTTGCAGCCACAACTCATGGGTTCAGGTCCTGACCCATACTATAGATCAGCTTTCTGATTTGGGTCAAGTCATCAAGTTGCCCTAAGCTTCAGTACCACTGTTAAAATTTTGTTATGATTACTGTTAAATTTTGTTACAGTTATCCATCTCTCAGGGTTCTTGTGAGGATTAGATGAGACCATGCATAAAAGGGTGAAAGGGTGATATAAATGGAAGTGATTATTATTATCACAAGCTCTTTCTAGCTTTACTTGATTTTCTACCTTATGTTCAGTGTTGTTGGATATTAGTTGTCATTCCCTTATTTTATTGGTAGTAACAGAAATAGTCAATGGATAAGTGAGCCTTCAATTACAGTCTTTTATTGGGACTAACCCAAACCTGAATCCCAGAAATGTATGCTTACACTACAGGCATTTAAAAATATGTACCTGGGAGGCCGAGGCTGGCGGGTCACGAGGTCAGGAGATCGAGATCATCCTGGCTAACACAGTGAAACCCCATCTCTACTAAAAATACAGAAAAATTAGCCGGGCATGGTGGCGGGTGCCTGTAGTCCCAGCTACTCGGGAGGCTGAGGCAGGAGAATGGCGTGAACCCGGAGGGCGGAGCTTGCAGTGAGCTGAGATCGCGCCACTGCACTCCAGCCTGGGTGACAGAGTGAGACTCTGTCTCAAAAAAAAAAAAAAAAAAAAAAAAAAAAAAAAAAAAAAAAAAAAAAAGAAAAAGTACAAAAATGCTGCTAGTAAACCGCAGCATCCTCTGGCAGGCATAATCCCTGGCCCACAAAATCTGGACTTAGGACTCTGTGTAGCTTTTCTTTTAGGCTTAAAGAATAGACAAATCTAAAAGAAAACATAGAATCTTGCCAGTTAGAACTTATGATGAATCAGGTATTTATTTTACAATTTTCTTTTTCTAGTTATTTCTAAAGGAGGCAAATGATACTTAATAAAGCTACCCACCCTTGCTCAGTAACTTAGCGGCAGGTCCTGGTATGTGACTATAATTTTTAATTGATGAATGTTTGGTTTCTATCTATCAATAGCTTGTCTAAAGAAAATTATATTAAGGGACAATTATGTAAGAGACATGCTTCCTGCCTATTTTCATATTTTATCTTTGGATTTAGTTGGATGACTAAAGGCATATGTTACTTTAGCTTCTAAAGAATGAATGCCTTTCCTAGAACTGTACTAAGATGCTATGTCTTCAGCTTTTTAAAAAAGTGGTTGCAAGAAAAAGCATATGAAGTCAACTTTAGATTTTAGCAAAAATGCTCTGGAGGAAATTGTCCATGTTAGTGTCCTGGAAATGAAATCATACAGAAGAGATTTCTTTGAGAATTTAATTCCAGGAAAAACTTTGTCTTTCTCAAGGTATCCTTTTAAATAATGAGAGCTACATAATTGCTTGGTTGTGTATGTTTGTCATTCCAGCTTCAAGAAGCTTGGAGAAAAATTTAAAGCTCAATTGTAGCATTACTATTTACTTTAATAGCTATCTTATGTACATTTTACTTTAAAAGAAATGTTAGATTGTAACTCATATCTATTGTTTTAAGCCATATCAATTTTTTTGGGGGAAAGAAGCATGATATAAAGAGAAATAAAATAGTAGATGTTAATAAAAGGACTTAGAAAAAGAGGATAGGAAGAGAGAAAACCATCATCATCATCATCATGATCATCATCACTATCATTATCATTATTATAGAGGGGGGCTACTTATTAATGCAGGAAAAGAAACAGCCATTTTTACTTATATTGAGTGCTTTAAAAATTAAGAAACACTTTTAACAGAAAAATACAGAGAAACATAGAACACGCACCCATGTACCCACTACTCAGATTTAGCAAGTATTACTTTTTGCCATATTTTCTTAGGTAAAAAATTCTAGAGTAATAAAAACGACAGATAGAATCAAAGTTCTCCATTTGTCCTTACCATTCCCTCCATCTCCTCCCTCTCTTCAGCTTGTCCTTACTCGGAGGAGAACTTGTCTATCTGGGCATTTATACATTACTGCACATGTATTTTGTAATTTACCTTTTTCTCCCAGCAAAGTTTTTGATTTTTAGCCATGTCAATCAATTTAATTCATGTTAATTTTTAAGTTCCCTTGTATAAACACAGGATGCAATTATTCATTCCTTTATTGAGGACATTTAGGGTTTTTCCAATTTTCTTCTGCTGCAAATGGTACTGCTTCGTGCATGTCTCTATGACAGAGTTTCGGCAGGGTCTGTGCCTCAAAGGGGAATTGCTGGATCATCTCCCTCCCTCCCTCCCTCCCTTCCCTTCCCTTCCCTTCCCTTCCCTTCCTTCCTTCCTTCCTTCCTCCCTTCCTTCCTTCCTCCCTTCCTTCCTTCCTCCCTTCCTTCCTTCCTCCCTTCCTCCCTTCCTTCCCTCTGCAAATAATACAGTGACTCTTATGTGCTGCACATCATTATAGGCAACTGAGGAGGCTACAGTGGATAAGGTGGTCAGAATTCTATTTTTATGAAGCTTAAATTCTGGGGGAAGGTGGCTGGTGGCTCACACCTGTAATTCCAGCACTTTGGGAGGCGGAGGTGGGCAGATTACCTGAGGTCAGGAGTTCAAGACCAGCCTGGTCAACATGGTGAAATCCCTTCTCTACCAAAAATACAAAAATTAGCTGGGCATGATGGCACACACCTGTAATCCCAGCTACTCGGGAGGCTGAGGCAGAACTGCTAGAGCCCGGGAGACAGAGGTTGCAGTGAGCTGAGATCATACCACTGCACTACAGCCTGGCTGACAGAGCGAGACTCTGTCTCAAAAAAAAAAAAAAAAAAAAAAAAAATTCTGGGGGAAAGTACAATGGAAAAAAAGGTAGGCAATAAATGTGATAAATAAGCAAAATACAATTATGTTAATGACACGTGCTCTGGAGAAAGAAAAACAGGGCAGGTGATAGGAAGTGTATATGTGAAAAGGTTTGCCATTTTTTATAAGGTGTTAAAGAAAGAAAATCTCATTGTAATTTTAATTTTCGTGTCTCATGAATGATGAGGAACATCTTTCACATGATTAAAACTGTTCACATGTATTGAACCCCTTAAAAATTCTTTTACTATTCTATTGTTGATATAATCCTTTAAATTCAAATACTCCTTAAATATGTACAAACTGAAAGTAAGCACAAACTTATGCTTTCTGCTCTAATAGCTTGTAGCTCTTATCAAAACAAATGTACAAATTACATCCAACTATCTCCTCTGCAAAATTAACAAACTGTAAATTAACATAAGTACTTTAATATGAAACATAGTGTTAGTGACTATGGCTCAGGTTCTCTTGGGTTTGGTCCGCCTTTCCCACTGGGTGCTAAGAAAAGATGCAATTTTCTCAGTACTCTTTTCTGTTCGAAATAATGAAACACTTGCATTCCTCCAGTGCACTGTGAAGTCATTTGAAGCAAAAGTTTTATTCACCTCTGACTCTACCTCTGTTAATTGCTAAATAGCTGGAGTCAATTAAAGTGGGACTCCTTGGCAACAATCTGACTGCAAACACAAAGGCAAACTGGACCTGTGAGGTGGCATTTTGTTACCACGTAGCTACCCAGATTACCCAGAATATGTTTACTCTAGATTATCAGCAAACTGAATACCCTAAGTTAATAAATTCTCAATGATATATTTCAATAGAGAACATGCAAATACCTCCAAATGGGTTAACAAACATGAGTTTGAGAAATTCTGATCTAAATCTATAAGTTCTATATCTAAGTTCAAGGAGGATCATGAAATCTAACATGGTTTCTGGAATAGACTGACTTTTTTAGGGCACATAGTAACCCAGTTGGCCGAGCTACATTTTAAAGAATTCTTTGGAGTCTTTTTCCTTGGTTTGCCTACTTTGAAACTGTACCCCGTTTGAAGTTTAAGATGGGTTCCTCTTAATTATAGAGAAGACCAGGTAAAATTTGCTGTGCTGTCCTTTGTTCTATGATGCTCTCACCTCATTGCCAGACTTCCTTGTGCTTGCCTTCCCTCTCAGGTCCAGATATGCAAGTAGTCTTCTTTTCTTACTTATTACATAATAATTGTACATAGTTATGGGGCATATGTAATAATTTGATACATGCATACAGTATGTAATAATTAAATCAGGGTATTTATGATATCCATCAGTTCAGACATTTATCATTTCTTTATGTTGAAGACATTTCAACCCTTCTAGCTGTTCTGAAATATACAATAAATTATTGTTAACTATAGTCACCCTATTGTGCTTTTGAACACTAGAATTCATTCCTTCTATCATTTGTATACCCATTAACCAACCTCTTTTCATTACCACCCTAGCCTCAAACCCTTCCCAGCCTTTGGTAACCATCATTCTACTCTTTTTTTTTTTTTTTTTTTTTGGAGATGGGGTCTTGCTTTCTTGCCCAGGCTGCAGTGCAGTGGCATGATCTCAGCTCACTGCAACTTCTGCCTCATGGGTTCAAGTGATTCTCGTGCCTCAGCCTCCCAAGTAGCTGAGATTACAGGCACCCACCATGCCAGGCTAATTTTTGTATTTTTAGTAGAGATGGTGTTTCACCATGTTGGCCAGGCCGGTCTTTTCTGACCTCAAGTGATTCACCTGACTTGACCTCCCAAAGTGCTGGAATTACAGGCATGAGCCACTATGCCAGGCCTCATTCTACTCTCTACCGTCAGGAGATTAACTTTTTTAGCTCTCACATATGGATGAGAACATCTTATATCTGCCTTTCTGAGCTTGGCTTATTTCACTTAATATAGTAACCTCCAGCTCTATCTTTGTTGCTGCAAATAACAAGATTTCATTATTTTTTATGGCAGAATAGTATTCCCCTGTGTATGCATATCTTTTTTTTTTTTTTTTTTTTTTTTGAGGAAGGGTCTTGCTCTGTCACCCAGGCTGGAGTGCAGTGGCATGATCATGGCTCACTGCAGCCCTGACCTCCTGGGCTCAAGCCACCCTCCCACCTCAGCCTCCCAAGTAGCTGGAACTACAGGCATGTGCCATCATGCTTGGATAATTAAAAAAATTTTCTTTTGTAGAGACAAGGTCTCACTATATTGCTCTGGCTGGTCTTACACTCGTGGGCTGAAGTGATCCTCCCATCTAGGCCTCATAAGGTGCTGGGATTACAAGGCATAAACCACCAAGCTCAGCTCCACATTTTATTTATCCATTTATCTGGTGATGGACACTTAGATTGATTCCATATCTTGGATATTATAAATAGTGCTGCAGTAAGCATGGGGTGCAGGTATTCTTTTTATATACTGATTTCCTTTTCTTTGGAAAAATATTCAGTAGTGAGATTGCTGGATTATATGGTAGTTTATTAGTTTTATTTATTTATTTCTGTTTTTGAGAAATCTCCATGCTGTTTTCCATAATGGTTGGTATAATTTACATTCTCACAAGAGCGTATAAGAGTCCTCTTTTCTCTGCATCCTCACTAGCATCTGTTATTTTTTGTCTTTTTGATAAAAGCCATTGTGTGTGAGATGAGATGGTATTTCACTGAGGTTTCGCTTTGCATTTCCCTGATTAGTGATATTGAGCATTTAAAAAAATATACATCTGTTGGCCATTTTTATGTCATCTTTTGAGAAATGTCTATTTAAATCCTTTGCCTGCTTCTTAATGGGATTATTTGTTTTGTTTTTTTGTTTTTGTCATAGAGTTGTTTGAGTTCCTTGTATATTCTGAATATTAATCCTTTGTCACATGTATAGTTTGCAAATATTTTCTCCCATTCAGAAAGTTGTCTCTTTAATCTGTTGATCATTTTCTTTGCTGTGCAGAAACTTTGTAGTTTTATGTAGTCCCATTTGTCTATTTTTGTTTTTGCTCCCTGTGCTTTTAAAGTATTAGCCACAAAATCTTTACTTAGACCAATGTCCTGAGCATTTCCCCATGTCTTTTATAGTTTTGGATCTTACTTGTAAGTCTTTAATACATTTTGAGTCAATTTTTGTATATGGTGAGACATAGGGGTCCCACTTCATTTTTCTGTATATGGGTATCCAATTTTCTCATATTTGAAGAGGCTGTCCTTTTCTGAATGTGTGTTCTTGGCATCTTTGTCAAAAATCATTTGGTTGTAAATATGTGGCTTTATTTCTGGGTTTTCTATTCTGTTTCATTGGTCAATGTGTCTGGTTTTCTGCCGGTACCATGTTGTTTTGGTTACTCTAGCTTTGTAGTATATTTTGAAGTCAGATGGTGTGATGCCTCCAGCTTTGTTTGTTTTGTCGGGATTGCATTGGCATTTGGGTTCTTTTGTGGTTCCATAAGAATTTTAGGATTGATCTTTCTAATTCTGTGAAGAATGACATTGGTATTTTGATAGGGATTGCACTGAATCTGTAGATTGCTTTGGGCAATATGGTCATTTTAATGATGTTAATTCTGATCCATGAGCATGGGACGTTTTCCCATTTTTTGATGTCCTCTTCAATTTCTTTTGTCAGTGTTTTGTAGTTTTCCTTGTAAATATCTTTCACCTCCTTGGCTAAATGTGTTACTATATGCTTTTTTTGTAGCTGTTGTAAATGAGATTGCCTTCTTGATTTCCTTCTCAGCTAGGTCATTATTGGTATGTAGAAATGCTACTGATTTTTTGTACATTGATTTTGCATCCTGCAACTTTATTGAATTCATTTACTAAATCTGAGAGTTTTTTTGGTGGAGCCTTTAATTTTTTCTAGGCATAAGAGCATATTCCTATTATCTAATTTGGATGCCTTTTATTTATTTCTCTTGCCTGATTGCTCTGGCTAGGACTTCCAGTACTATGTTGAGTAGGAGTGATGAAAATGGGCACCTTTGTCTTGTTCCAGTTCTTAGAGAAAAAGTTTTCAGTGTTTCCCCATTCAGTATGATGTCAGTTTTGGGACTGTCATATGTGGCCTTTATTATGTTAAGGTATATTCGTTCTATGCCTAATTTGTTGTTAGTTATTATCATGATGGGCTGCTGAATATTTTTTTTGTTTGTTTTTGAGACGGAGTCTCGCTCTGTGCCCCAGGCTGGAGTGCAGTGGCGCGATCTCGGCTCACTGCAAGCTCCGCCTCCTGGGTTCACACCATTCTCCTGCCTCGGCCTCCCGAGTAGCTGCGACTACAGGTGCCCACCACCACAACCGGCTAATGTTTTGTATTTTTAGTAGAGATGGGGTTTCACCGTGTTAGTCAGGATGGTCTCGATCTCCTGACCTTGTGATCCGCCCACCTCAGCCTCCCAAAATGCTGGGATTACAGGCGTGAGCCACTGTGCCCGGCCAGGCTGCTGAATTTTATCACATGTACTTTTGCATCTATAGGAATGATCATATGGTTTTTGTCCTTCATTCTGTTGATGTGATATATCATATTTATTGATTTGTGTATCTTGAACATCCTTGTATCCCTGGGATAAATCCCACTTGATCATGGTGTAGTATCTTTTTGATGTGCTGTTGGATTCAGTTTGCTAGTATTTCATTGAGGATTTTTGCATCTATGTTCAGTAGTAGAGATATTGGCCTGTAGTTTTTGTTATTGTTGTCGTTGTGTCCTTGTCTGATTTCAGGATCAGGGTAATGTTAGCCTTGTAATGAGTTAGGAAAAAATCCCTCCTCTTCTATTTTTTGAAATAGTAAGAGAAGAAATGGTATGTATTTTTCTTTATAGTTTGGTAGAATTCAGCAGTAAAGCAATTCAATCCTCAGCTTTTCTTTATTGGGAGGCTCTGTATTACTGATTCAATCTTGTTACTCATTATTAGTCTGTTCAGGTTTTATGTTTTTCCATGATTCAAACTTGGTAGGTTGTATGTGTCCAGGAACTTACCATTTCCTCTAGGATTTCCAATTTGTTAGTGTACTTTAGTTGTATCTCTGTGGTATCACTTGTAATGTCTCCTTTTTCTATTCTGGTTTCATTAATTTGGGTCTTCCTTTTTTTTTCCTAGTCTAAGAAAAGTTTTGTCAGTTTTGTTTGTTTTTTTAAAAAACGACTTTTTGTTTCATTGATCCTTTATTTTTTTTAGTCTCCATTTGTTTAGTTCTGCTTGAATCTTTATTATTTCTTTTCTTCTACTAATTTTGGGTTTGATTTCTCCTGATTTTTCTAGTTCTTTGAGGTGCACCTCTAGGTTGTTTATTTCAAATCTGCTTTTTTTTTTATGTAGGCATTTATTTCTGTTAACTTCCCTGTCAGCACTGCTTTTGTTGTACCAATACCATAAGTTTTGGTATGCTGTGTTTCCACTTTCATTCATTTCAATAAATTTTTTGACTTCCTTCTTAATTTCTTCATTGGGCCATTAGTCATTCAGGAGCAAGTTGTGTAGTTTCCATGTATATATACAGCATTCAAGGTTCCTCTTGCTATTGATTTCTAGTTTTATTCCATTGTGGTCTGAAAAAATGCTTGATATGAGTTCAGTTTTTAAAACTTGTTGAGATTTGTTTTGTGGTCTAACATATGGTCTATTCTGGAGGATGTTCCATGTGCTGCTGAGGAGATATATATTCTGCAGCTGTGGGGTGAAATGTTCTGTAAGGTCCATTTGGTCTAAAGTGAAGTTTAAATCCAATGTTTCTTTGTTGATCTTCTGTCTAGATGATTTGTCTAATGCTGAGAGTTGGATGTTGAAGTCCCTAACTATTATCATATTGGGGTCTATCTCTACCTATAGATCTAATAATATTTGCTTTATATATTTGATGTTAAAGTGTTGTGTGCTTATATGTTTAGAATTGTGTTTCATAATGGTAGATATTATTTTTTGCTTCCAGATACAGGACTCCCTGAAGCATTTCTTGTAGGGCTAGTCTAGTTGTGACAAATTTCCTCAGTTTTTGTTTGTCTGGGAGACTTAATTTCTTCTTCATTTTTGAAGGATAGCTTTGCTGGTTATAATATTATTGTCTGACTTTTTTTCTTACAGTACATTGAATATCATCCCATTCTTTCTTGACCTGTGAGGTGTCAGCTGAGAAATCCACTGTTAGTGTGATATGGATTCCCTTACATGTTACCTGATACTTTTCTCTTGCTGTTTTTATAATTCTCTCTTTGTCTTTAGGTTTTGACAGTTTGACTATGAAGTACTTTCAGAAGACCTTTTGGGGTTGAATCTATTTGAGGATATTTGAGATTTTTGTATTTGGATGTCTATATCTCTTCAAGACCTGTTAAATAGGTTTTCTATGCCTTTGCCCATCTCTTCTTTTGGAACTCCCTCAATTTGAATATTTGGTCACTTTATGCTGTTTATATGTGGCTTTCTTCATTCTTTTTTATTCTTTATTCTTTTCTTTTTTTTGGGGTGGGATCTGACTTTGTTATTTCGAGGACCTGTCTTCAAGTTTAGATATTCCTTCTTCTGCTTGATCTAGTATATTGTTGAAGTTCTCAATTGTATTTTTAAATTTTATTCATTGAGTTCTTCAGTTCCAGTATTTCTCATTAGTTCTTTTTGAGCATATCTATCTCTTTGTTGAATGTTTTGTTCAGATCAGGAATTGTTTTCTCCTGATTTCTTTGTATTATTTATCTATGTTCTCTTGTTTTTCCCTGAGTTTCTTTAGTATCATTATTTTAAATTATTTTTCAGGCATTTCATAAATGTCCATTTTTTTGGTATCTGTTACTGGTTAATTATTGTGTTCCTTTGGAGGTGTCTTGTTTCCTTGCTTTTTCATGTTTTTTCATGTTTCTTGTATAAGGATAGAAGATTTCCTTGCTTTTTCATGTTTCTTATATAAGGATACAAGATGTTGATATCTGCATATCTGGTATAACAGTTGTCTCTACCAATTTTATGGATTGGTTTTCTTAGGTAAAGACTTTTTCCTGTAGATGTATCTATATTGTTAGTTGGGCATGGTGATTTGGCTTTGATTGTGGGTTGGCACAGCATTATCATTTCTATATGATTTCTTCATTTGTAATCAGTGTTAGTGGTGTTTGTCAGTTCTTCAGTGACTTAGGCTGTGATTGTTAGTAGAGGCTGTGGCAAAGCTTTGCTGGGGGTGGGGATTCCAAGTGGTTCAGTCTTGGGTACCAGTGGTGGAAGTGGCAGGTTGGGTGTGCAGATCCATGGCCCCCAGGTGATGTACCAGGTGCCAGTGGTGGTGTGTCTAGGTGGGCTGGTCCTTGGGGTCCCAGGCAGCTTGCTTGGGTGCTAGTAGTGGGCCAGGCAGGTGGGTGGGTCCTCAGGCCCCTTGGCAGTGTGTGTTGGGTCAGTGATAGTAGCGGCAGTGGTGAGCTAATACTCAGGCCCTTGAATATCATGCACAGGTGACAGTAGTGGCATGAGAGGGCTGGGTGGGCCAGTTTCCAGGACCCCATGTGGTACATGCAGGTGGGTGCCAGCAATGGTGGCAGCAGCAGGCTGAGTGGGCCAGTACTTGAGTTTTTGGGAGGCAGGCATAGTCACCAGCAATAGAAGGATGGGTCTATCTTCAGGCCACTGGACAGAGTACATGGGCAGCTGTAGTGGTGTGGTGGGCCTATTCTCAGGCTACTGTAAAGCGTGCATGGGTGCCAGTGGTGGATGGCAGGAGTTGATCTCTCAACTCTTGGATAATGTGCTGGGCCCCAGAAGTAGTGGCAGTGCTGGTGGGCAGGGTGAGTTTGCCCTCAGGCCCTCAGACGGTGTGTGTGGATTCCAGCAGTGGCAACGGGGATGAGTTGATCCCCAGGCCTCTGGATGACATGTGCAGGTACCTGTGGTGGTGGCTGGAAGTAGGGAGGGCCTGTCCTAAGTCCCCCTGATGGTGTGCACAGATGCTTGCTGTGTTAGGTGGGGTACACAGTGGTATTGTAAATGTTATTTCATTTTTGGTTTATTTGCTGAAACACTCATTTGTTCATTTGTGCTTTTGTCACCTGGATCACATATTCAGGGTGGAGATGACTCAAGATCTCCAATTTCTTTCATTCTTGATTTCTGGTAGACTTGGGTGTGGATTCCCAGGGGTGAAGATTTAATGTAAGTGCCTATCCAACTATGAATCAAATTCTGTTTCATGATTCACAACTTGAGTCATCAAATATTATTTTTGGCAAGTCAAGGACATTCTATAGATACTGAAAACAGACTTTATAGTTAATACATACTAATTGTGCTGATAGAAATGGCTTTTTTGAGAATTTATTACTTGCTTGTTAGATGTTAATGCAACTGAAAATTAGCACAGGTAGCAAATTTTGCTCAAATAAAGGTAAGAAGTTTTATATTAAATATGTACTCATATTTGTGTGTTTGTGTATATATGCTTATGCAAGTATATATGTGTATGGTTGAATCATGTGAAATTACAGCTTCTTTAGTTCAAAAATAGACAAATGTCAGCAATATCATATGTTTCATATATGTACTTTTATATATTTCAGATTTTAGCTGCCTTATGAAAGCAATAGCAAAGATGTCTAGTTTTCTTTTTTCTTAAAAAGAGGAAAAATCAAGCTAGTCACTTGGGTCCTAAAACAAAATTTCTTTTACAGTTGTCCCTCAGTATCAGTGAGAGATTTGTTTCCAGGATCCCCTATGGATATCAGAATCCATGGATGCTCAAGTCCCTTATATTAAATGGTGTATTTTCATATAAGCTATGCACATCCCACTCTATACTTTAAATCACCTTTGTATTACTTATAATACCTAGTGAAATGTAAATGGTGTGTAAGTTGTCGTTATATTGTTTAGGGAATAATGACAAGAAAAAAGTCTTTACATGTTCAATGCAGACACAACCATCATTTTCTTCCCTGAATTTTTAAAATTCATAGTTTGTTGAATACATGAATGCAGTACCCATGGATACAGAACCCATAGATACAGAGGGCCAAGTATATATATAAAATACTTTAATCTTGGGGAATGGTGGACAAAATACTGTAATAAGAATGTCCTGTCTCACAGAAAATTTAGAATGCTTTTGTCCTTCCTCTAGTTAATTCTTTCAAGGTCGGGGCATATCTATCCATGAAGGCTGACATCACCATTCTAGTCCACAGTGTGAGATTTTTCCCACTGAACTCTGATTTTTCCTTTGCTACCATTATTTTAGTAACTCTGTATTACCTTGTTTTTAAATAAATTATAAACTCCTTGGGAACAGAGACCATACCTTGTTTCTCCACAGCCCTGCAGGATCTGTTGATTTGACTGAGCATTTGACTTGAAAAGCATTCCAAATAGGATTTAATTATCTAAGTTGGTGGAGTGATAAGGAATGACAGAAGACAAAAAATGATGCCTCTTGGGAAATCAATCAGAGATCATCCTGCTTTCAGGAATTTACAGTCTCCATTGGGAGACAATGCAGAAACTCATGAGGGGTTTAGTGAGGTGAAATAATCTGTGTTGTAGGTTCTCTTAATTGTTCTATTTCTAGCAGAATGGTAAGAGGAAGCTTAATCTGCGATATTGGATGTTCTCTGGCTAAATTGAGTGCATCAATCTTCATCGATTGATTTTAGTATGGCACTGATAAATGTTTAACTGGTAAATAATAAAAGTCTGCCAGTTACCTAGTTTGTGCACTTATTGATAATAGGGTGGCATTTTCTTTGTTAGATGAACTTGAAGATATATGTAAATAATCTACAAATATAAAATCCAATTTTTAATATGTTCTAACATTTACCAACACTGTCTTCAACAAAATACCCCCATATCTCAAAAGTCAATGACAATTTTTATCACAGCTTGGGAAAGACCTTCAGGTAATTAATGACAATATTTCAGCTAACAATTTTTTCTTCTTTTGTCCTTTCTATTTTTGTAAGACAACTTAGTGCCCTGAAGAAGAAGAAGGATAATGGTTTGCAATCAATGCTCATGGACAAGACACCTAATCTGAACTTAACCAAAAAGTCAATATTTAACTGTACCTTATCAGTGTGGAAATGTCAAGCATAGCAAGAGACAACGAACAAATTTCCAAGTGATTTCTCTTTTTTTTATGTTTTGGTGTTCACAGCTATGTGGAAGTGTTTCAACATCAGATAAGACAAAATGGCCTTTGGGAGAAAAAAAAAGACAGCAAATTACAATACTTGCACTTGCCGAAACCACAGTTTATGAGAGGAAAGCAGACACTGGATATGCATTCTATTCTCTCCTAGCACATTCCCTGGTTCACCTTCCTGCCTGTGTGATGCTAGCCCTTGATTGTTTCCCACAGCTGGCAGCCTTTAAGAGACAGATATGTTGAAATGTCTCCTTGCTGAGTAAAGTCACTATCTGTTGCCACCCAACACAATTGACACAAATTATTTGCACTCTAAATTTCCATGCCTAGGAGTAGATACATAAAGCATGACTAGGAGGACTGTGGGTCTGCAAAACAGGAGCTCCACCTGAATTTCCTGGAAGTTATGGCCAGTTAATGTAGAGAAAGAGGTTTTCAAAATTGTAAGAACTTCAGGACCTTTGTCAGAATTCCATCTCGCTCCACAGGACTCCAGCTAACCTCACCCACATAACTGGTGTTGAAAGTTTTATTTTGTTAGAAAATAATGTTACACTGGAAAAACCTATGCTGGTACTCACATTTAATGGGATGTTGGACTGTCAGCATTACAATACAAGAAAGAAAGGTGATGACTTAAATGGATAAATATGCATTGTTGCTAACTGACTTTTTAAGGAATTGTGGGTGGGCTTGACATAACAGGGAACATGAACATGGAGATCTGAAAAATACTGATAGAGAAAACATCATTTCATCTGGGACTACAACTAGAAAGGACCTTTTTGAACTAGATTCACAGAACAGTGATTCATGGAGTTCACCAAGGGTAGTGACCAACCATTTCAAACTATGTATATAGTAAAAATAATGTAGGTGCTTGTTAAAAATGCAGATTCCCATGGACTTCCCCCTGGAGATTCTGATTCAGGGTGTTAAAATAATTCATGCGGAGGCCATTACACTGGGGTGGCTCCATTGCTCTGGGTTTCTACTAAACAAACTGAAACCCAACTCAGTGTTAACAGGAAAACAACCAATCAGAAACTGCCAACTGACCTCTAGTGGGACTTTCTACTGGAATCATCCAAATAAGGCTACTGATCCACTTTAACCAATAAAAAAAATGATGAGTTCATGTCCTTTGTAGGGACATGGATGAAATTGGAAATCATCATTCTCAGTAAACTATCGCAAGAACAAAAAACCAAACACCGCATATTCTCACTCATAGGTGGGAATTGAACAATGAGATCACATGGACACAGGAAGGGGAATATCACACTCTGGGGACTGTGGTGGGGTGTGGGGAGGGGGGAGGGATAGCATTGGGAGATATACCTAATGCTAGATGATGAGTTAGTGGGTGCAGCGCACCAGCATGGCACATGTATACATATGTAACTAACCTGCACATTGTGCACACGTACCCTAAAACTTAAAGTATAATAAAAAAAATATTTTATTTGCCTTGCTTCATGCATTCACCCTAAAAAGCTTTCTCCTCCTGCCCCTTTGGTGGAGCCCTTTAACTGCTTGTGGTCTGGAGCTGCCCAATTCAGGAATCACTAAATGCTCAAATAAATTGTAATATTTTAATGTGCCTCAGTTTATCTTTTTTTTTTTTTTTTTTTTTGAGACAGGGTCTCACTCTGTCACCCAGGCTGGAGTGCAGTGATGCAATCACAGCTCACTGCAGCCTCAACCTCCCAGGCTCAGGCAATCCTCCTACCTCAGTCTCCCAAGTAACAGGGACCACAAGCATGGGCCACACACCTGGCTATTAAAAAAATATATTTGTAGAGACGGGATCTCCCTATGTTGCTCAGGCTGGTCTTCAACTTCTGGGCTCCAGCAGTCCTCTCACTTTGGCCTCCCAAAGTGGGATTACAGGTGTGAGCTACCGCTCCTGGCCTCAATTTGTCTTTCAACATGGAAGACTGTGGTGGGAACTGGAAACCTGTTTTTTTTTTTTTTTTAACAAGATCTTTGGAGATTTTATCATCAGGCAGATTTGGAAACATTGCTGTAGGTACTCAGAAATGGGATGAATGAATGAAAGGAAAAAAACCATAATGAGGATGCCAGAAAGGCAGTCCCAGCTCCTGATTTTGCTGCATGCTCCAACAGTGTGCCAGGGCTCCTGACCTTGTACAGTTAACTCCCAGATGTGGGAGAAATGGCCTTCAGGAGCAGCTGATAAAGGTTAGGTTTTCAAATGTCACATGGAATAATGCTCTTTCCCCTTTGTCCTGTGTTGGAATGTCATAGTGACATAAAAAGAAAGACTATGTCCTTAAGTTAAATGAATGGTACGTGTTAAAAACAGAAAGAACCCTGTCTAAGTCTCCCTTAGGAAGAAATCTTTTTCTGTGAGTCTTTCCTGCCACCAGACATAAACCCAGCAGGTGTAAACCATCAACCCTCCTTAATCTCTCCATAAAGGCACAAAGGAGAAATCGTGTGGAGAGAAGTATTCTGATCTCTATGTGGACAGTGCAACTAATAATTTCTGTACTATTTGACAACAACCTAGTTCTTTCTATTCTGTGTTTTTTTTTTTTAACTTGTTTGGTCTCCAGGGGAACTGTTTAATACACTCTATGGCAAACGGGAAGGATATCCCTCCATACAATGTATAATACCTTGTTACAATAAAAGCCTCAGAAATATGGGAGCTGAGGGGATGGACTGGAATGAGAGAAGGGTAGAATCCATACCTTTATGCCACTGTAAGATCCTCTAGTAGAGTATGGGCACATGATGGGTTATGGGACTCGACTGAGAAGACCCAATCACCCCTTTTGTTCAAATTTTATGGCTGCCCATCATCATCATGGGGCTAATTTAGAGTCATCTAATGTCTGTAGAGGAGATAATAGACAACACAGGACAAAAAGAGCCCCAGTGAATTTGTTGGAACTTGTCATGCTCTAATTTTGTGACTTACTTAAAGATTTAATGAGTATTGTGGCAGGAAAGTCAACAAACCAGAATTAAGGAAATTTGCAGGATGGTCCACTAGTGGTTCCTAAACTTTGCTGCATATTAAAAGCACCTGGGGAAGTATAAAATACACAAGTACTCAGGCCTCTCCCCATACCAATTAAGTCAAAATTTTGGGGGGTGTGATCCAGGCCACACTTTTTTTTTTTTTTTTTACATTTCCAAGGTAACTCCAATGTACTACCCAATTTGAGAATCGTTGATTTTCTAGACTGATCATATACTCTGGATCTTTTCTAGTTGTATGTTATTCCTTTTACCCGAAATGTTCCTTCATCCTTTCTTCAGGCGAAGACCTGCTAATCTGTAAAAAATTCACCACAAATATACCTTCCATTAATAGAGTTAGTTCATTCATTCAATAAATATTTGCTGAAAGTTGGTGTTGCTTCCTTCTCCATGGCACTAGCACTCAGTAACAACACTTCATTAAATTAATTATTTGTTATGATTACTTTTTCCTCTACAGCCTCTGACTTATTGGAAGCCAGGATTGTAAATTATTCATCTTTGACTTTTGTAGTACATTTCCTTTCTTTTCCCCCATTTTCCCACATCCCTGGCTCGGGAATCCTTGTCTCACAAACATTCAATGTTGAATAATTATGAGTTTTAAAATTTTATTATTTTTATTTGTACACCTTTATGGGGTATATGTGAAATTTTGTTACATATATATAATGCATACTGATCAAGTCAGGGTATTTAGGGTGTTCATCACCCAAGTAGAAAACATTTTTATTAAGTAGAATCACCCTACTCAGCTATCAAACATTGCTTTTATTCCTACAATCTTACTCTATATTTGTACCCTGTACCCTTTAACCCACTTCTCTTCATCCTTCCCCTTTACCCCGAATCACTCTTCCTAGCATCTGTTATCTATTTTTCCACTCTCTATCCCCATGTTATCAAATTTTTTAGATCCTACATATAAGCAAGAACATGTGATATTTAGCTTTTTGGATAAGTATTTATGTGTATAAATATATGTGATATTTATCTATTTCATTTAAGATAATTACCATCAGTTCCATTCTTGTTACTGCAAACGACATGATTTCATTTTTTTATGACTGAATAGTACTCCATGGTGTATAAATACCACATTTTCTTTATTCATTCATCCACTGAGGGACATTTAAATTGATTCCATGCCTTTCTATTATGAATAGTGCTATAATAAACTCGTGAGTGCAGGTACCCTTTGATACCCTTTTCCTTTGAGTAGATAACTAGTAGTGGGATTGTTGGATGTAGTGGTAATTCTATTTTCAGTATTTTGAGAACTCTCCATACTGTTTTTCATAGTGGCTGGACTAGTTTACATTCCCACCAACTGTGTATAAGAGTTCCCTTTTCTCTGCATCCTCACCAACATCTGTTATTTTTTGTCTTTTTAGTAATAGACATTCTGACTGGAGTAGGATGATGTCTTCTTGTGGTGTTGACTTACATTTCCCTAATGATTACTGATGTTGAGCATTTTTTAATATACCTGTTGGCCATATGTCTTCTTTTGAGAGATGTCTATTCATGTCCTTTGCCCACTTTTTAATGGGATTGTTTTTTCCTGCTGTTTTGAGTTCCTTGTATATTTTGGGTATTAGTCACCTGTCTGATAAATAGTTTGCAAATATTTTCTCTCATTCAACAGGTTGTCTGTTCACTCTGTTGATTATTTCTTTTGCTGTGCAGAAGCATTTTAGTTTAATTAAGCCCCATTTGTCATTTTTGTTTTTGTTGCCTGTGCTTTTAAGGTCTTAGTCATGATTTTTTTGCCTAGATCAATGTCCAGGAGAGTTTTCCCCTAGGTTTTTCTGCTAGCAGTTTTATAGTTTGGGGTCTTATGTTTAAGCCTTTAATCCATTTTGAGTTGTTTTTTGTATATAGTGAGAGATATAGCGGTCCAGTTTTATTCTTCTGAATGTGGCTATCGAACTTTCTCAGCACCATTTATTGAACAAGATTTCCTTTCCCCAGTGTAATTTCTTGTCAGCTTTGTCAAAGATCAGTTGTTTGAACATATGTGGGTTTATTTCTGAGTTCTTTATTCTGCTCCATTGGTCCATATGTCTAATTTTATACCAATACCAGGCTGTTTTAGTTACCATAGCCTTATAGTATATTTTGAAGTCAGGTAATGTGATGCCTTCAAATTTATTCTTTTTGCTTAGGATTGCTTTGGCTATTCAGCATTTTTTTTTTCCTTTTGTTCCACATGAATCTTAGGAGTCTAGTCACATTCTAATTCTGTGAAGAATGGCATTGGTATTTTGATAGGGATTGCACTGAATCTGTAGATTGCTTTGGGCAATATGGTCATTTTAAATAATATTAATTCCTTCAATTCATGAACATGGGATTTTTTGTTTTGTTTTGTTTTTTGGTGTCCTCTTTGATTTCTTTTTTTTTCTTTTGTTTTTCTTTTTTTAACTCCTGATTTGACACCCAGGCTGGATTGCAGTGGCACAATCACTGCTGACTGCAGCTTTGACCTCCTGGGTTTAGGCAGTCCTTCTGCCCAAGCCTCCCAAGTAGCTTGTATGCCACCATGCTCAGCTAATTAAGAATTGTTTTTGTAGAGACAGGGTCTTGCTATGTTGCCCAGGATAGTCTTGAACTCCTAGGCTCAAGTGATCCTCCTTCCTCTGCCTCTAAAAGTGCTGAGATTACAGGCATGAGCCACTGTGTCTGGTCTTAAATTTCTTTCATCATTGTTTTGTAGTTTTCCTTGCAGAGATTGCTCACCTCCTTGGTTAAATTTATTACTAGGTATTTTTTTTGTAGCTATTGTAAATGGAATTGCCTTGTCGATTTTCTTCTCAGCTAGATCATTATTGGTGTATAGAAATGCTACTGATTTTTGTACATTAATCTTGTATACTGCAACTTAATGAATTCATTTACCAAATCTGAGCTTTTTGGTGGAGTCTTAAGGTTTTTCTAGGTATCAGATCGTATCATCAGCACAGAGGGATAATTTGATTTCCTATTTTCTAATTTGGATGCCTTTTATTCATTTATCTTGCCTGATTGCTCTGGCTATGGCTTCCAATACTATCATAAATAAGAATAATGAAAGTGGACATCCTTGTCTCCTCCCTCCTTCCCTCCCTTCCTTCCTTCCTTCTTTCCTTCCTTCTTCCTCCTTCCCATCTCTTTCTTCCTTCCTTCTTTCCTTCCTTCTTCCTCCTTCCAGCCTCCCTCTTTTTTGTCTGCCTTTCTTTCTTTCTTTCTTTCTTTCTTTCTTTCTTTCTTTCTTTCTTTCTTTCTTTCTTTCTTTCTTTCTTTCTCTTTCTTTCTTTCTTTCTTTCTTTCTTTCCTTCCTTCCTTCCTTCCTTCCTTCCTCTCTCTCTCTTTCTTTCTTTCTTTCTTTCTTTCTTTCTTTCTTTCTTTCTTTCTCTCTTTCTCTTTTCTTTTCTTTTTTTCTTTTTTCTCCTTATCTGTTTTTGGTATTAGTGTGATGCTAGCCTCATAGAATGAATTAGGGAGAATTCTCTCCTCTTTGGCTTTTCTGGAATAGATTCATGAGGGTTGATATTAGTTCTTCTTTGCACATTTGGGTGAATTTGGCTGTGGATCCATCCTGTCTTGGGATTTTCTCTATTGGAAGCCTTTTTTGTTACTGATTCAATAATAATACTCATTATTGGTCTGTTTAGGTTTTACATGTCTTCCTGATTCAATCTTGGTAGATTGTATGTTTCCAGGAATTTATTCTTTTTTTTTTCTAGGTTTTTCAGTTTGTCAGTGTATAGTTGTTTATCATAGTCCGTGATGATTTTTTAAAATTTCTGTCATATCAATTGTACTGCCCCTTTTTTGTGTCTTATTTTGTTTATTTGGGTCTTCTTTCTCCTTTTCTTGATTAATCTAGCTAGTGGTTTATCAATTGTTTTTATCTTTTTGAAGGGCCAACTTTTCATTTCATTGATCCTTTTTTTCAAGTCTCTATTTCATTTAGTTCTTCCCTGGTCTTAGTTATTTTGAGCTTGGTTTGTTTTTACTTTTCTAGTTTCTTGAGGTGTCTTGTTAGATTGTTAATTTGTCATCTTTCTACTTTTTTGATGTAGGCATTTATTACTATAAACTTTCCTTTTAGCACTGCTTTTGCTGTATTCCGCAGGTTTCAGTATGTTGTATTTGTATTTTCATTTGTTTCAAGAATTTTTTAAAATTTGCATCTTAATTTATTCTTTGACCCAGAGGTTATTCAGAAGCATGTTGTTTAATTTCCGTGTATTTATATAGTTTCCAAAGTTCCTCTGGGGGTTAATTTCTAGTTTTACTCCATTGTGACCTGGGAAGATACTTGATATGAGTTTGATTTTTAAAAATATGTTGAGACTTGTTTTGTGGCCTAACATATGGTCTATTTTGGTAAAGTTCCATGTGCTGATGAGAAGAATGTGTATTCTGCAGCTGTTGGATAGAATGCTCTGAAAATGTCTGTTAGGTTCATTTGTTCTAAAGTCTAGTTTAAATTAAATTTTTTTGTTGATTTTCTGTCTAGGTAATCTGCCTAATGCTGAAAATGGGGTGTTGAAGTCCCTCACTATTATATTGCAGTCTATATCTGTATATAGATCTAGTAATATTTGTTTTATGAAACTAGTTCTCCAGTGTTGAGCACATATATATTTAGAATTGTTATATATTCTTGCTGCATTGATCCTTTTATCTTCATGTAATTCCCTTCTTTTTGTTTTCTCTTGTTCTTGACTTAAAGTCAGCCTTGCTTGATATAAGTCCAGATATCCCTGCTTGCTTTTGGTTTTTGTTTGCATGGAACATCTTTTCCCATTCCTTTACTTTCTCAGTCTATATGTGTCTTTACTGGTAAGGTGGGCTTTTCAGTATCTATGCTGATAGGCATATATGCTGGTAAGCAGAATATGGTTGCATCATTTAAAAAAGTCTATTCAGCTATTCTATGTCTTTTATGTGGATAATTTAATCTGCTTATGTTCAAGGTTATTGTTGATATGTGCAGCTTTCTTCCTGTCATGTTGTTAGCTGTTTTCTGGTTGTTTTATATATTCTTTGCTCTTTTGTTTTTCTCTTATTGTTTGTCATCGTGGTCTGGTGAATTTCTATAGTGATACCGTTTGAGTCCTTTCTCTTTCCCTTCTTTGTGTGACTGCTTTACTAGTGAGTTTTATAATTTTGTGTGTTTTCATGATGGTAAATGTCATCCTTTCACTTCCAGGTTTAGGATTCCCTTGAGCATTTCTCATAGAAACAGTTTAGTGATAATCAATTTCCTCAGCATTTGCTTGTCTGATAAATAAAGGATCTAGGAATAGAAATACCATTTGATCCAGCCATCCCATTACTGGGTATATACCCAAAGGATTATAAATCATGCTGCTATAAAGACACATGCACACGTATGTTTATTGCGGCACTATTCACAATAGCAAAGACTTGGAACCAACCCAAATGTCTATCAATGATAGACTGGATTAAGAAAATGTGGCACATATACACCACGGAATACTATGCAGCCATAAAAAATGATGAGTTCATGTCCTTTGCAGGGACATGGATGAAGCTGGAAACCATCATTCGCAGCAAACTATCGCAAGGACAAAAAACCAAACACCGCATCTTCTCACTCATAATTGGGAATTGAACAATGAGAACACTTGGACACAGGAAGGGGAATGTCACACACCGGGGCCTGTTGTGGGGTGGGGGAAGGGGGGAGGGATAGCATTAGGAGATGTATCTAATGTAAATGATGAGTTAATGGGTGCAGCACACCAACAAGGCACATGTATACATATATAACAAATCTGCATGTTGTGTACGTGTACCCTAGAACTTAAAGTAAAATTAAAAAAAAAGAAATTTTTTAAATAGAAAAAAAGTCCTTGAAAATATAATATTTCTAATATACCACATTTTATATCCTTATTCATGAACAGAATAACCAGAATCCCAACCCTGCATGAATAATTTAAATTACCCAAAGTAAATAGGTGTCACTCTATAATAAAATGCACCAAAAACTTACAGATATTGAACATTAATTTGTATCAAATGTACATTTTATAGTATTACTGATAATGTAATAAAACTCTATCAAACAATTAAAAAATTGTATTTCTCCTTCACTTATGAAGGATTACTTGGTGGATATAGTATTCTTGGCTGCCAGTTTTTCTTTTCTTTCAGCACTTTGAATATACTATCCCATTCTCTTCTGGTCTGTGAGGTTTCTGCTGAGAAATTTGCTGTTAGTCTCATAGGGATTCCCTTATAGCTGTCTAGGTGTTTTCTCTTCCTGTTTTAAGATTTGCTTTTTATTTGGACAGTCTGATTATAATGTGCTTTGGAGAAGGCCTTGTTGCATTATATCTTCCTTGAGATCATTTAGCCTCCTTTATCTGAATATCTAAATTTCTTGCTAGACTTGGAAAGTTTTCATCTATTCTTTTGGTAAATATATTTTGTAATCCTTTCATTGTTCCTACTTATTCTTGGGACACTCATAATTCATATATTTCATCACTTTATGTTGTACCAAATGTCATAAAGGCCTTGCTCATTTTTAAAATATTTGTTTCTTTATTTTTGTCCGACTGGGTTATTTAAAAAAAACCTGTGCTCAAGTTCTAAGATTCTTTCTTCTGCATAATCTAGTCTGTTGTTTAAGCTTTCAAATGTATTTTATATTTCTTCTTGAATTTCTATTTAGTTCTGTTTAAAAAAAGTCGATACCTATCTTTTTGATAATTTTCTCATTTAATCCTGAATTGTTTTCCTGATTTCTTTGCATTGTTTTTCAAAATTCTCTTTCGTTTCACTGACTTCTTGAAAATTAATATTTTGAATTCTTTATCTAGAATTTTGAAGTTTTATTTTTAATTGAGATCAATTTCTGGACAATTATTATGTTCCCTTTCAGGTATCATATTTCCTTGCTTTTTCATGTGTCCTGTATCCTTACATTGATATTTGCACATCTGCTGTAACAGTCACTTCTGTTTTTCTATTTGCTTTCATAGCGGAAGACTTTTTCCTGAAGATGAATCTGTGGTGTTGGTAAGGCAAGGCGCATCGGCTTTGATTCTGGGTATGTGCAATACTGTATTCTCTGTATGATTTCCTTGACTATCAACAGTGTTAGTGCTTTCTTGCATTTACATGGAGAGTTAGGGTGCATTTATTAGTGGAGGCTTTGATGAAGTTGTGCTGGAGACTGGTAAGCCATGTGGGCTAGGCTTTAGGCTTCAGTAATGGTAGTAGTAGGCTGAAGATGCCTGTCTTTTTGCCCAGGGTGGTGTATGCTGGCACCTGTGTTGGCAGTTCGCAGTGGGCCTATGGTGGGCCTTCAGGTGGCTTGCTTGGAAGCCAGTAGTGGCAGTGGTGGGCTGGGTGGGTTAACAGATTCTTGGGTCCCTGGGAAACCAGGGTGGTATGGGCTATCATGGTGGTAGTGGTGGGCTGACCCTCTGTGTCCTGAGCAGTGCAAGCTGATGTTGGTGCTGGCTGCAGTGCAGGGCTGCTCCCAACATCCCCAGACATGCCACTCTCAAGCTCTTCTTCTCTTTGTTGCAGCAGTTGTGTAGCGCCACGCAGAGGGAGGGAAGGACCCTGCCTTCATGCACAAGCCCAGGCATGAGAGCCAAGCTGCCATGGGGGGTTGGGGTCAGAGTCACCACTCACCATCCTAGACAGGTAACCTTCCAGCTCTGCCTTGGCCAAGCCTCCAGCAGCAGTAGGAATGGGTGTGTGGAGGGAGAGGAGCATTCATGTCCTCTGTGCAAGAGCCTGAGCCCAGAGGCTGCTCCACTGGTAAAAAGGATGTCACTCCTTGCCTGCAAAGCTGAGCACAGAGTTTGTGCCACTGCTAGGGGCAGGGTCTCTTCACACAGCCCAAGGTAGGGAGTTCTCAGGCTCTGCAAAGTGCATTCTCTGGTTTCCTTTGTCCCAGGGGCTGCCTTTTGCTACATGACACTGTCTTTTTCCCTGGGGAACAGTACTTCTTGTGAACTAGAGTACTAGAGACCTTGTAGTAACTTTGGGTCTAGCCAGTGCTGTGCTGCGGCAGCCTTCTGAGTGGATCCTGGGGAATGTCGGTGGGAGCTCCCAGGATGTGGAGAGATAGGGGCTGTTTTCCCAGAGCAAGATGCTGTTCCATGATAGCTACTCCCCAAATGGGTCCCTGCCATAGCTGATCATGTCTCAGCAGGGTTTGAATGACACAGTGTGAGTTCCCTGTCGGGTGCAATGCTCTTGCAGGGGTCTCCAGATCACTGCTCATGCTAGTGTCAGGGTTCGTGTGGGTAGAGAAACTCTCCTGTGGTTCAGATAACAATAGTCTGTGGCAAGGATGTGGACAACTGAAGCTTTCTCACTTACCTTTTCCCCACAATACCAATCCCCTTGCTATTGGTTGATCTTGGTTGAGCCAGCTGCTTGCTTCCTTCCCCTTCTGTGCCTCAGGTATTTTTTTTGAGCTCTATGTTGGATTCTAGTGTTCTCTCTTAGATGTCCTGTTTGAGGTATGATTGTCTATTCACAGTTTTTATTCTTTCTGAAGAGGGCAGGTGTCTCATGTCTCTAGTTAGCCATCTTGTGGCCTCTTGATTTTAGCCCGGTGAGATCCATGTAGGACTTCTATTTACAGAACTATTATTTTTCTTAAAGTCTACCAAATTGTACAAACTTCAGGCATCATAAAACTTAGGTCTTCCCCGGATAGGCCAAAAACCTGAGTCCCACTCCCAGCCCTGTGCCTCATTCCCCCAAACTCCTCTAAGGTAAGGGGCTGCCCAAGCTGCCTGCTCACTCCTGTCCTCTTCCTGGATCAGCTGGACAATTAGGTCCTTGCCTCCTTCAGAAGCTGGCTAGGGATCTGCATCTCTCCCTAGGAATGGGAATGTCCATGGTGAGAACCTCAGATTGGTAGTGGCTGGAGCAAGGAGCAGGACATATGATGGGCTGACAGGTAGCAGGGTCTGCAAAAATGACTTTTTAAAAAGGTGTAGTTACTACATTCAATGAGTGAAACACTGCTATAGTTTTTTTTTTTTTTAATTTTTACTTTAAGTTCCAGAGTACATGTGCAGAACGTGCAGGTTTGTTACATAGGTATACATGTGCCATGGTGGTTTGCTGCATCTAACAACCCATTACCTAGGTTTTGAGCCCTGCATGCATTAGCTATTTGTCCTGATGGTCTCCCTCCCCTTGCCCCAGGCTGACAGGTCCTGGTGTGTGCTGTTACCCTCCCTGTGTCCATATGTTCTCATTGTTCAACTCCCACTTATGAGTGAGAAT
The DNA here is from genome assembly GCF_000001405.40 of Homo sapiens. NCBI lineage: Eukaryota > Metazoa > Chordata > Mammalia > Primates > Hominidae > Homo > Homo sapiens. The sequence goes on along the minus strand of NC_000007.14, from coordinate 91,706,176 downwards.
ATGTGGTGTTTGGTTTTCTGTTTCTGTGTTAGTTTGCTGAGGATGATGGCTGTCAGCTTCACCCATTTCTCTGCAAAGGACATGATCACATTCCTTTTTATGGCTGCACAGTATTCCATTGTGTATATGTACCACATTTTCTTTATTTAGTCTATCATTGATAGGCATTTGGGTTGGTTCCATGTCTTTGCTATTGTGAATAGTGCCACAATAAACGTATGTGTGCATGTATCTTTATAAGATAATGATTTATATTCCTTTGGGTATATACTTAGTAATGGGTCAAATGGTATTTCTGGGTCTAGATCCTTGAGGAATCACCACACTGTCTTCCACAATGGTTGAACTAATTTACATTCCCACCAACAGGGTAAAAGCATTCCTATTTCTCCACAGCCTTGACAGCATCTGTTGTTTCTTGACTTTTTAGTAATTGCCATTCTGACTGGCATGTGATGGTATCTCATTGTAGTTTTGATTTGCATTTTTCTAATGATCAGTGATGTTGAGCTTTTTTTCACATATTTGTTGGCTGCATTTATGTCTTTTTCTGAGAAGTGTCTGTTCATGTCATTTGCCCACTTTTTGATGAGGTTGTTTTTTTATTTCTTGTAAATTTGTTTAAGTTCCTTGTAAATTCTCGATATTAGCCCCTTGTCAGATGGGTAGATTGCAAAAATTTTCTTCCATTCTGTAGGTTGCCTGTTCACTCTGATGATAGTTTATTTTGCTGTGCAGAAGCCCTTTAGTTTAATTAGATCCTGTTTGTCAATTTTAGCTTTCGTTGCAATTGCTTTTGGAGTTTTTGTCATGAAGTCTTTGCCTAAACCTATGTCCTGAATGATATTGCCTAGGTTTTCTTGTAGGGTTTTTATGGGTTTAGGTTTTACATTTAAGTCTTTAATTCATCTTGAGGTAATTTTTGTATAAAGTGTAAGGAAGGGGTCCAGCTTCAGTTTTCTGCATATAGCTAGCTAGTTTTCCTAGCACCATTTATTAAATAGGGAATCTTTTCCCCATTGCTTGTTTTTGTCAGGTTTGTCAAAGACCAGATAATTGTAGGTGTGTGGCCTTATTTCTGAGGACTCTATTCTGTTCCATTGATCTATATGTCTGTTTTGGTATCAGTCCCATGCTGTTTTGGTTACTGGAGCCTTGTAGTATAGTTTGAAGTCAGGTAATGTGATGCCTCCAGCTTTATTCTTTTTGCTTAGGATTTTCTTGGCTATATGGGCTCTTTTTTGGTTTCATATGAATTTTAAGTAATTTTTTCTAATACTCTGAAGAATGTCAATGGAGTTTGATGGGAATAGCATTGAATCTATAAATTACCTTGGGCAGTAGGGCCATTTTCATGATATCGATTCTTCCTATCCAAGAGCATGGATTGCTTTTCCATTTGTTTGTGTCCTCTCTTATTTCCTTGAGCAATGGTTTGTAGTTCTTGAAGAGGTCCTTCATGTTCCTTGTTAGCTGAATTCCTAGGTATTTTATTCTTTGTAGCAATTGTGAATGGGAGTTCATACATGATTTGGCTCTCTGCTTGTCTATTGTTGGTGTGTAGAAATGATTGTGTCTTTTGCACATTGATTTTGTATCCTGAGACTTTGCCGATGCTGCTTATCAGCTTAAGGAGCTTTTGAGTTGAGATGATGGGGTTTTCTAAACATAGGATCATCTTGTCTGCAAACAGAGACAGTTTGACTTCCTCTCTTCTGATTTGAATATGCTTTATTTCTTTCTCTTGCCTGATTGCCCTGGACAGAACTTTCAATACTACATTGAATAGGAGTGGTGAGAGAGGGCATCCTTGTCTTGTGCTGGTTTTCAAAGGGAATGCTTCCAGCTTTTTCGCATTCCATATGATATTGGCTGTGGGTTTCTCATAAATATTTGTTTGTCTTATTATTTTGAGATATGTCCCATTAATACCTAGTTTATTGAGAGTTTTTAACCTGAACGGATGTTAAATTTTATTGAAGGCCTTTTCTGCTTATATTGAGATAATCATGTGGTTTTTGTCATTGGTTCTGTTTATGTGGTGGATTACGTTTACTGAATTGCATATGTTGAACCAGCCTTGCATCCCAGGGATGAAGCTGAGTTGATCTTGGTGGATAAACTTTTTGATGCACTGCCATATTCAGTTTGCTGGTATTTTATTGAGGATTTTAGCATCGATGTTTATCAGGGATATTGGCCTGAAGTTTTCTTTTTTGTTGTTGTGTCTCTGCCAGCTTTTGGTATCAGGATGATGCTGGCCTCATAAAATGAGTGACTCATAAAAGAGTCGCTCCTTTTCAATTGTTTGGAATAGTTTCAGAAGAAATGGTACCAGCTCTTCTTTGTATCTCTGGTAGAATTCAGCTGTGAATCCATCTGGTCATGGGCTTTTTTTGGTTGGTAGGTTATTACTGCCTCAATTTCAGAACTTGTTAGTGGTCTACTCAGGGCTTTGACTTCTTCCTGGTTTAGTCTTGGGAGGGTGTATGTGTCCAGGAATTTATCCATTTCTTCTAGATTTTCTAGTTTATTTGCATAGAGGTGTTTATGGTATTCTCTGATGGTAGTTTGTATTTCTCTGGGGTCAATGGTGATATCCCATATATCAGATTTTATTGTGTCTATTTGATTCTTCTCTTCTCTATTAGTCTAGTGAGTGGCCTATTAATTTTTTCAAGAAACCAGCTCCTGGATTTATTGATTTTTTGAAGCATTTTTTGTGTCTCTATCTCCTTCAGTTCTGCTCTGATCTTAGTTATCTCTTGTCTTCTGCTACCTTTTGGATTTGTTTGCTCTTGCTTCTCTAGTTCTTTTAATTGTGATGTCAGGGTGTCAATTTGTCATCTTTCTAGCTTTCTGATGTGGGCATTTAGTGCTATAAATTTGCCTCTTTTTTTTTTTTTTTGAGACAGAGTCTCACTCTGTCACCCAGGCTCGAATGCAGTGGCACAATCTCAGCTCACTGCAACCTCTGTCTCCCAGGTTCAAGGGATTCTCCTGCCTCAGCCTCCTGAGTGGTTAGGATTACAGACACGTGCCATCATGCCCAGCTAATTTTTGTATTTTTGTTTTCTTTTTTTAAGGCACTATATATATATATATATTTTTTTTTTTTTATTATACTTTAAGTTTTAGGGTACATGTGCACATTGTGCAGGTTAGTTACATATGTATACATGTGCCGTGCTGGTGCGCTGCACCCACTAACTCGTCATCTAGCATTAGGTATATCTCCCAATGCTATCCCTCCCCCCTCCCCCCACCCCACAACAGTCCCCAGAGTGTGATATTCCCCTTCCTGTGTCCATGTTATCTCATTGTTCAATTCCCACCTATGAGTGAGAATATGCAGTGTTTGGTTTTTTGTTCTTGCGATAGTTTACTGAGAATGATGATTTCCAATTTCATCCATGTCCCTACAAAGGACGTGAACTCATCATTTTTTATGGCTGCATAGTATTCCATGGTGTATATGTGCCACATTTTCTTAATCCAGTCTATCATTGTTGGACATTTGGGTTGGTTCCAAGTCTTAGCTATTGTGAATAATGCCACAATAAACATATGTGTGCATGTGTCTTTATAGCAGCAAGTTTTATAGTCCTTTGAGTATATACCCAGTAATGGGATGGCTGGGTCAAATGGTATTTCTAGTTCTACATCCCTGAGGAATCGCCACACTGACTTCCACAATGGTTGAACTAGTTTACAGTCCCACCAACAGTGTAAAAGTTTTCCTGTTTCTCCACATCCTCTCCAGCACCTGTTGTTTCCTGACTTTTTAATGATTGCCATTCTAACTGGTGTGAGATGGTATTTTTTAGTAGAGACAGGGTTTCACCATCTTGGCCAGGCTGGTCTCGAACTCCTGACTTCCTGATCCACCCACCTCAGCCTCCCAAAGTGCTGGAATTATAGGCATGAGCCACCGTGCCTGGCCTAAATTTCCCTCTTATCACTGCTTTAGCTGTATCCCAGAGATTCTGGTTTGTTGTCTCTTTGTTCTTTTTGGTTTCAAAGAAATTCTTGATTTCTGCCTAAATTTCATTATTTACACAGGAGTCATTCAGGAGCAGGTTGTTCAATTTCCATGTAGTTGTGTGGTTTTGAGGGAATTTCTTAATCTTGAGTTCTAATTGGATTGCACTGTGGTCTGAGAGACTGTTTGTTATGATTTCCTTCCTTTTTTCATTTGCTGAGGGGTGTTTTACTTCCAATTATGTGGTCGATTTTAGAGTAAGTGCCATGTGGCACTGAGAAGAATGTATAGTCTTTTGTTTGGAGGGGGAGAGTTCTGTAGATATTTATTAGGGCCACTTGATCCAGAGTTGAGTTCAATTTCTGAATATTCTTGTTAATTTTCTGCCTCATTGATTTGTCTAATATTGACAGTGGGGTGTTAAAGTCTCCCACTATTATTGTGTGGGAGTCTAAGTCTCTTTGTAGGTATCTATGAACTTGTTTTATTAATCTGGATGCTCCTGTATTGGGTGCATATATACTTAGGATAGTTAGCTCCTCTTGTTGAATTGATCCCTTTACTATTATTTAATGCTTTTGTCTTTTTTTTTTTTTTTTTTTTTTTTTTTTTTTTTTTTTTTTGAGATGGAGTCTCACTCTGTCACCCAGGCTGGAGTGCAGTGGTGCAATCTCAGCTCACTGCAAGCTTTGCCCCCCGGGTTCATGCCATTCTCCTGCCTCAGCCTGCCGAGTAGCTGGGACTACAGGCTCCTGCCACCACGCCTGGCTAATTTTTTTGTGTTTTTAATAGAGATGGGGTTTCACCGTGTTAGCCAGGATGGTCTCGATCTCCTGACCTTGTGATCCACCTGCCTCAGCCTCCCAAAGTGTTGGGATTACAGGCTTGTGCCACCGTGCCTGGCCACTTTTGTCTTTTTTGATATTTGTTGGTTTAAAGTCTGTTTTGTCAGAAACTAGGATTGCAACCCCTGCTTTCTTTTGCTTTCCATTTGCTTAGTAAATATTCCTCCATCCCTTTATTTTGAGCCTATTTGTGTCTTTGTATGGGTTATGGGTCTCTTGAATACAGCACACCGATGGGTCTTGACTCCTTATCCAATTTGCCATTCTGTGTCTTTTAATTGGGGCATTTAGCCCATTTAGATTTAAAGTTAATATTGTTACTTATGAATTTGATCCTGTCATCATAATGCTAGCTGGTTATTTTGCACACTAGTTGATGCAGTTTCTTCATAGTGTCATTGGCCTTTATATTTTGGTGTGTTTTTGCAGTGGTTAGTACCAGTTTTCCTTTCCATATTTAGTGCTTCCTTCAGGGGCCCTTGCAAGGCAGGCCTGGTGGTGACGAATTCCCTCAGCATTTGCTTGTCTGAAAAGGATTTTATTTCTCCTTCACTTATGAAGCTTAGTTTTGCTGGATATGATATTCTGGGTTGAAAATTCTTTTCTTTAAGAATCTTGTATATTGGCCCCAAATCTCTTCTAGCTTGTAGGGTTTCTGCTGAGAGATCTGCTGTTAGTCTGATGGGCTTCCCTTGGTAGGTAACCTGACCTTTTTCTCTAGCTGCTCTTAACATTTTTTCCTTCACCTCAACTTGGAGAATCTGATGATTATGTGTCTTAGGGTTGATCATCTCATAGAGTATCTTAGTAGGGTTCTCTATATTTCCTAAATTTGAATGTTGGCCTGTCTTGCTATGTTGGAGAAGTTCTCCTGGATAATATTCTTAAGTGTGTTTTCCAACTTGCTTCCATTCTCCCCATCTCTTTCAGGTACTCCACTCAGTCATAGGTTCAGTCTTTTTACATAGTCCCATAGTTCTCGGAGGTTTTGTTCATTCCTTTTCATTCTTTTTTCTCTAATCTTGTCTGCCTGCCTTATTTTAGCAAGATAATCTTCAATCTCTGATATTCTGTCTTCTCCTTGATTGATTCAGCTATCTTGTGTGTGCTTCATGAAGTTCTCATGCTGTGTTTTTTAGTTCCATTAAGTCATTTATGTTCCTTTCTAAACTGGTTTTTCTAGTTAGTAGCTCCTGTAACCTTTTATCATCATTCTTAGCTTCTTTGCATTGGCTTAGAACAAGCTCCTTTAGCTCAGTGAAGTTTGTTATTTCCCACCTTCTGTAGCCTACTTCTGTCAATTTGTCCATCTCATCCTCTGTCCAGTTCTTTGCCCTTACTGTAAAGGTGTCACGATCATTTGGAGGAGAAGAGTCACTCTGGCCTTTGGGTTTTTCAGTGGTGGTTTTTTTTTTTTTAAATTCTTTCTCATCATCATGAGTTTTTCTAGTTTCAATCTTTGAGGCTGCTGACCCTTGGATGAGGTGTTTTTTTTTTTTTTTTTTTTTTTTTTTTTTGAGACGGAGTCTCGCTCTGTCGCCCAGGCTGGAGTGCAGTGGCGCGATCTCGGCTCACTGCAAGCTCCGCCTCCCGGGTTCACGCCATTCTCCTGCCTCAGCCTCCCACGTAGCTGGGACTACAGGTGCCCGCCACCACGCCTGGCTAATTTTTTGTATTTTTTAGTAGAGACGGGGTTTCACTGTGTTAGCCAGGATGGTCTCAATCTCCTGACCTCATGATCCGCCCGCCTCGGCCTCCCAAAGTGCTGGGATTACAGGCGTGAGCCACCGCGCCCGGCCTGGATGAGGTTTTTGTGGGGACTTTTTTTGTTGATGCTGTTGTGTTGCTTTCTGCTTTTTTGTTTTTCTTTCTATAGTCAGGTCCCTCTTCTGTAGGGCTACTGTGGTTTGCTGGGGGTTCACTTCAGGCCCTATTAATATGCTCCCATGCCTAGAAACGTCACTTGAGGAGATTGGAGAACAGCAAAGATGGATGTCTGCTGTTTCCTCTGGGATCTCTGACCTTGAGTGGCACCCACCTGATGCCAGTAGGAATGCTTCTGTATAGGGCATCTGACAACCTCTTTTGGGGGGTCTCACCCACTTGGCATGGGAAACAGGACCCATTTAATGAAGTACTTTGGCTATCCTTTGGTGGAGGGGGTGTGCTGCTCTGGGGGGAAACCCATGCATCTGGACGCCCAGATTCTTCAGAGCTAGTAGGAGGAAAGACTAAGTCTGTTGGTCCATGGAGATTATGGCCACCCTCCCCATAGGGGCTCAGGCCCAGGGAGATCAGAGTTCTACCCCTGAGCCCCTGGCTGGAGTTCCTGTAGGGTGGCCCCACCCAGTCAGGAGGGATGGGTCAGGGTCTATACTGAAGAAGCAGTCTGGCTGTGGTTTGCCACAGCTGATGTGCTGGGCTTGGGGTAATACCTCTTGGGACCAAGCTATCCAGCCTCCCTGGCTCCAGCAGGGGAAAACACAGCCTGGAGCTATAGTGATGGGTGCTGCCCTTACCCCCTCTGGAGCTTAGTGTGTTAGGTGGCTAGCAGCTGCAGTGATGGCTGCCACGCTTCCCCCAAGGAGCTCAGGTGGCCTAGACAACAGGCCCCTGCAGCTGTGGTGATGGCTGCCCCTCCCTCCAGGAACTCGCCAGGCTTAGCCAGATTCCAGCCAAGTGGGTGTTGAGAATCTGCATGACTCCATGATTGGGATCCAAGGCCCTGGTGATGGGCTTACGAGTGTGATCTTCCAATGTGTGGGTTGCACGGTTCCATGGAAAAAGCATGGTTTCCCAGGCTGGGTAGCATACTCACTCACCGCCTTCTTTGGCTGGGGATGGGGGTTGCCCTTCCCCATGTGGCTCTAAGGTGGGCTGCTGCACCACACTGCTCTTCCTTCCTCTCTGTGGGTCACGCCAGCTGCCTAGTCAGTCCTGATGACAGAACCTGGATACCTCAGTTGCTATACAGGATTCAGATGCTGTTTTGGTTCTTTTTGATGGGAAACTTGGATCGCCACTGCTTCTAGTTGGCCATCTTGGCCCTGCCCTATAGTTTGATTTTGAAAAGTCGAATTATGTTCTCAGATTTGTTTGTAATGCTCTTCTCAGAGGTGACCTTTATTTTGTGTCTTTTGTTTGCATTGCATTCAAAGTGAGGATAAAATTGAGAAGAAGAGGTTCCTCTTTCTCTCCCTTTACCTGCCCTGAGAAACTCAAGCTTTCTTCTCTGCAATGGGAACCTGCCTGGAAGCTTTTGTGTTTCTTTTAGCCTTGAACTTAAGTCACTTTTTAGATGATGAAGTTGGGTACAGGTAAGGTTCTCAAGCTTCTGAAATTAGTTTTCCTTTCTTTAAAACTCTTTGTTTTATTGTGGAGAAGCACAGTGGGTTAATTCATATTTGAGAGAATTCTTATAGAAAAAAAAATGTCTTAGTTTGGATTCTCTCTGAATCAGACCCTGAAACAAGGATTTGGGGGCAAGTAGTTTATTTTTGAAGGGGTCCCTGGAAGCACCATGAAGGAGTAGGATTATGGGCTGGAGACATGTGAAAACTCAACAGAGAGTGCATTCAGGAGTGGTTACCACCATGGGTACCTGGGACTCAATCCTGCTGGAGACCCTCTAAGAAACTGTAGTTGCTACAAGGGGTAAGGAAGCTAGGGCATTTATTTACCATTTTCCATCTTTTATGGGTTGAAGTTTGTGTCTGGAGGAATTAACTCCCCACTATTTATGGCCTACCTGGATATGGGCAGCACATGCTCTTCAGGCAGAGGAAGTCCAGAGTCAAAGAGACACAAATGGTTGAGGTAGGAACTCATTGGTTTGTGAAGTGGACTGTCTGCCAAAGCAATAGGCAACCAATGCTATAGGAGTGGGTCAGGGAATATGGGTGAGGCACCAACTGTCTGTGTCAGAAGACTGTTGTTTTCAGATATGAGGAAGTTGGACTTACACTCCCTAAAGTTATACTCTGTTAGTGGCCATGAAAATAGATCTGTAATGCTTTGTGCTTTTTGTGGATAATTCCTGTTCATCCACTAAAACTCCATTTAGAGCCAATCTGCCTGAACTTAATTTATCCTTGTAATTCTACACAGGCTGTTCTTGTATTGACCCTGATCATTGTCTCTTGGTGGTCTATCTACCCAGAAAGTATGCTCTATCCTGACTGCCCATCAAAGCTCCCAAATAAGCCATATCAGAATGCAAGGATAATTTAATTTCATCTTTAGCACCCCCTTTCACCCTCAAAGTGTTTGTTTCTTAGTAAAGGGTGTATGTGTTGGGGAGTGGGTGTTTGAACATGGCAATAAACCTACACAGTGGCTCCCACTGATGTTCAGCCATGTTCTGAACATGTTATAATTACTGGTGGGCAGAGCCTGTCAGAAGTCTGTTTGTAAAAGGATTTAAGATCATCCTGGGAGATAATTATTATAAGGGGTGAGGAAGTTAGGGGTGACAGCTAGATCCAGTAACAAGCCTTGTTAATCAGAGGAGGGAGGCTATTCTGAGAATGGTGTGGTGTCTATGACTCAGGTTTGTCTCCATTTCTGGCCTCCCTTTAGATCGTGTCTCAGTCTTTCAGAGAGTTGAGGGTAAAGCTATAAATGAATACTAAATGAGTTATTTTGCTCAAACTGTTGGACACTGGAAGTACCAGTAAGATTACTTGGAGATCTCTCTAACAGAATGTAATACAATCTAAAGAGAAAGGGCTTATCTTCCAGTTCCAACAATGTCCATGGAGAGGGTTGGAAAAGGGCAAGAGGAATTGGAAGCCACATGGTATCTGACAAGTCTTGTTCATTATCACAGGTGAGATGCACCCAGGGATTTACCAGAGCTACTTGGACAGTACTTGATTGATGGCTGCATCCCACGGAAAGCCATGAAATCTGGGTTAGCTGATTAATGCGACCTTATTTGTTCCCATAGGCTGATGAGAACTGGGCAAACTTGAGCTGCAGATGGAGCATTCTGGTAGATATGGACAAATCATTTAATTTCTTTTCCACAATCAAGTTTAGGATATACATATACTGCCTGGTCCATAGTAGGTACTTATACTAGATATCCATTGAATGAATTAACTTTTCTCACATTTGATACACATCAAGAGTGAGAAAGAATTGAACTGATCCCTGACAAATTTCTAGTCCCCTTGAGGTAAGGGAACCATTACTTCTTTCTTATTTGCTAGGCCTTATATAAATAAATTCATGTGATTAAAAAAAAACATTAACAGATATCTAAATGACTCTGTCAGCCAGGTATGGTGGCTTACTCCTGTAATCCAAGCACTTTGGGAGGCTGAGGAGAGAGGATTGCTTGAGTCCAGGAGTTTGTGACCAGCTTGGGCAATACAGGGAGACATCATTTCTACAAAAAAAAAAAAAAAAAAAAAATTGCCAGGCATGGTGGTATGCACCTGTTGTCCCAGCTACTAGGGATGCTGAGGTGGGAGGATTGCTTGAGCCTGGGAGGTCGAGGCTGCAATGAGCCGTGATTGTGCCAATGCACTCCAGCCTGGATGACAGAGTGAGACCCTGTCTCATAAATAAATAAATAAATGACTTCGTCATTGTGAAAACTTCAGAAAAATGAATTTACTGGTGAATTAGTTTAATTGATTACCCTCAGTTTGGCATCACTTGCTAACAGTGTGTCTTTGGACAAGTTACCTAACATCTCAGAACCTCAGATTCTTCTGTAAAATAAAGATAATATTACCTACCTAATGATTATGTACATAAAGTGCTTGGTATAGCATATAGGACATGAAATAATTATAATAAGTAATTATAATGGTAATGGCAATCATCACTGTCATCTTTTAGATAGTCTATGGCGATGCTAAATAGGATCCACCTAGGGAATTGCCTCTACTTTGTTCTTTGTTTTTTAGTTGGTTTTCTGCCTAAGAATAAATATGTAATGTAACCTTCATAACAACTTTTTAATAAAGCCTTTGGTAGACAGGCTTATAAAAAGTTTCTGGAAATTTAGATACATTGACTATATGTGCAGTGGTTTTGTTTTATCTATTTTTGATCCCCTCAAAAAGTATCAATGGATTAGAGATTTCATTTCCTCTTATATCACCCGGGTTGGCTTTTCTGTATCAGCTTTTGCCTGTTTGCATCTTTTGGCTAAACCAGTACCTAAAACTAGGGACTATTGTGTACTTCTCCTGATATATCCTTTGTAGGCTGCTTGAAGCAAGGTTTGCTGGAGCCGTGTGAAAGTGTATATTGTCTAGAAGACAGAACTATTTTTAGCTTGAAGGTAGAGCTGTGCTTTTCCTTCTTGGCAAATTCCTTTTCTTTTGATGAAAGCCAAAACTTGAAGGTAGTGGTGACAGATTAGGGCCCTAATTGCTGTGTTGTTGGCAATAAAGAGAGATATTTATTGCTAATCAGGTAAATAACAGACTAAATTTCATCAGTGTAGTAAGATGAGCCCACTCAGTGGGCTGGTCTTGTAGAATACTTTTTCTAGTGAGCCTGGGAAAACTTGTGAAGTGGCAATAATAAAAACAGCATATGGTCTTTGCTGGAACTTTGTCATACATTAGCAATGTGCTGTGGGTGTGGTAATGAACATCAGGTGTATTTGGCTCAAGACTTCTAAACTTGGGGAAGTGGAATTTTGCTTTTATCCACTTACTGGAATGTGTTTTTACATTTCTGGTATTTTTAAAAAAAATAACTTAAGAACTACGTTATTTTTTTATTCCTTATTTGGAAGCTATACTGGTCAGCATAAGAAAATACTTAACTTAAGATCTTCAAAGGCATACTGTAGAGGTTTGGAAAGCATTTGGTTTGGCTTGAAGCGAGTTTGGCGAGTGAAGTGACAGGCACATAAGAAAGAACAACAGGTGAAAAAATGTGGAGTGTCTTTCATCTTTCAAAGGATTTTCTTGATGAATTGAAACAGCCATGAAAATAAGCACTGGCCTTCATGCCCAGTGGCCTAAAAGGACTTATAGTGGGCCAAATCAGAGTCAGGCAGGGGCCTAATGAAAATCAGGCAACAGGCCTAGGCCTAATTAAATATGTTCTGCCTCTCCCCACTTTTTATTCCTTTTGGGATTTGTGGTAGAGAGATATTTCTCTTCTTTGACTCAGATAGAGCTGGTAACGACTAGCAAAGGCAAACAGTGGCATTAGTACCTCAAGTAGAACCAGGAAAAATTTTTGTTGGCTAAATAAATTTTCTTACAGGCCTATTTCTTTTAAAAACTGCTTATAAAAATTAACTAATATATTTCTGGACTAAAGTAAATATCCCTTGAAGTGGTTGAATGGGAGAGACAAAAATTTTTTATTTTGTTTGGGAAAAATATATTGCATTTCCTCGTAACTATGTTTTAGAACAGCTTTTAAAGATGTTGATTGAGCTTCAGCACAGCTTCCCAAACTTGTCTAAAGGAGTCTTTGGGATCTATGAGTCATAAATTATTTTCTGATTAAGATCACAAGAAAGATGTCTCCATAGAATTCTGCAAAACGGTAGAGCATATTTGAACAATGTGAATTTGACATAAGAGTAGAACATATTATCCAAGGTCCTAATTCATATTTTGTTCATACATGTTCAAACTATGGCAATGTTTCCATACTTTTCCACAGTTTATAGAGTGCGTACACAGAGGACCTGAGACTGCACCACATATTCCCAGGCCCTCAGTGGAGGACTTCTTTCTTGCCACTACCCCCCATGAAGAATGTGGGGCTTAGTTTAGCATTTGAATACAACTAAAACTTCTACGTAACTCAGGGAGATAACAAAGTTAATTTATTACAGCACATTTATAAAGTCCTAGGAGTTGCCTGAATAATAATAATTGGTGAGTCCGTTTTATATTTTTCCAGCCTTTGCTTAGGGAGCAACTTTCGAAGTAAATGACAATGCCACATTTGGAAGAATTCTAGAGGCATGTGTTTTGGGAACAGCATGGATGAGAATCAGAGTGGATCTGCAGACTGCAGGACATTACAAGTATATATTGAGCACAAGAAATATAAAAGGTCAGAAAGACAGTAAAATCCTGTGACATATTCCTTTTTTAAAAGAGAAATATAAATACACGACTTAGCCACTGTCAAAGGGTGGTCATAAAGAACAACAAATCATACATTTTCAAAAGAAGTCCATTCCCCTGTTTTCCTTTTGAAATGCTTAATGAAAAGCTACACAAAAAATTTCTGTGGATTAAGGATTCTGGAATAAGCAAGAGGCAGTAACAGAAGTCCACGTGCTCTGTCTTTACTAGCTTTCATTGTTTTGGTTTCAAGCTAAGCAGGAAAATGTTCCTGCCAAGTGAATATGCATGTGCATGGGATGTTTTCTGCTTTGTTTCACTCAGGCGTTTGAAGAAATTTCCTGGTTTGTATCAGTCATACATCATTTTAGTGTAAGAGAAAACACACCCCTTGGAACAATTAAGGACTTGCAACTTACCGTTAGAATGAGTAATAAGCTGCAATGTCTATTTAGAATTGGTTTTTTAGAAATTAATTACTGAGATAAGTCACAAAATTCTTCACTATTTTCTAATAATTAAAAACCACAATTCCACAATTCGTCAGTGAGAAATTTGTCAGGGCAATATATTTATCATTTATCACTTTAGAAAGGGGTCCACAAACTTTTTCTATAAAGAGCCAGATAGTAAATATTTTAGACTGTGAGCCTTTGTAGCGTGCAAGCAGCCAGAGACAATAAGTAAATGAATGAGCGTGTCTATGTTCGAATAAAACAGTATGTATTACATGCATTATGTATTACATTTCATAGAATTTTAACATGTCTTAATATCCCATTCTTCCTTTGATTGTTTTTTAAAACCATGTAAAAATGCAAAAATCATGTTTAGCTTTGAGTTGCAAGCCAGATTTGGTGCAAGTGCTATAGTTTGCTGACTCTGTTTTAGAATATAAGACTATTATTATTTTTACTAAGATGTCTGAGTATTATTTTAAAGAGTAATGCATTTTTTCCAACTCAAAATTATTTTATAATTCTGGTCCAATGATTCCTATTTTTCAAATGCATTGTTTGGGCTGTTGGAAGACTGCAGGACGTGGGCTAGCTGAGTGGCGTGAGGTTGGACGAATTAAATTCTGACTGTGTTCCTCTCATTATGTTTTAATTCTGTTCATCAGTAAAAGAAACTCGTGCCATTGCCTCACTTGTTGCAATGAATAAATTGGTATAATTTTACAATGGAACAACTGCATGGAGTCTTTTGCTGCCTGAAGACCTGAGTGTTGGGCTCCTCTTCATAAAAGTTTCCATGACGATCTGGCCTGAGAGAATGACAGGTTTGCCCTCATGGGGAATTTCTCATTATGGAAGCTTTTCTTTTACTAGGAAGCTTTATGGAAGCTTAATAGTGGGTCAAACAGAAAGGACCAAATAGGACCTTTTCATAAACCATACCTTATACCCACCTCGGCCTGAAAAAGAGCTTGTTTCCTCCTGTGTGTGGTGATGGGGTGATGTTCAGAAGCTGGGAGTTTAGGGAGGACCACCATGCGACCCTGGGGTCCTTGCTTCCTTGTGTAACTAAGAGACCCAGACACAGGCATGTGTTATTAATACATGGGCTAAGCCAAGAATTGTAGGTCCCTAGCTTTGCTTATTGAAAGGCAGTGTGTGAAGTCTTCAAGAAAGTGGGCTCTGGGCACAACTAACTGCGTCTTTAGCTGGTTCTGCTATTTACTAGCTGTGTGACCTTCACTTCTCTGTGCCTCAGTTTCCTTGTCTGTAGAAGTGGTATGATAATAATGGTTTTCCTTTCACAGGGTTGTTGTGGGGACAAAGTACATTAATATATGTAATGCGTCTTAGAAAAGCACCTGGCACATGGCAGTGATAAATTATAGCTATTGGGATAATTTTCATCCTTTTTGGCCTTGAAAGTAACATTTGAAAACTCTTATTTAAAAGATTTTCTTTCAGGTATAATCACTATGACAATATCCTTTCATCTCTTCTTTCTCATCCATATCACTCCTTTATTCTACTGATGTATATCTTCCAGTCACCTCAGCCACCCTGTCCTAATATTCATTTTGGATTCTGACCGTTGTTTTCTGCCCACTCACTACATTTTGTTATACACTCAGCAATCTCCTGGATCTAAATTGCGAAACACTCGGATCATATATAAAAGGGAAGCCCCGTTCATTAGGTGTAACTTAATATGTTGTCATATAGCTATGGTATAGCCCAGCCTGGATTTGGTTACAAATCTATGGGTAATTCAAGGCAGATTTGTAGTAAGCTGCTCACCCACCTGCCCAGAGCTGAGAAGCTGAAAAGATGTAGCCCAGTTGGGAAAACTAGTAGTGTTCTGAGCATAGGCTTTATGGCTCATCATGCTTTAGTAGGGCTTCCCAGGGGTGTAGTGGAATGTTCTGAGGACCTTCAATAAACACATTTGTGCTTGACTATATATGTTGGGTTTGTTTCCCTTTTCTGCCAACTGCTTTCTGGCTGGAGAGAGAAAAAGCCTTAAACATTGCTGCACACTATTTTAAATCCAGCTTAAGCTGTTTTATCTTTCCTCTTGGGCCTGTTCTGCCTGTGCTCTCTAGAATGGGGCAGGGGTGTGAACAGCTGTTGAGGGAAGCTTTTATTTTTGTTAATTACTAACCCGGATTTGTCTACTCCTATTTTCTTGGAATGAAAGTGAGATGCTATTTTTTGTCTACTCAATGTAGGATTTTTTTTTTCTGAGAGGATATATTATATAAGTTATGGACAAAAACAATTCTAAAACAGTTTAATATGTTTGAATAAAGTAAGGTCACATTGAGGAAGACCACCTGCAGATAAAGGGGCATTGCATAATACTTATGTGGAGTCTTTGGGTTTTGCTCTTTAGGGTAACTATAAAACCCGGTTCTCAGCCCTGTAAGAAACAATGTTTGCATGGAATACCTGCTAATTCCTTAAAACAAAACAAAACACACACAGGTCTAGTATTTAATCTCATAATTCTTCTCTCCTTAGGTATCCCATCCTATAAGACATCCATATGAGGCACCCTCTTTGACTTCAAAAGGTATTTTGTGTAGGCAAGAAACACCCAGAGCATAAAGAGGAATGAGGCTTTGCTCCAGATATATTTTTATTTGATTGAAACAATTCATCTGAACGACATTTGCTGTGTATTAATCACTTATGTTTAGGCTTACGTAGAGTGTACATTTGTTTAGTAATGCATTTTTATCCAGCATGTGAGATTCCTATTGTGTGCAAAGGGCAAAACTAAGCCGCATGCTTGGACAACAAGGCATGCAAATGCCTGATTCTGTCATTCAGTCCAAAGGTGAAGTAATTCTATCTCTGCAGTATTTTTACTGTAGATTTTCTGGTATACTACTAGTAATGCCTATCATAAATCTGTTTATTTTTCTAAGAGAAAAATAAAAAAGAAAACTATCATTTTTAGTGCTTTCTGGATGCCAGGCATTGTAAATACATAACTTTATTTATTCCTCACATTAGGCCTTGAGCATAGGTATTATTCCCATATTATAGAGTGAAAACTGAGGTTGGGAATAAAATAGTGTATTAGTTCGTTCTCATGCTGCTAATAAAGACATACTCAAGACTGGGTAATTTATAAAGAAAAAGAGGTTTAATGGACTCAGTTTCACATGGCTGGGGAGGCCTCACAATCATGGTGGAAGGTAAAGGAGGAACAAAGCCATGTCTTACATGGTGGTAGGCAAGAGAGCTTGTGTAGGGTAACTACCCTTTATAAAACCATCAGATCTCATGAGACTTATTCACTCGCATGAGAACAGCATAGGAAAGATCTGCCCCCATGAGGTTACCTCCCACCTGGTCCCTCCCACAACGTGTGGGAATTATGGGGGCTACAATTTAAGACGAGATTTGGGTGGGGACACAGCCAAACCATATCAAATAGCTTGCCTAAAGGCCACACAGCTGGTAGGTTGTACAGAGACAGGGTTCGTAACAAGATCTGTCTCTTTTCACTAACCCAAATCACCTCCCTTCAAGCAGAGATGATCTTTGTTGACCATCTAGCAGAAAATGCTCACTTGGGAAAGAGAAAAGTGTTTTCTAAGTGAATTTAACTTTTTTTTTTTTTGGTTATAGAAATAGGTAGAAAAAGTACGCTACTTTTCAGATTTTAAGAAAGCAAAAATGTGAAGTTTAAATTACTGAGAAATAGGCACAATTACTTGATTAAACTGTGTGTGTAAGTCTACATCCAGAAAATTAAACGTTTAAAATGATTGCCCCACATAACTAATCAAATCCACAATCGATGTCAAAGTAAGGTATAATTTAATAAGCACAATGTAGACTGAAAAATGAGTAGCTAACTGTTTGGTTGCTAATATTAGTGTAATAATTATAGTTTAAAGAGTATTGCCAGTCATGGAATAAGAACTCAGGTTTTTGTAAATGCTTAAGAGCAACCTCAAGTTGCTGCTTCAAAGCAGAGACAAAATAGTCTTCATTTTTCTGCCAGAATCTCCTTTAAGCTCAGATGACCAAATCTATAAAAGAGAAAATGGGGAGATTTTGCTGTTCTAAAAAGGCTTCCTGATATCCTTGTGAGGAAAGTTGTAAAAGACACATAAAATCTTCTAAAATAGGTTATCTGTGGGCTATCTTAATATTGCACAAAAGTCTTTCATTTTTCTTAGTCTTGGCTTCTGTTTTTGTCTACAAATGGTAATAACTTCTCTATACAGGTTTTTGAAAGAGTCAAATGGTACGTAAACGTGCTTTGGAAAGGTTAAAGTGTTATTCATATATGATATGATTTCAATCTATGTCCCCACCAAATCTCATGTTGACATGTAATCCCAGTGTTGGAGATGGGGCATGTGGAAGGTGATTGGATCATGGGGTGGTCCTTCATGAATGGTTTAGCACCATCTCCTGGTGCTGTCCTCATGATAGTGAGTGAGTTCTCATGAGATCTGTTTGTTTAAAAGTGTGCAGCACCTCCCCTTTGCTCTCTCTCTTGCTCTTGCTTGGGCCATGTAAGATGTGCCTGCTTCCTCACTTTCTACCAGGATTGTAAGTTTCCTGAGGTCTCCCCGGAAGCAGAAGGTGCTATGCTTCCTTTATAGCCTACAGAACTGTGAGCCAATTAAACCTCTTTTCTTTATAAATTACCTAGTCACAGGTATTTCTTTATAGCAGTGTGAGAACAAACTAATATAATATTGAATGTTAAGTACATGCAGACAGTATTTTCCAGTATACTTTCCACTTGTAATTCAGTCTGCCCCTAACCTCCCACCTTTCCTTTGTTATTGTCCTAGGGAAAAACGGAAGAATGCCACCTGACAGAGGGGAAGGATAAAGACGGGAGATAGGTCTTGTCAATCAAAAGGGAGAAGTTGAAAAAACTTCAAATTTTAGGTGGCAAAGGGGAAGGAGAAAATGGGAGGAAGGAAAGAAGAGAAGGAGGGAGGGAGAAGGGCAAGAACTCAGGACTAGTGTACTGACTCCATGCATTGTGATGAAAATTCCCATAGGGTAAGTAGAAACATCCAGAAAGGTTTTAGGAGACCTTGGAATTCCCCTGTCTTCTAAAATGGAGAATGAAAGCCTATAAGGGCCACATGACTCTACACTAAATGGAAACGCTAGAGCAGTTTTTGAGGGAAGAATCTACGTAGATGATTCTAAGTTAACATTTCTAGTTGCCCAGGGCCTGGGCAAAGCATGCATAGAATCTAGAAATCTTCCTGAACAAAAAGGAGGAGTCTCAAACATTTCAGAGAACTGGTGAACTAGAATAGGACCAATAATACTCTAACACTCATTAGATGAACATCAGAAAGTCAGATAATACCAACTGTTGGTGAGGAAGTTGGGAAACTCTCTTGCACTGTTAGTGGAAGTCTGAGCTAGAACAGAAATTGTGGGGAGGAATCTGGCAGTCCTTAGAGAAACCAGGTCATATACATGGACACCCAGTATTCCCACTGCTGGGTGTACACCCTAGAGCCACTCTGACACAAGACTATAAGGAACATGTATTAGTATATTTATTGGTGCTCTATTTGGGAAGGCAGAAAGTTGGAAGAAATTAAGTGTCCATCACTGGTGGAAAGGAGTAGTTAATTGTGCAACACACACAGATGCATACTCTGTCTGTCTGTCTATCTATCTATCTATCTATCTATCTATCTATCTATCTATCTATCATCTCTGTCTATAGATATATATCTCCAAGATCTAGCCATGTTGCTTTATGTACATCTAGATAATTAATTCAGAATGGTACATAGGTATATATACATATATATAATAAATGTTTCATCTTGCAGGCACTTGAGATGAAAGAAATCTATGAATGGTGCATAGATTTCTATATATCTACATATTATATATATATAATATATAAATATATATAAAATCTTTATACCATTCAGAATTAATTATCTAGATGTGCCTAAAGTGACATGGATAGATCTTCCTTAGTCCACTGATTCAAATATCAATCTCTTACGGAAAACCCTCACAGACATGTCTAGAAATAATGCTTTACTACCTGTCTGAATATCCCTTAATCCAGTCAAGCTGATACCTAAAATGAACAATCACTATACCTAAATACACTTATGTTTATAAACATTAGAGTGGATGCCTGGCAGTGGTTAAGGGGAGGGGAGATGTGAGCAGAGGGAGGGGAGATGTGAGTGGGAAGTGGGAGTTAGGAAGAGAAAGGGGGAAAGCAATAAAGATAATAAAACATGACATATACCTTATGAAATTGGATCGTGATATACCATGAACTAAGAGATATAACCCACTCAACTCTGAACCTTAGGTTAAAAAAAAAAGAAAGCAATGGTTGGTATATCCGAATCATGGTGAATGCATAGGTGTTGTGTTGTGATGACTATCTTCAGAAGATCCTCTACCTTATAAAGGTGACCCTTCAGGAGTAAGAGTAAGCTACTAATCCGTATGACATAGACAGATGATTTCAGGACCAGGATGGAATTTAGTAAATTGCTCATTATTTAGTTCTCCAATGCCCTGAAAGGTAAAACATTTACCCCTTGAGATTAACTTTTCACTGGCCGATCAAATTCAATGTACTGTTTATGTTCTCTGTAATAGGAATTTTAAAGTACATAAATTTTTAAGCAAGAGTCTGATATCCAAAAAGATGCATTACTTTGATCTGAAGTAATTTGAAGTTCAACTGGGTGAAATATTGCTACTATTTAAGCTACTTATTTATAAAATATGGATCCTGTTAATTATATTGATAGTGTGAAGTTGGAACTCTCTCTGATGACAAGAGATGGAAGGCAAATTTTCTTAAAATACTACCCTCCACTGTCTTCATTATTCACCAGCTGCTTATGTAAAAAATGTAAAGTTGACCAGCTACTTTACCTTTCTAAACTGGGTTTCCTCATCTACAAAATGATTGGGTTAGGTTATCACTCCCTTCAAGCTCTAAAAATGATATGATTTTGCAGTAACAAAACCAAAAATGGTGATCATGTTCCAGTAAATAGAAAGTCCTCTCTGCTGTACAGTCTATCAAGATTGTCTCAGAGCCAGGAGAGAAGCTGACTAGCACTGACTTCAAAGATATGGATGAGTCAAAATTCTATTTCCACACTGTTATATTTGAGTAATCTAGTGCTTGTCAGAGTTACGCATTTTTAAAAATTTCAGTGTACAAAAATATCTACTTCTAATTATTTTTAAGGATAGAATTTGAGCAATGGATCTGATGCTGGTACCTCAGTATAATCCCATCATCAGAGTCAATGATTCTGGGTAGCATTAGAAGTAAAATTAGTAGCACAAGTTTCTTTGGGTGCTTCCAGTACAAAAATATCTTGGATGGTGTGCAAGATGGCCCTGTAATATAATGATAATAGCTAATAATTTACAACACTGCTACAGACACTGTGCTAGATGCTTTCCAAATATTAACTTGATTCATTTTCACAACCACCTCATGAAATAGGTACTATGATTATCCCCTTTTACAGAGGAGATAAATGAGGAATGGAGATGTTAGGCAACTTGTTTAAGGATACATTGCCAGAAACTGGCAGAGATGGGATTTGAATCCGGCTGTCTAACTCAAGAGTCCTTGCTTTTAACCACTAGGCCTATTATCTCTCTAATATGTGGTGAAGCTCAGTTTTACATCAAAATTTTAATATTACACTACATATTTTTCTGGACTGTATGTTTTGAATAATGTTCTCATTACTCCACTCATGGCCAATTCTTGGAGGAAGATAATCAGAAAAAAACCTATTTACTTTTTCCCCTTATTCTGGTTCTTCCTTCAACACTGCCTCTTATAGTAATGGTGGAATCTAACATTTATTTGGCTTCTATTCTGTACCAGGCTTAGTGTTTTAGTTTGTTAACTTGTTCATTCCTTCTGACCCACATGAGATATGCATGATGATCAGCCCATCCTGCTGATGAGGAGGCTGAGGCTTACAGATGTTCTGCATTTTGCTCATGGTCATATAAGTCTAGTGAACACCCAAAGGAGCAGCGTCTGGCACCAGAGCCTGCTTCTCCCTTGTGGGATTGCTTCTAAGATGCTTAACGTCTCCATCCCTAAAGTAAGAGGGTTGTTAGGATGTCTTCTTATGTAATGTCTAGTTCTAATTCTTTATGGGTCTATTATTCATATGAGTCGTGGCTCTCCACTTAATACTGGCTAAAGTAGAATTGCAAACCAGGCTCAAAATTTGGTGGCTTTGTCTCTTGTTAGCTTTGGTAAATCCCAAATCTTGAGCATATTAAGGAACAAAACAAAATAATACATAGAAAACTTGATTTTTATTCATTTTTCTGGAAACTATTTTAAATCAAGCATTGCTATTATTTATATTATGCAGGCTTTAATTTCATTAATAAAGTATTTTCTAAATAAAATTTTCTTTTTAAAAGACGCTGTTTTATGTTAGGGGAGGATTTGTAGGGTTAAACCGATGAAGTTTTGCTGGTATTCAAATCTTTAAAAAAAAATTCTAAAAATTGACCCTGAATTTTTAAAGCCCTTGAAGCAAACTTTCTTAGTGAAAAATATCAGGAGAGAGACTGAGGTAGAAGAAAAGGCATGACTAATTGTTGGGGAACATTTCTAAACCCTTGAAAAGAAGTAGAAGAGTGGGAGAGGAAGTGGGGGGATGTGACCCAGATGTCTTGTTTATGTTTCCTTATCATGAGTCTTCTTGCTAAAAGTGAAGTGTTGGTAAAGTGGTTTTAGTCTGCCAGAGAGACTCCTGGCCTTGGTCCAAACCTAACTGAAATATTATCAGACATACATTCTTTACTATGTATAGCACTGGCAAGTTCTTCTAATGAGATCCACACATTGTAGGCAATTAGGCAGGATAATCCTGGGCTCCCTTGGGCAGGGAGGAACATGCCCTTTCACTATCTGTCATGCAGGGGTTATCCACCAAATGTGGCTTTGTGTGGCATGTCCAGAAGACTGATGCCAAAGTTTTATTTTGTGAGACAGAAATAAGTACCGTTAGGTGTTGGTGAGCCTCCAAAAGACCATCTAGCTTTTGAACTCTTATTTGGGGAACAAAGAAAGAGATTTAAATCTCATTTATTCTGGAGCAAAACTATAATATATTTAAAATTATGTATCTAAATTATTTAAAATAACTGAGTGTTCAGCATGGCTACAAGAAAAACCTTGATGGAATATGCCTCTGGAAGGAGGCTGCACAGGCAATTTTAGGAAAAATGAGACAATGGACGATTAATAGGACAAAAAAGAAAAGTTGATAGAATGTCTGTGTAAAGGAGGTAACCAGCTTATAACAAGTTCACAATGGGCACAAATTCATAGAATGTCTCGAACTGATATGGTGAAATACTCAGGGTCCTAGGTATACTTTAAAATGTCAGGTGTACAATGTCTTTTATTTATATAGTGCTTATTTCTAAGCAACCCTAAGAGTTTATTAAGAATTAAGATTAGTCTTTACAAAAGTCAAACTGACTAGGAAAGCAACACTTCTGTTTAGAAGTGAGAAAGCTAGGACATGGAGTGTTTGCATTATTTTCTTAAAATCACGTTATTGGACTATGTTAAAAATAGGAAGAAAGAAACTGTTTTCTCCTACTTTCTCTTTTCTCACTACTCTCAATACTTCACCTTTATACCAGATGTGTGGCTTTTTCCCACACCAAGCAATTTTCCAACACCAGCTGGTTGTCCTACAGTTCAATTTAATTCTATCACTAACTGAAGTTAGCACAGATCTCACAGGTTAAGGGCTCAGTCTCACAAGACTGCCCCCTACTTCAGACGTCAACTGAAAGTCTAGGTTGTTAACCTGTGCTTCTATTGAAAGTCTCGCAACTCCCTTCTTGGGTTCAATAATTTGCTAGAGTGGCTCACAGAACTCAGGAAAGTGTTTTACTTACTATCTCTAATTTATTATAAAAGGCTACAACTCAGGAACAGCCCGATGGAAGAGATGCGTAGAGCAATGTATGGAGGAAGAGGCATGAAGCTTCCGTGCCCTCCCCAGGCTTGCCACTCTCCATGTGTTCAGCTAGCTGCAAACTCTCTCTCTCTTTTTTTGTGGAGACTTCATTATGTAGGCCAATGATTAAATCATTGGCCATTAGTGATAAATTTATCCTGCAGCCCCTGAGGTAGAACTGAAAATTCCAATTCTCTAATCACAAGGTTGCTTCCTCTGAGGCTCCCATCCTGAGGCTATCCCACAGCCCCACTCACTAGTCTTCTTATTAGCATACCAAACGATGCTTTTGACATAAGAGATTCCAAGGGTTTTAGGAACTATGTGCCAGGAAACTGGAAGAAGATATATATATTATACATATATCACAGTTTCACAGACTGTAACCCAGGATTTCTTCAGCTTACTGATTAAGAAGGTGATGTTTCTCATCTTTACCACATTCCAGCTGCGCACTTCCCTTTGGCTGGACTCATAAAACTTTGTGTTCTGAAAGGACATCATCTTGTTGAGCCTTGATACAGTTGGGCTCTGTGTCTCCAACCAAGTCCCACCTTGAATTATGATCCCCATAATTCCCATATATAAAGGGAAAGACCAAGTGGGGGTGATTGGATCATGGTGGCAGTTTCCCCCATACTGTACTCATGATAATGAGTGAGTCTTATGAGAGCTGATGGTTTCATAAGTGTCTGGCATTTTCCCTGCTTGCACTCACTTCATCCTGCCACCTGTGAAGAAGGTGCCTGCTTCTCTTTTGCTTTCCACCATGATTCTAAGTTTCCTGAGCCCTCCCCGGTCATGCAGAACTGTGAGTCGATTAAACCTCTTTCATTTATAAATTACCCAGTCTCTGGCATTTCTTCACAGCAATGTGAGAATGGATTAATACAATAAATTTGTACCAGGAGTGGGGTGCTGCTATACAGATACGCAAAAATGTGGAAGCAAATTTGCAACTGGGTAACAGGCAGAGGTTGAAACAGTTTGGAGGGCTCAAAAGAAGGCAGAAAAATGTGGGAAAGTTTGGAACTTCCTAGAGAGTTGCTGAATGGCTTTGACCAAAATGCTGATAGTGTTATGGACAATGAAGTCCAACCTGAGGTGGTCTCAGATGGAGATGAGGAACTTGCTGAGAACTGGAGTGAAGGTGACTCTTGCTGTGTTTTAGCAAAGAGATTGGTAGCATTTTCCCTCTGTCCTAGAGATCTGTGGAACTTTGAACTTCAAAGAGATGATTTAGGGTATCTGGTGGAAGAAATCTAAGCAGCAAAGCATTCAAGAAGTGACATGGGTGCTGTTAAAAGCATTCAGTTTTATGCATTCACGAAGAGATGGTTTAGAATTGGAACCTATATTTAAAAGGGATGCAGAACATAAAAGTTTAGAAAATTTGCAGGCTGACAATGGAATAGAAAAGGAAAATCAATTTTCTGAGAAGAAATTCAAGCCAGCTGCAGAAATTTGCATAATGAGGAGTCAAATGTTAATCACCAAGATGATGGGGAAAATGTCTCTAGGGCATGTCAGAGGTCTTCATTGCAGCCCCTCCCATCACAGGCCTGGAGGCCTAGGAAGGGAAAAATGGTTTTGTGGGCCAGGCCCAGGCCCAGGGCCTTGCTGCTTTGTGTAGTCTCAGAACTTGGTGCCCTGCATCCCAGCCATGGCTACAAGTGGCCAATGTACAACTCAGGCTGTTGCTTCAGAGGGTACAAGTCCCAAGCCTTGCAGCTTACCCGTGGTGTTGTGCCAGTGGGTGCATAGAAGTCAAGAATTGAGGTTTGAGAACCTCTGCCTAGATTTCAGAGGATGTATGGAAATGCCTGGATGTCCAGGTAGAAGTTTGCTTCAGGGGTGGAGCACTCATGGAGAACCTCTGGTAGGGCAGTACAGAAGGGAAATGTGGGGTTGGAGCCTCCACATGGAGTCCCCACTGGGATACTGCCTAATGGAGCTGTGAGAAGAGGGCCACTGTCTCCCAGATCCACCAACAGCTTGCACCGTGCACCTGGAAAAGCTGCAGACACTCAATAACACCCTGTGAAAGCAACCTGGAGTGGGGCTGTACCCTGCAAAGCAACAGGGGCAGAGATGTCCAAGACCATGGGAACACACCTCTTGCATCAGCGTGACCTGGATGTAAGGCATAGAGTCAAAGGAGATCATTTTGGAGCTTTTAAAATTTAATGACTGCCCCACCTGGTTTCAGACTTGCATGGGGCCTGTAGCCCCTTTGTTTTGGCCAATTTCTCTCATTTGGAAAGGGAACATTTATCCAATGCCTGTACTTTCATTGTATCTTGGAAGTAACTAACTTGTTTTTGATTTAACAGGCTCATGGGTAGAAGGGACTTGCCTTGTGTCAGATGAGACTTTGGACTGTGGACTTCTGAATTAATATTGAAATGAGTTAAGACTTTGGGGGACTATTGGGTAGGGCATGATTGTGTTTTGAAATGTGAGGACATGAGATCTTGGAGGGCCCAGGGGCAGAATGATATGGTTTGGCTGTGTCTCCACCTAATCTCACCTTGAATTATAATCCCCATAATCCCCACATGTCAAGGGTGGGACCAGGTAGAGGTAATTGGATCATGGGGGCAGTTTCCCCCATGTTGGTCTCATGACAATGAGTGAGTCTCATGAGATGCGATGGTTTTATAAGTGTCTGGCATTTCTCCTGCTTGTACTCACTGCATCCTTCCACCATGTGAAGAAGGCGCCTACTTCTCCTTTGCTTTCCACCATGATTGTAGGTTTCCTGAGGCCTACCCAGCCATGCAGCACTGTGAGTCAATTAAACCTCTTTCCTTTATAAATTAGCCAGTCTCAGGTATTTTGTCATAGTAGTGTGAGAACGGACTAATACAAGCCTTTTGCTTGAATCCTCCCTATTTACCCTTTTCCATATTTTGAGTATCTCCAATGATGACACAATTGAGTAGTCGTGCTTTGTCTTAGTCTGTTTTGTGTTGTGATATGATTTGGATATTTGTCCCCTCTGAATCTCATGTTGAAATGTCATCCTCAATGTTGGAGGTGGGGCCTGGGGGAGGTATTTGGGTCATGGGGCAGATCCCTCATGAATGGCTTGGTGCCCTCCCCACAGTAGTTAACACAAGAGCTAGTTGTTTAAAAGAGCCTGGCATCTCCCTTGCTTCCTCTCTCACTATGTGACATACTGGCTCTCCCTTCAACTTCTGCCATGAGTAAAAGCTTCCTGATGCATCACCAGAAGCTGAGCAGATGCCAGTGCCATGCTTGTACAGCCTGCAGAACCATAAGCCAAATAAACCTCTTTTTAAAATAACTTGCCTAGTCTCAGGTATTGCTTTATAGCCATGCAAAACGGACTAACACATGTTGCTATAAAGGAATAACTAAGGCTGGATAATTTCTAAAGAAGAGGTTTATTTGGCTCACAGTTCTGCAGGCTGCACAAGAAACATGGCAACATCTGCTTCTGGTGACAGCCTCAGACTGCTTCCACTAATGGTGGAAGGGGAGCGTGAACCTGTGTGTGCAGAGATCACATGGCAAGAGAGAGGAAGCCAGATAGACAGGAAGGAGGTGTCAGGCTCTTTTTAACAATCGGCTGTTTTGGGAACTAATAAAGCAAGAACTCACTCATTACTTTGAGGATGGCACTGAGCTATTCATGAAGGATCTGCCCCCCTGACACAAACATCTCCCATTAAGCCCCACCTCCAACATTGGGGATCAGATTTCAACATGAGATTTGGAGAAGAAAAACACCCAAACTATAGCACACTTCATTACCCACCCCCTGCAAAAAAAGGAGCTGGGGGAAAAGCCCAAGGATAGTCTCAAAGTAATTCTCTTAAAGATAATGGCAGCAAAATTCTTCCCTTACATTAGCCATATCTAATGTTCAGACAGTGTGACTTTTGACTAAGGCTAAGGCTCTTAGACAATTACCGCACTCATTTCTTAAGTACTTTTTATGCATATACTACCTCATTTGATAAAAGGCATGGCTAGGATGTCCTTCTTTACCTATAGTTATCCTCGTAGGTATCATGATCATCTTGTACCACTGGAAATGTACTTTGGTTTTCCTTTGGCCTCAAGCAGCTCAGTTTTTAAGAAGATTGAGATGGTGCCCTTGAAGTCTTGAAGGCCTTGGGCTCCTTTTAGACAGGAAATAACTGCTTCCATTCCTGGCATGATCTCATGTTAAGAAACCCAGTTCACTTGATATTTTCTGCAGATTGTTTCTATCCATGGCAAAATTAGGTCTGTTCCACAATGTAAAAACAGTCAAACTTGAAGGGCATGTGGTAGAACCTGCCTTCACCCAGAACATTTTGAAATGCAGTGAGCAGTTACTGAGTCCAGAAAACTCACTGAGTTGCTTCTTTGTGAGTCTTTGGAGACAATGGAGCTGCACTGCTCAATGGTGCCCTTTCTGTGCCCTCTGGGATTCCTGGAATCCAGTACAGGAGAACATTGTAAAATGGCAGGAGGCATGCATCTTACTCCTTGAAAAGGACCCAACACTAGTTGACCGTCTGAAAAAACAGACCGGGTGGAGGATTTCCAAGGTGTCAAATCTAGGTGAAACTTACTTCTTGCAAGGGTAAAATTGTGAACCCTGGTGATATCTTTCCAGAGTTGCTGGAGCTTTTGGGGGAGAAAAATAATATTTATCCTTTCAAAGTCACTCTCTATCACAGGAGAACCAATGGGAAATCTATCATTGGCGTGGGGCTTTTTAAAATGGATCTGCTAGGGATGCACATAAATGGAGTTCTAAAGTCTTGGTCAGTTTTGGAGACCACTCCACTTCCTACTTTTGCCTCTCCAAAGTACAGAAGATTCTGATAAATTAACATGTTTCCCCTTGTGAGTCATATGTTTGCATTTTAACATGGTTATCCTGGAGATAGTATCTTCACCCAAACAAGTGAATCCTGATGAGAATTTCAGCTAATGGGGCAGATCAGAGGGGAAGACATTTTGAGGGTGAATGTGCTTTGTGGACAGGCTCAAATCAATCCAAATGGATGGGTTATTATAATTTATAGTGTGCCATCACTTGCCAAAGTTACTTCTGGGAGTCTCTCTGCTGTGGAGTCCATAGAGTCCTATGAATCAGAAAAAATCAGCAAAAGGCCTTAGCTCCAGTGGAGGTTGCCTACCTCCATCTGTGCCAGGGTCTGGATGACAGGGAGTAAATGTAAACCCTGATTCGTGGGTGCCATTCCTTCCTGGGAGGCTGGCCTTCCATAAGGGAGGAGCCTAGGCCTAAAAAGACCCTCACACCATAAAGTACCACATGGGAGGGAGGATAGCAGATCTGTGGAAAGGGAGAAGACCATCTAGTCACCCACCTCCCCAGGAAGAGCCTGTAGAGCATAGGAAAGAGTACTCATTTATCCTAGCCCTGGATATGCTGCAACTTGTCTAAGTGGCCTTGCTGAATCCCAGTCAGTAGCTAAAGGATCAAAGTGCTTCTTGGAGGCCTACTCAAGACCAGACATTTCCTCAGAACAATATTGGCAATTTCTTTTACTGTGATGGGTAACTCCAGCTTTGAAAACAATTGAAACTGAATAATTTTGGAGATCATATATGGTAAAGAACATTAAGGCTATTGTTTAAGGCTACTATTTATTCATGTCTAATCTAGATCTAAGAACACTTGTAGAAAACCTAGGCTCTGAATGGCTGAGTTAAATGTGCTGTTCAGCACGAGTCAGTATTAGGATCTTAAATTTTATAATCTCAAACTGGTGATTTTTTAAAAAGAAATTTTTCAATTATAAAAGTAATTTACACCAATTATTTAAAACATAAAATATAAAACACTCAGTTATGGGATTCAGAGATTCTCTTTCTTAATTCTATGTATTAGTAACTTATTTATTTTATAATGATAGAGATTATGCTCATGTTATATATACTTAGAAATTCTGTTTCTTTTACTTATTACTAAATCGGAAATGTTTTCTTTTGTTATTAAACATTACTTGAGATTATGCCATTTACAGATTACATAGTGTTTCATTGCATAGATATATTATAATTTATTTAAGCAATCCTTTATGGTGGCAGCTCAAATTACCTTGACTTCTTATGCAACTGCTTTCTGCTGGTGTGCCCTCAAATTTTATGAGATGTTGTTAGAAGCTATATAGGCCTATTGTGATAGTTAATTTTATGTGTCAGCTTGGCTAGGCTCTGGTGCCCAGTTGTTTGGTCAAACACTAGTGTAGATGTTTCTGTGAAGGCATTTTGTAGATGTGATTAATATTTACAATCAGTTGAATGTAAGTAAAGGAGATTACTCTGGATAACGTGGGTGAGCCTCTTTCAATCAGTTGAAGGCCTTAAAAGCGAAAAACTGAGGTTTCCTGGAGAAAAATGAAATCTTCCCCAAGACTATAACACAGAAATTCTGCCTGGGTTTCCAGCCTTCTGGTCTGCCTTACAAATTTCAGACTCACAGCTACATCATGAACTCTTACTCGAGTTTCCAGTCTGCAGTACTGCCTTGCAAATTTTGACTCCACAATGGCATGAACCAATTCCTTGAAAGTATATCTCCCATTGGATTTATTTCTTTGGAGAACCATGATTGATATACCTATAAAATCTATCTATTGTCACATTTGCCTTGAGGATGTCATCAGAAACCTTCTCTATCACCTCAGTTAGAGTACTCACAAGAAGTCTCACATACAATTTTCTTAAAGATTAGTGGCAGGGAAATATTTGCTTCCACTGAAGTACTAGTATATTTCCTATTCACTGATATTGAGAATTACTTGACTATCCTGTACCTCTTTTAATTCAGTTGGGAAGAAGCATGGTGCTTAGCCACAGTGGCTATGTGGGTTAAATTATATTCTTTATTCCTGGTACAACTTGTCACTTCATTAAAATTTTCCTCTACAGTGTTCTCTACTCTTATCTGTAAAATGTCTCAATTCTTTGTGGAAAAGGATAAGGTATAAAGGCTAGGTTCCACCTTTTGTTTTTCTTTCTTTGGTTTTAGGGTAAATGTTTCCCTTTCCTGTATGGCTGAATAAAAATTATATTTACTTTTTTCCCTCTTCCTAAAAACTTGGGAAAAATCATTAAACAAAATCTGTTCTCTTTTCTTCTGCTTGTATGTGAAAATATTATATGCTGCTATAGTAATGGCTTCCTACTGAGTCATACCCAGCAAGGCCTACTCTTGGCTTACACCCTGGGAATGGCCATCGGACCAGGCTTTTGAAGTTGGCTAGACCTGGTAGGTGGATAAACCTAGAGACTGGAAAGCAGAATATTGGGTAGGCTTAATTGACTCAAGTAACTGTATGTATTAGAAAGCTTTGCTCAAGAATTTTTCCTGGTGCAATCCCCATTTTTCAGTGTGAATGCCTGTTTCAATAAAAGTCATTTTGCTGTTAGTGTCAAAATTTTCTGCATAAAAATCTAGTCCTATGGTGGCCATTGTCAGTTTAGTAAGATTCAGACGACATACAAGCCACCTTGAAGATGTAAAATGTTTAGACATGCAGTAACAGTCCCCAAATCTAGCACCACAAAATATCAGCAAAACCCAGGTCCACTTTTCGCTTCTAGTAGATGCTTTTGATTTATAGGTACATTAAAATTACATAGGAAATACAAATATCTAAGGTAAAAGTCATGTGACAGGGACTATTTTACCTGTCCGGGAATGTTTTATACTTTGATGAGAAGAAGATGCTGCAGTCTGGCACATTTGGAATTCCAGAAGGGAAAGAGAGCCAGGCAGTCCCTAAAGAAATATGTATCGAATAGAATAATCTCCAATGACTGATGAATTTGGCTAGTATGGTATGTCAGGAAACAGAATCCTCTTATTTTCTTCTTCTGGGAGTGCAAAGTGTAGAGAAATGTAATATCCTTTGTAAAAATATATCTGTATTTATTGTTCATTCTCCCGAATGGCTATTCTCCCAAAAGGTAAACATAGTTTGAGTCCCAGAACTTGGATTTAGCTGTAGAGTTCCTCTAAATACCACTTGTCTGATGTTTCTTTAATATGGAGATTAAATGCAAACATGAAATTAGCTTCCTTGGAACATTCACTTTGAACCTAGCTTTTCTGCGACTGAGGAGATGATCTTTTGAACTTGATGATGCCTTGCCACATCGACAGTGCATTCAATGCTTGGATACGGGCCAACCTTGCTTAGCTCTTTTTCTTTATTTAGCTTGCTCAATATTATTGGCAGGTTGCTTCCACCAAAATCCGTATTTTTCTAAAGGATTTTAGACAACTTCAAGTAGGTTCAATATCTTTCATGGGAAGATGTGCTAACTGGGAGGGAAGACTAAAGAGCCAATTATAATAGCAGCAGCAGAAGCTGGGTTGTTTTTGTTTCATTGGGCATACAAGGGAATCCTGTGCAGGCCAATATATAGAGCCTGTGATGTAACTTTTACAGTAAAATGTGACTGAGTAATTGTTCAAATAAATAGTGTCCCTTTTCTGGATGGTCTTGGAGGACCCCTTTAGATCATTTCAAATCTTCTGATAAGTTTTGTAAGCTGGTGACTAATGTTATCATCCTCCCCTTAAAAGGGAGAACTTAGTTTCAGGGTGAGCATGGCCCTTTCCCTCTATTTTAGCAAGTATATAAAAATAATTGAATTTTCATAATTTTTTATTATTTTGAGGAACTCAGGCTAATTGCTGGAATAACCCTCTAAGTTAAACCATCTATTTGATGCATTTACTGAAATGTAAGGACTGAACAATTCAAGAATCTTAACTTGTCATTTTGGTAGCATTGCTCACTGAAAAACAAAGAATTATTTGCTAATGAGGAACATTTATTTTTGTTGATTGTTTTCAGTGCAGACTTTTTTTAAGGGCAGGCAGAGATTGGGAATACCACTGACTAGACACAGGAAATGCTCTTTCATTTGCACATCACAAATACATTTTTTTTTTTTTTTGAGATGGAGTCTTGCTCTGTCCCTCAGGCTGGAGTGCAGTGGCGCAATCTCGGCTCACTGCAAGCTCTGCCTCCCGGGTTCACGCCATTCTCCTGCCTCAGCCTCCTCAGTAGCTGGGATTACAGGCGCCCGCCACCACGCCTGGCAAATTTTTTTGTATTTTTTAGTAGAGACGGGGTTTCACTGTGTTAGCCAGGATGGTCTCGATCTCCTGACCTGGTGATCCACCTGCCTTGGCCTCCCGAAGTGCTGGGATTACAGGCGTGAGCCACTGCGCTCGACCCACACATACATTTTATGATAATCTGGCTGTATAAGAAAAGATTTATGAATTCAAAAAGGGTCTTTATACAACATTTCTGAGTGTGTTATATATAGTATTGTAGTCCTCTTTTTAAGTGACCACAGCATACAATACAGTAAGCCTAATAAATTATAGGAATACTTGATGTTAGCCATTCTCTATCCTCAAAATTAAAGTGCCGTGTGTTAGACGGTGAGGAATCAAAGTGCTATCCAGCCTTATTAGGCGATAAAAGAGGGCAAAGCCACAAAGATAGAAGCAGTGGGGGTAAAGTTGGGGACTACGGGAAAAATTCCATGGCTCAAGAAGGGTAGAAGAAAACTAGGGTAGCCAATAGCAGAGAAAAGTTCCTTGGTTGCTGCTACACGGAAAATGTGAACTGTTAAGAGATGCTATATCATCAGTTAGTGTTCAATTGTTTGATTTCAATGACTAGTATTTTAATTGACTTAGATAAAAAATGTTCAGACTCGCATTTAAAAATATTCATTCATTTGTTCATTCTTTAGAGACAAGGTCTTGCTCTGTCACCCAGGCTGGAGTGCAGTGGCACAATCATAACTCACTGTAGCCTGAAACTCTTAGATCCTCCAGCCCCAGCTGCCCAAGTAGCTTAGGACTGCAGGCATTCACCACCATACCCAGCTAATCTTTAAATTTTTTGTAGAGATGGGTCTTATTCTGTTGCCCAGGCTGGTCTTCAACTCCTGGCCTCAAGCAGTTCTCCTGCCTTAGCCTCCCAAAGTGCTGGGATTACAAGCATGAGCTACCATGCCTGGCCCAGACTGGCATATTGTTTCTCCTATCCCCTGACATTTATGATAAAAAGCAATGGTAAGTTAGTAAGAAAATAATTTTAGAGATAACTTTATGAAAAATTTAAAAAGATTCACCTGCATAGTCTTTAGAAATACTCATTTAAGTATCAGATTTTATTTTGAATCTACATATTATGTTTTATTATTCAAAATTTTTTTATGTTTGATTAATTTGCTTGAATAAATGCTTGATCAGTGAATAAAAATATCCTATTTTGGCAGATTGGGCAGAATAAATGATAACAAATCTTGATTTCGCAAGGATAACATTTTATGGCTGTGAACAAGATAGCTGTCTTCTAAGAATCATTGTTTTATATTGGTCTTCTTATTGGTAGCTATCACTTATTTGGTGTTTGCTCTATGCATAGCATACTATAAACATTATTTTATGAAATCATAATAACTCACAGAGGCTCACAGAGTTTAGGTAAATGCCACAGTTATATTGTAAGTAAGAGGCAGAGTGGATTATGACCAGGTAGGCCTGGCACCATATTCTATGTTCATTATCACTATAGTACTCTCTGTCTACCAATTTTCATTGTAGACATATTCTTGAAGTCTTCTACTACTTTTCTTTATGATGCTTTGGCTACATGTCAGGTGCTAATGTTGAAACAAGCAGCATGTTTTCTTCTTGTCTTCCTTGAAAGTCCTCTTGACTGTCCTGTATTTGGCAGTACCAACTGGAGTTTGTTCTTGGAGTCCCTGAGGAGGCTGTGATGAGAACTCTGTTGAAAGGTCTTGGGTATATTCTCAGCCTCTGCCTTCTGACTTTGTAATAGTGTCTGGAAGGGGTAGCAGCATCTCAGGGTCATCCCTGCTGGAGAGAGGTATTCTGAATGGAGTAGAATTGAGGAGCCTTCTCTCCCACATCCTTCACCTTGCTGGCTGGCATAGTTTTCTCTGAGCCTTGGAAATCCCAGAACAATCTTGTTTAGCTGGCTGCCAGAAGCATTCCAGATGAAGGAGTATGCAGAATGTTTGAATTACATAGTAGGGATGGGAGAAAGAGAAATCCCTGCTCTAACCTTGAGCCATGGGACAGTTACACACCATAAGAATTGCCCACAAGGTAAAGGAACAGAAAAAAAAACACCTCTTTGAGGGTTTTTCCATTTTGTGGAGACATACTCTCTACCCCTTGTTTCTTTTTATAAGGAGATAATAAGTTGGGATGGAGGCTTGTAAAAAAATCCTTGGCAATGTGGCTGGCATATGCTTTGGAATCTGGAGAAATCTTGCATAATAAAGTTAATTTTTATGGCATAATGAATTTTCTGTTGGTCTGGATAGAGGCATTCTGACAGTGGGAATCAGCAAAAGGGGAATTCTTCACGCAATACATTAGCAATAGTGTTTGACATAGTCCCTCCTCCCTTCCTTTCTCTACTTCATTTCTCTCTGCCACCTTTCTTTTTTCTTTTTTTCTTTTTTTTCTTTTTCCTTTTTTTTTTTTTAGACGGAGTCTTGCTCTGTCGCCCAGGCTGGAGTGCAGTGGCGCGATCTCGGCTCACTGCAAGCTCCGCTCCTGGGTTCACGCCATTCTCCTGCCTCAGCCTCCCGAGTAGCTGGGACCACAGGCGGCTGCCACCACACCCGGCTAATTTTTTGTATTTTTTAATAGAGGCAGGGTTTCACCGTGTTAGCCAGGATGGTCTCCATCTCCTGACCTCGTGATCCACCTGCCTCGGCCTCCCAAAGTGCTGGGATTATAGACGTGAGCCACCGTGCCCGGCCTTGCCACCTTTCTTTTAAATTAAGCATCTACTATATATGAGTTAGTGCTGGTCACCAGAAATATAAAGGTAAGTCAAATATGGATCTTACCGATTAATATAATATGTTAGTAATTTCTCGCTCTCTCTCTATATGTATATATACCCTAATTAATATAATAAGAGAAAATGGACATGAAGTAAGTGCAAATATGATGCTAGAGGAATTCAACTTTATTTATTTATTCATGAATGGGCATTTATTTAGGGATGCTAGGGACTGATGCTTATTGGGCCAGCGCTGGAGGTACAGCTGTGGCTGACCTCGGCTGAGTTCAGTCGAGGAGAAAGACCTGTAATCTGGCATTTACCATACAGAATGGTCAGTGCTAAATCATATTCTTTAACAAATCATTTTCATTGCCTATTAAAATGCCAGGCATTCCTTAAGAGCAATTGAGATGAATTCATGGAAAAGGTCTCATTTGAGCTGGATCTTGAAGGGTGGATTTGAACACAGAGATAGGAGGAGAAAAACATTCACATTTGAGAGAGAACGGGGAGTGAGGGTAAGCAGTTGAGAATTTAGGAGGAAAACAGTAATAGTAGCAATGACAGCAAACCTCATATGTTTACACTCAGCCTATACTTTATTAACTCAAGTGTTCCTCCTAACACTCCTGTAAGATGGGTACTGTCACCATTTTGCATATGAGAAAATTGATGCACAGAGAGTCTAAATGACTTGCCCAAAGCCACACAGCTACCAAGAGGTCAATCTGGGATTCAAACATGCCAGTCTAGCTCTCAGGTCTGTGCTCTATATCAACCTTGCTATAAGCAAAGTCAAGAAAGGAAAAAGTTGTGAGGTGGCAAATAGCAAAGATTCAGTATGACCTGCAATTAAGGTTTGTATGTAGGAACCATGGGAAATAAATTGGAAAGGTAGTTGGGACCATATTATAAAAGGCCCTGAGAGTTAGGTTGCGTGAATTTCCTTTGGCAGATAAAGGGGAGCCACTGAAGGTTTTTGAGCAGGGGAGTACTGTGATCTGAGCTGTGCTTCAGAAGATTCAGCCTGAAACACTGTGTAAAATGAGGGGGGAAAAGACAGGAAGAGAAGTTGGGAGCTGATTGCAACAGTATGCAGGAAGGAGGTTCAGTGATAGTATTGAGAGTTATTAAAAAGAGGAGGAGGGTGACAGGGCCTGGGAACTAAGAACACTGAGAACTTGTGTTAACCTTTGACCTATGACAGGCCGTGGTCATAAAGGGTTAAATGAATATGCCTGCAATGGAAATTTCTTGGGCATTAACATTTTCCACTTTTCTTTGGTTGTATCAAATGCCGTTGTGATGGGAGAAAAAGAACAAACATCAAAAGTACCTTTTAACTTCACAATTCTTTCTAAATTTCTTTAAACTTACAGGCTATACTGCTGATTTGCAGACTTCAAAGTACACAGAAGGATCAGGGTCAAATTGAAAAATTATTTCTTACAGTGTAATAAAATATGCATGTGAATCCTATGACTTGCCACTGAAATTATTTATGTGCTAATGTAACTTTGTAACATTAATTGTACAGTTTAGTGCCTTTTCTTTCCCTCTCTGTAGCGTTTTCACTGTAAGTTCTGGTAAATAATTTTGGCCTATTATTTATGTTGTACTTTACAGATTCCATGTGTTATTTATGGATTCAAAAATGTCAAGTTGTTTTTTTGGAGAAATTATGGCAAGAAGACTAACTGGGGTGTGTTCCTATGGGCAGTGGTTGGGACTTCTGTATCCAACTTGCTGTCAGTTTTATTTTTTTTTTAGTCTTTATTACCTAATGAGAACACTATCTCAATATATTATATTTGTGATAATTTTTCTTGGAAGTAACATTATGGTTTTAAAATTCTTTTTCAAATATGTGTGACTCCTTGCCTTCCTCCAATCTGGAGAGACGAAATTGAGATAGAGAGGATGGAAGAGATAGAGAGAATGAAGTATCTCACAAGATAGAGAGAATGGAAGTATCTCACAAGAACTTGCTAGTTTTCCTGGTTTTCACATATTTGTGAGATTCCCATTAATAACAATATCAGAATCTTTATGTGTTTGTGGATTAAAATTTTGCTCTTGTTGGAATTGATGTAAACATGACCTTTGGTAGATCTAAACATGGACTATTCTGCAGTTTTCGGATATTGGTTGTTTGTAGTTTTCCTCCTAGAGTTGAATGTTGATCTTTAAAAGTTCTTAAGGCAGTGGGCTGTATTTAATTCTTACTTATGTGATGTCCACACGGTAGTTTTTAATAGTATCTTTGACTTTTCCAGAGGTTAGAGGCAGTACTGTGAAATGGTTAAAAAAAACAGGCTTTGGATTTTCCAGTGCTGCTCAAATTTGAATGTGTGTGTGAATCACTGGGGGATCTTTTTAAAGGGAAGACTATGAACATTAGGTCTGGGATGGGGCCTGAAATTTGGGATTTCTAATCAGATAGTCTATGGACCACACTTTGAGTAGCACACTCTAGGTCCCAGTCCTTGTGTATATTGTTTCCTAACTGTGTGACCTTGAGCAAATCACCTAATGATTGCTTTCCTCTGTTGCCACATGCTATGAGGAAGTTGTAAAGATAAAGTGGGAAAACCTATGCAAAGAGCCTGGCACATTGAAAGTGTTTAATAAAGTAAATGATACCAACTGTTATTTACTATTTGCCTTTATAGGTAGACTATCCTTTTAAGAGCTTGCTGAGAAGTCAAAATTGATGCATGGTGACTAAATCTGACTGTGGAGCAAAAGCCCTTGGTTGATATTTTTTCTCTTCCATGTGTTACTCTGGGACCACAGACAGGTCATATCATTTCCTTTTTACGGATTTTATTTGCAAAATAAGAAGATTGGGCTAGAAATTTGTGAGGCTTCTTTTAACTTGAATCTTTTATTCTATAACCATTCAATGGAGTGCAGTATACTATATTTCATAACGTGTACTTGCATATATATTTCATTCTTACTGGAAAAGTGGAAATGCTGCACAAAAAATAAATAAGTAAAAACTCAAAAAAAAAAAAAGGTTGAGGTAGGATGAGTCATTATCTTGTATTTGTTTCTTCTGCCGGTAAATTTGTTTGATGTGAGTCCAACTTAAAATATCATTAATAATTTCTCTCTCTGCCCCCCATAGGTAGGTTATTGTTTTGATAAAGAGTTCTGGAGGTCTGTTGGGGTGGTGGAGTGAAGCTATAGACAATTGTGAAGTATCAAAGGAAAGCTCAATCAGGATATTAGAGAAACCCCTTTGTAGCTAAAGACAAAAATGGTCTCAGGCCGCTTTGTAAATTATCATATCTGAGCCAATATGATAGCTTATAAAATCATTGAGAATGCTCTCCAGTTGCTTACATAATTGTTTAGAGCTTGCCTCCAAAATTCAATCTTAGAGAAAAATCATCCCCCAAACATTGCAATTCCAACTACCAGCACATTTAAAAAATTCTATTAAATTATTTAACATGCTAGAGGTATCAAATATAAGTGGTATCACCAAAGGGAAAAGATCTTTATTAAGAACAGGAATTTGGGAAAACATCTATTATTATATAAGATTTGTTAGTCATCAAAATTTTCTATAGCTGCATTATCAGCTTTAGGGTATGAATGCAACTTTGCTGTATGACTAGAAATTTGAAAGTGGGAGATAGGAGAGTTGATTTTTATTAATATGGAAATATTCCTGCTCATTTCCAAAAATGTTTTGAAGTACCTGGAAGCTTTGTTAAAAATGCAGCATTGACAAAGAAATGATGAGATGGCTACTGTCACACACTGCCAATAGAAATGCAAATTTGCATGACCTTTTGAGAAGCTACTTGGCAATATTTCTTTTTTTTCCCTCATGCTTCACTGAGGTATAATTGACAGATAAGAATTATACATATTTATGGGGTAACTGATGATTTGATATCCATATAAATCATGGAAATGTTGTCATAAACTAATTAATACATCTATCACCTTACATTGTGTGTGTGTGTGTGTGTGTGTGTGTGTGTGTGGTGAGAACACTTAAGATCTACTGTCTTAACAAATTTAAAGTATACAATAAATATTATTAACAATAGTCAACATACTGTACATTAGATCCCCAGAACTTATTCATCTTACAGCTAAAAATTTGTACCCTTTGATGAACATCCCTCCATTCTACCTCAACCCCTACTCTCTGGCAACTACCATTCTATTCTGTTCTATTCTGCTTCTATGAGTTCAACTTTTTTAGATTCCACATGTAAGTCAGATCATACAGTGTTTGTCTGTGTCTGGCTTATTTTACTTAACATAATGTTCTGCAGGTTTATCTATGTTGTTGAAAATGGCAAGATTTCCTTTTTAATGGCTGAATAATATTCTATTGTGTATTTACACACACACACACACACACCACATTTTCTTTATCCATTCATCGATTGACAGACACTTAGATTGTTTCAGTATCTTAGCTTTGTGAATAATGCTGCAGTGAACATGGGAATGCAGAGATCTCTTTGAGATACTGATTTCATTTCCTTTGGATATATTCCCAGAACTGGGATTGCTGGATCATATGGTAGCTCAGTTTTTAATTTTTTAAGGAACCTCCATAATATTTTCCATAATGGCTATACCAATTTATATTCCCACCAGCAGTGTACTAGAATTCCCTTTCCTCCAAACCCTCACCAACACTTGTTATATTTTGTCTCTTTGATAATAACTATCCTATTCGGTATGAAATGATATCTCGTGGTGGTTATCTCATTGTGGTTTTGATTTGTATTTCCCTGATAGTTAGTGATGTTGAGTACCTTTTCATATACTTATTGAACATTTCTGTGTCTTCTTTGGAAAAATGTCTATTCGGGTTATTTTCCCACTTTTTAATTGGGTTATATTTTTTGCTAATGAATTGTATGAGTTCCTTATATATTTTGGATATTAACTCCTGATTAGATATATGGTTTGCAAATATTTTCTCACATTTTATAGGTTGCCTTTTCATTTTGTTGATTTTTTTCCCCTTTTCTGTGCAGAAGCTTTTTAGTTTGATGTAGTCTCACTTGTTGTTTTTGCTTTTGTTGCCAGTGCTTTTTTGGGTCATATTCAAAAGATCATTGCCCAGACCAACGTCAAAGAGCTTTTCTCCATGTTTTTTTCTAGGAATTTTATGGTTTCAGGTCTTACATTTAAGTTTTTTAATCAAAATCCATTTGGATTTAATTTTTGTATATGGTATAAAATAAGAGTCCAGTTTCATTTTTTTTGTGTTTGGATATACAGTTTCCCCAGTACCATCTATTTAAAAACCTATCCTTTCTCCATTATATATCCTTAGTGCCCTTGTCAAAGATTAGTTGACCATAAATGCATGGATTTATTTTTGGGCTCTCTATTCTATTGAAAAGAGACACATTGATCTATTTATCTGTTTTGATTACTATAGATTTGTAATACAATTTGAATCAGGAAATGTGATGCCACCAGCTTTGTTTTTAAATTCAAGATTGTTTTGGCTATTTGAGGTCTTTTGTGGTTCCATGAAAATTTTGGGATTTTTTTCTACATCTATGAAAAATGCCATTGGAATTTTGGTAGAGATTGCATGAATCTGTAGATCACTTTGGGTAGTGTGGACATTTTATCAATTTTAATTTTTCCAATCAATGAAAATAGGATAACTTTATTTGTGTGTTCAATTTCTTTCATCAATGTTTTATAGCTTTCAGTGTGCAAATCTTATTGGTTAAATGTGATCCTAAGTATTTTAGTCATTTCGATGCTATTGTAAATGAGATTTTGTGTATTTGGATATTAGGTTTCAATGTGAAATTCCTGCATTGCTACCCATGTGATAGAAATTTCAGTATTTAATATTACTCCTGTTGTAAGTTTCCTGTTCTAGTTGAGACACTCCTGGGTTTAGATTTGGGGAAGGAGCTTCGTTTGATCAGGATTGAATTTCCCAACAGTTTTCAGGCCACGTGACTCTTTCAACGAAAATTCACCCCTGGGAAGTGGTTTTCCTGAAGTCTGACAACTCTTCTTGTTCCGTAGTTCTTTAGTTTAGTTTACAGTGAAGTTAGTAGTTTAGAAAAAAAAGCCTGTTGAGTTGTTAGCTTGTTTATTGATGGGACAAGTTATCCTTGCTTCTGTTGGTGAAACAGAGAAGTAACAATAGCTGAGTGCTCAGGTGCAGGGCAGATGGGGTGAGAAGAAGCAGACCAGGTGTTCTTTCTCCATGGCTCTGTGGGGGATTTGAGTTACCCAAGGTGGAGCTCTCCATCCACTCATGTCTTCCTGTTACAATAATGCCCAACTAGAGGATTTCATCTGCTCTACAAACATTGGTGTTTTCCCCACTGTTGCATTGAATGCTACACTGCAGTGCAATAGGAGATTCCAATTTGAATAGCAGAGATTGATTTTATTTTATTATATATATAAAATAGGGTTTTTTTTTGGTGGTAAACTAGCATGCATAAGATATTTTTATAGCGAATCTGCTTTTCCAAATTCTAAGTAACCCACTTCCTCCTTAATTTAATGGCCACACTTTGTTGCCTGCGTTATTTTAATAGTATTTTTGAGAAAAAATCTCTGCCTTTGCAGGAGCATTAGAATTAATATGAAATATGGACAAGACTAGGAACCAGTCATATTTAGGCTGGTAAAAAATTAAAATTCTTACTTTTAAGAAATAATATAGACAATTCTTGGATTATCTGAAACAGAAGCCTAATTAGGATTTTCAGATCATTTCTGCTCTTGTATTTTTTTCCTTCATTCTACAGTCATTATTATACACCCATTAGAAACCATGAGCTAGCCTGGGCTCTGTGAATATAAAAATAAAGAACATATATGGTGCCCATTCTTGTGAACCCTGGTCTGGTAGGAAAGCTGACAGATAGACAATTACAATAAGAGTGAGATAAGTGGTGGGGTAGACAAAGAAGCACAGATCCTCTGAGAGTGCAGAGTAGGGGCTTGTGTCCCAGAGAAGGTGATGCTGGAACTATGTCCTAAGGATATAGGGAATTATCCAAGCCAGAGGCATTCTGAGTATAGCATGTACAGACAGAGGTGGGAGAAAACGTAGACCCTGAGTTGTCTCTCAACACCTGTTTTCCCCTCTTTCATTTTGGAACTAAACTCTCCAAGTTTTAGCTGAACGTAGGGATATCCAGCTAGAGATTACAGTTTCCAGTCTAGTTTTAAGACTAGTTATGGCTTATGAGATATGAGCAAAAGTGATGTCGGTTGCCAATTTCCTTCTGTAATGTTAGGTGAAAAACATCTGTCTGCTATGAATCACAGTATTTTGGCTTTTTTGTTATAGCAGCATATTTAACAGTGCCATGTTATGATGGTTGGATCATCATCCTGAAACCTTTGGGGACCCTTTGAAAGATTCTGATGTGTTTGCTGGAGTTCACAGCTGACTATGACTTTTTTCTGAGATAAGTATTTTATAGAACTTAAGAATCTCAGATAGTCCTCAACAAAATACTAGCAAACCAAATCCAACCACATATTAAAACAATCATTCACCATGATTTTCCCCAGAGATGCAAGGATGGTTCACCATATACACATCTAGAAATGTGATACACCACAATGATAGAATGAAGGAAAAAAACCAACCATATGATCATCTCATTAAATGGAAAAAATGCATTTGACAAATTCAACATTCTTTCATGATAAAAACCTCAACAATTAGGTATTGAAGGAATATATCTAAATATAATAAAGGTCATATGTGACAAGTACACGGCTAACATCATACTTAAGGGTGAAAAGTTTAAAGTTTTTCTTCTAAGATCAGGAACAAGACGACACCCATTCTTATCACATCTATTCAACATAATATTGGAAGTCCTTGCCAGAACAATTAGGCAAGGAAAAAAAGGCACCCAAATTGGAAAGGAATAATTGAAATAATTGCAATTTGCTGATGACATGATCTTATATATAGGAAATCCTAACAACTCCACAAAAAAGTTAGAACTAATAAATGAATAAAGTTGCAGCATATAAAATAAAGCAAAAATCAGTAGCATTTCTATGCACTAACAACAAACTATCCAAAAAAGAAATGAAGAAAGCAATAGCTGCAAAAGATACTTAGGAATAAATTCAACCAAGGAGATGAAAGATCTGTAAACTGAAAAATATAAAACTTTGATTAAAAAAATTGAAGATGACACAAATAAATGGAAAGATATTTTGTGTCCATGGATTGAAAGAATTAATGTTTAAAAATATCCATACTAGCCAAAGTGATCTACAGATTCAATGAAATCCCTATCAAAATTCCAATGCTACTTTTCACAGATATAGAAAAAACAATCCTAAAATTCATATGGAACTATGAAAGCTCCCAAAGAGCTAAGGCAATCTTGAGCAAAAAGAACAAAGCTGGAGGCAGTAGACTACCTGACTTCAAACTATATTACAAAGGTATAGTAATTTAAAAAGCAAGATATAGGCATGAAAATAGACACACTGACCAATGTAACAGAAGAGAGAGCCCAAAATGAACCCATGCATTTATGGTTAACTTATTTTTGCCAATGGTATCAAGAATAAACTACGAGAAAAGGACAGTCACTTCAATAAAGGGTGCTGGGAAAACTGGATATCTACAGGCAGAGAAATGAAATTAGACCCTTACCTCATACCATATACAAAAATCAACTCAAAATATATTAAAGAGTTAAACATCAGACTTGAAACTGTAAAAATACTGGAAGAAAGCATAAAGGAAAATATATACAACATTGGTCTAGGCAATGATTTTTTGGGTTTGACCACAAAAGCTCAGGCAAGAAAAACAAAAATAGACAAATAGAATTACATCAAACTAAAAAGCTTCTGCACAGCAAAGGAAACAATTAATAGAGTGAAGAGGCAACCTATGGACTTGGAGAAAATACTTGCAAACCATACAGCTGATAAGGGGTTAATATCCAAAATATATAAGGAGCTCAAACAACTCAATAGCAATAAAACAAATAACCCGATTTAAAAAAAAACAAAAGCGCTGAATAAGCATTTCTTAAAAGATGTCATACAAATGGCCGACAGATATATGAAAAAATTCTCAACATCATTAATCATTGGAGAAATGCAAATTAAAACCACAATAAGATATCACCTCACACCTTTCAGGATCGCTATTATCAAGAAGTGAAATATAACAAGTGTTGGCAAGGATATGGAAAAAAGAGAACCCTTGTACATTGTGAGTGTGAATATAAGTTAGACATGGAAAAACTGTATGGAGGTTTCTCAAAAAACTAAAACTAGAATTAACATATTATTCAGCCATTTCACTTCTGTGTATATATTCAAAGGATTTGAAATCAGTATGTCAAAGAGGTATCTATATGCCTGTGTTCACTGTAACATTATTCACAATAGCTAAGTTGTGAAATCAACCTAAATGTCCATCATCAGATGAACGGATAAAGAAAATTTGGCATATAACACAAGGGAGTGCTATTTATCCTTTAAAAAAGTGGGAACTTCTGTCATTCACAACAACATAAATGAACTTAGAGGACATTATGTTAAGTACAATAAGCCATATACAGAAAGACAAATACCACATGTTCTAACT
Organism: Homo sapiens; assembly: GCF_000001405.40. Classification (NCBI taxonomy): domain Eukaryota; kingdom Metazoa; phylum Chordata; class Mammalia; order Primates; family Hominidae; genus Homo; species Homo sapiens. The sequence goes on along the minus strand of NC_000007.14, from coordinate 91,661,353 downwards.
TATATTTTGAATCTAAAACAATAGAACTTACAGAAGCAGAGAGCAGATTGGTGCTTACCAGAGACTGGGTGGAGGGAATGAGGAGATGTTGGTCAGAGGGTACAGTTTTCAGGTAGACAGAAGGAGTACATGATAAGTATTTGAAGTAATGGGTTGAAAAAACAAAAGAATCTCAGGTAGGTTTTTAGTATTGCTTACCTTGCAGTTTCAGGCTTGGTGTACCTCAGAACCTATATGATTACTGCTGTAGTTTGAATGTGTCCTCCAAAAGTTCATGTGTTGGAAACATGATTGCTAATATAACAGTATTAAGAGGTGTGGCCTATAGGAGGTGATTGAGTCATGAGGGCAGAGCTCTCATGAATGGATTAATGCTTTTATCATGGGAGTTAGTTCTTGAAGGAGTGAGTTGTTATAAAAGTGAGATTGGCTCTCTCTTGTGCTCTCTTTGGCACTCACTTGCTTGCCCTTTCACTTTCTGTTATGTTATGACACAGCATGAACACCCTTGCAAGATGCCAGTATCATGCTGTTGGACTTCCCAGCTTACAGAATCATGAGCTAAATAAACTCCTTTTCTTTATAAATTACCCATTCTGTGATATTCCATTATAGCAATAGAAAATGGACAAGTCGGTCACTCATTGGCCTATGAGGAGTGTACAATTTTCTGGAGTAAGTAAATGGGGAAGGGTAGGGAAGGAGGGACACAGGGAGAAACCAGGTGAGATGGCTCTTGGGTAACCCTTTTCCTCCTGTTGCTCACATTTTCCTCACAGAATTTCCAGCTTTGAAAGTCCCAATGCTGACAGTTCTTCCTAGTGTTCTGAGAAAATGGGAATATGCCTGGTGTGCTGGACTAGTATGATTTGACCCTGTGTGGGAAGCAGCAGCAATCACACTAGGCCCAGGGCCCCCTTCCTCACTGCTTCTACTCTGTCGGGGTTTCCCAGCCCTCCAGAGATTCAGAAGCTGCTACCACTACAAATGGAATATCCTATTCCCCTTGCCAATTCAAACTAGGGATGCTCAGAAGGAACATTATTTAAACCAATTTTTTAAAACCCACAAAATCCTAGGAATAGATGAACCTGCAAGGCATGGATTTCTTACCACAAGATAATTTATTTACATGAGTTTGTTTGATTGGCACCATTTTAAATCATCATGCCTGGATCCTCTCTCCCTTGCCTTAGCCTGGCCTCAGCTGAAAGAAAAGTTCCCTTGCTTGTGCTTTAACATGGTTGATCTGGGCAGGTCTGGAGGAGCTCTGGAGGTCTATAAAGGAGGTAAGCTCTTCAGGAGGCTGAAGTTCGGAAAAACCAGAATTAATACTCCTTTTACTTAGGATTGTCTCTTATCAGAGTTAATCAATAACGGGACTGAAATTTCTCACCAGGGAATGATGTAAAATCAGTAAAAGGTTCAGGAATGGTGGCCCGGGATTTACATTAAGTGGGACTGGTCTTAGCCTCATTTTACATGCCAAAAAAAATGCATACATTTTATTTCTAATTGAGTTAAAATACATATAGTTCAGTAATGTTATATGTCTCCACATTGTTGTGCAACTGATCTCAAGAACTTTTTCATCTTGTCAAACTGCAACTCTATATCCATAAAACAACAACTCGCCTGTGAAATATACATATATATTTTAACTGAAATAGTTTTCCCCATCTCTTCACTTGGCTACCTCATCTTTCAGGCCTTAATTTAGATGCCACCTTTTCCAGGAAGCCTTCCATGATCATTTCTGTTCAGTGCCCTGAGTGCCCTCTTTTGTATGACTTGTTCTATTTGACTGTAATTATATGTCTAATTTAGACTGTGAGCTCCTCAATGGCTGGCGAGGGGTCAGTCTTATCGATTGTTATCTCCTCAGAGCTTAGTGCCTGAAAAGAAGGTGCTTCATAAGTAATTGTTAAATTAAAAACCATCTGTAACATGACCGAGACTTACTTTAGATCCAAGTGAAATGAATTGGGATGGAGTTTAGACAGACCACATCCGCCCACAGGGTGTTTGACCGTAGTCTGAATGGATTTCCCAAACCTTCTGTCAACTACTTGTACTTGAGAGGAAAGGGAGGCGCCAGGAAAACAAAAACTTCTGAGAATGACCCTGCTTTCAGGAAATGAAATGATAGGAACACAAGCAGTATGTAGGAAGGAAAATAGGATTGGAAATTAGAAGTCCTGATGTAGAGCCCTAGCTTCTCTACTAATTATCTTTGTGATCTTAGACAATTCATAGAACCTCTCTGAATGAAAGTTTCCTCATCTGTAAACTATAGCTAACACAAAACCTGCCACCTTCTGTCACAGAACTCTTGTGAAGATATGAAAATGCTTTGTGAACTATAAAACAGCATAGAGGCATTAATTATTAGAACTGTAATATTACAGTGAGGGTTGTTACTTAGGGAAAGGCAATCAGGATTCCTGGGGGCAGACTCTGGAGGCCCCAAGTTCAACTTCACAGATAATTTTTCTTTGGAGACTGAGCTGAGGCTTTAGAACCTGATTGTCTCATAGAGAATGGCCAGCTTCATTTTCCTTGACTGCATTTCTTGGCCTTCAGGGAGGCCAAGCAATATGCAAAAGGGATAATATGAGAACAATAAGAAGAATTCCTGTGTAGAAAATTGAGATTTAGAGAATGCAAGATTGGAGGTCAGGAGAGAAATCATAGGGTGAGTACTGGGGACATGGCTGAGACTTTCTTTTTCAGCCATGTGAACCCAGGCAAGTTTGTTCTCTTGGAAACTTTACCAGATTGGTGTCTTGCTCCAAAGGAGCCCCTGTTTCAAAATGCAGTTGTAGTTCAAGACCATTTCAAAAAATCAGAAAACTGGAATAAAAATCTCTTTTTTTTTTTTTTTTAAGAGTCATCCCATTGGCCTGGATGCTCTGAAGTTTCCAGACTGCGTTCTCCCTTGTTATAAGAGATATCCACTTAAGGAGTACCATGAAGTTGCTCTAACTTTAAGTTTAGACTTGGAGAAGTTAAAAGCTGTGCAACCTGATCTGAATAGAAATGTGGTCACAAAGCGTAAAGAAAGTCAATGAAAACAGGATTTTAATATTTTAGAAGCCATTTCCTCTGCTGCATTGGAAATTCAAATAGAACAGCACGGGGGTATGGGAATTGGAAGCAGAATATAAAACCTACCAGGACAGAAAAGCAAAACAGATATGCCTCATTTCATTGTCCATCATAAATAATTGTTAATAAACAGCTCAAATATGGGAAACTCTGCTTGTCCTATTTAATCTCAAGGAACAAAAAGCAAACTTAGGAACGCAGGTGAAGTTTTGAAATTGGGCAATTTTGGCCTAGTTATTGTGCTGTTAAATGTTTATGTATATGAAACATATTCTTGGAAGATGTCTGGAGCCTGTTGGTTACTTCAAATCACTTTCATGTCCACATCTGTTTCCCATTATAAATCTCTTCAGATTTGATTTTTTTCCCTATTGCTCACTTTCTCATTGTAAAACAACTAATATATTTATTTAATTTTACTTCTCCCATGCTTTTTGTTCCTTCTGATGTGTATAAAATGTGGCTACTACCCAAAACACCCAAATGGAGAAGAGTAATTCTTAATGTTAAAAGATTGGTAAAATCACTTTTCCTTTGATTCAGTAAATAGGGCTGTCAGTTTGGTAGGTGAAAAAGTATATTTGAAATCTGACAAACTGCCAACTTACGACATCAAATTGTGGGCCAGGAACACTCCCATTGACTGGATCCTCCAGTGACACGTTAGGAATACATTTGCTGGGAAGGCATTCCACCCAACTCACATTCCTCAAAGTGATTAATTGCCTGGTATGTCTGCTTTGTGCTTTGAACTTGAAAAGCCCAATATAAATACAAAGTATCTCAGGATGGGGATGGTGGTGAGGATGCTAATGACAGGATGATAGATAAGAACCTTAGTGAAATGTGACTTTAAACACTTAAACAGAATTCAATATTTTTTTCTCTCTTTTTTTTTTTGACACAAGGAAATAGCATTTGAATCCATGCAAGAATTCACTGGGTTTGCTTCCAAGATGGCATATTGCTTTACTTCCATTCATAATGATTTTCAGCTTTTCACACACATGGTACATGAATTACCAGTTCTGTGTTCCCATCACTTCGGCTGCCATTAACAACTGGAGAAAAGAATCTATAAAACTGTATAGCCTATACTTATCTCTGAACAGATTTAATTGGCCACACCTTAAAAGGAATTCCTTCTTTTGAATATATTGTGCAACCAAATGCTTCCCCCCAAACCCACCCCACTGCCTCCTCCTGACTTCCAATCAATTTGGGGCCTAAGGCTGGTGTAATCCATTGTTGACAGATATGTTTAATGAGCCTGGCTTTGAGCATTCGTAGCTGAGGGACTGCGGATTAGGTTTTATCTTATTTCACATCTTGATTAATAATCTGGGAGGAGGCTTCGACATGGTAATGGAATGAAATTTGCAGTGTGAATGAAGCTGGGAGACCTTGCAAAGCAAGAGGCAGCTTAGAAAAGCCAGTGTGGGGTGGGCAGGTGGAAAGGCCTGTGTGAGGTGGCCCCACGGCGCTGTTCGGCAGAGGGGCTGTGGTGGGAGCCAGAAGGCCCGACCCTTTCCTAGTGTTGCCACACTGGATCTGAAGGGCCGTAGCTTGTGTGGCTGCCCAGCACAGAGCTCTTTTGCAATGTGTTACTCACTGCTAGTTCATGCCAGTTTTGGGAAAATAATCAGAAACATAGGTTTTCCACATTAAGGAGGAAACCAGACTGCAGCAGTGCTCAAACAGATCTGGAGGCAGCACTTCCTTATGGGTTGGGCTGCTGGGAAGTGTTTCATGAATAGGCTTCACCACCTGCACATGTGGAAACCCCTTGCTCTGGTCACCTGAATTAATTCTCTTGGCATATCAAAGTGCTTCTGGAACAGCTCCTCTACTAGGGGAGAAATGCCACCTAAGTCTTCCTCCAATTGGAAGCATTCTCTAATGTTTGAAAGAGCTGGATCTCTGTGTTAGAAAAATCTTAACTTGATGTGCTCTCTGGTCTATGTACCCATTTTAATGAATCTAGTAGAGGCTGAGTACTCTGAATCCCCTTCCTGTGGTGATATAAATGCTTTCCCCACAAGGTTCGAGTTAACCCAGCTGTCTTGATTTGTGTGAGGAGTACTGGTGGGACAGTTTAAAGTGAAAATGGGGCTGGAGAGCACACAGTGTGGCTTATTTATTCTCGATTACTTTGCCTGTTGCTTTCCAGTGGTGACTTTCAACAAATGAATAAGTTATACTTTTAAAGCAAGAAAGGAAATTAGAGTCAAAAGTCCTTATTTTACTCCATCTCTGCCTGAACCTGAGGCCTGTAGAGGAGGCTTGCCTTGCCCAGAGTTACCAGGATGGATATGAATGGAGCTGGGATGTGAATAGGTCTCTGCTTCTCATTCCATCCTCTCTCCCTCCACAGAATTCCTGAGCTGCCCAGTATTTAGATTGTAGGCCACATGGACATCTATCATGTCCTGGGGAGACTCACTAGATAACATATGGCTTTTGATTAATTTATTGGTCATAGGACCAGGAATTTTGAAGATTTAGGAAGAGTCTTATGACATACTTTATGGAATTTTAAAAATGTACCAGAAGTGAAGAACATGTTACCTTTTGAGCACTTTGCTCATAGGAAATGTTGCTCCTGAAATTTTCAGAGAAGGCGTGGAGAAGGAATCAGGGAAAAAATTTGATTTTTGTAAACTATTTTGAAATTACCTGTCAATTTCAAAGCTATTTATGTATCCCAGTTCTTTGGCTTGGTGAATAAAGGAAACTTCTGTAACATCTGGAAAGATGAAAATGTCAAACAAATTATACTTCCCAATGAACCCATTCTGTCGTAGTTTTAATATCGAGTAACATACTGTTTAACAATTTCAGTGCATTGTCATTGAAATGATTGGAAGACAGAAGTCTTTCATATCAAAATTAGCCACTTCAGAGCAAATTGAAAGATAGGGCAAGGGAGGACTCTTGGAAGCAGAAGGAGGAGAAAATATAATAGAAATAATTCATGGAGACCTGTTATTTTAGTTTTAGCACAGTTTTTATTGTGTGTCTGGCAGATTAACATACTACTACTTATTCATCATAATATTTATCTGTGAAAAAAGTGATTGAGAGTTTAATTTACTTGAAGGTTGTTATTATGTCTTGGAATGAAGGTATTGGACAAGTATAAATATAAGTGTGATTCTTTTTATTATCTTTGGTTTAAACTCCTAACTTCAAAGTCAGTGATGAAGGAGGGGTTCCTAACACCTAGGAGTTTATGACAGGTCTCTGAAGTATAAATTTTGATTGACCCTAAATATGAAAAACATGTTTTTCCCAGAAGAATAGGTTTGACCTTTTAAAAAGTTTTATTTTCTAATAAAATAATGCTAGTGTAAGGGATTTTTTTCTAAAAGTATAACTTGCTTGAATTGTGTGAGCTTTGTAAGTTTAAGAGCATGTGCTCAAAGCAGTGTGTACACATAGAAGAACAGAAAAGCCCTACTTAAAGAAAGAAGTAAAATAGTGGGAAGGGAAGCAAAGGAAAAATAAAATCAAGTTGAAATCAAAGGAGGGGTAAAAATGTCAGTGGAAAAATAGGAGAGTCCAAATCTTCTTGAATATTTTATAGCAAGCTTTAGAGCAAGCTTGATCACCCAAAGGACACACCGCAGGGATTAGTGTTCGAAAATGAACAACAGATGTTGCATGTCAACAGATAATATCCCAGTGGGTGAAGAGCATTTAGGGTGAAAGAAAGTAAAACACATCGTCAGGTGGTCTCTGGTAGTTTGGGTAAATCTTTGATGAGGAATAAGTTTCTTGTGTAACTGTCAGAGGCTCATTGGAGCAACCCAATGATTTTTCCAGTTAACGGGATTCTAAGTGCATATGCAAGGAAGATTAATCAGGTAATGGCCACTTATAGAACATCTCTTATAAGTCACTGAACTTTGACATAAACCCTTCTTTGAAGGAGGCTATAACTGAAAATGACTCTGATTGATAAATGTCGTTGAGCAAGTTGGCTTGAGTAGGGAGGAATTATTCCTCTTTTTAGCACTGAGACCTCCTCAAAAATATTTTTCCTGGTCACTATATTTGTAAGGTGGCTGTATCCTACTTCCTCAGTGATCTTTATTCCATTTCTCCACTTTACTGTCTTCATTTATCATTCTGTGAAACTGTGTACATGTTTGTTTCCTGGTCACTATCTGTCTTTCTTATCAGAATAAAACTCCATGAAATTAGGGATGACCTTCGTTTTCTTCATCACAATATACCCAATGCCTAGAGTAGTGCCTAGTACATGGTGGGAAGTTCAAAATGCATCCAGTGGTATTTCAGACATAATATTTAATTCTATAACTTGAATTAAGAATCAATTTATTAAGTCATTATGGTAAGCAGAAAGATAGAACTCAGGGAGGAGAGAGAAGATGGAAGAGAGACAATTTACAATTTGCATATCTTTCATGTTTCTTGACTATGGATTAAGAAAGTATCAAGACTGGACTGCTGAGTGTAGACAATCTCTGATCAGTCTGGATGTCTTTGAGAAACTCGCATCAAAGGACAAGACAACATGGAAGTGATGTCTTTATTTCAAGTGAGACCACTGAGCATGAAATATATCTGTCAGCTCATTCTTATCCCATCTCTTCCTCTCTCCTGCCCCCAACTTCCCTGAACAAAAATACTGAGGATTACTGTTCTATTCTTAGAAACTAGAACACTAAGTTTTCTGCCAAAATAATTAATCTATTCACTCACTTAGTATATATTATTTGATTACATACTAAGTAATGGGGCCTCCCAAAGAGATTAAGACATAGTTTTAACTTTGCATGAACTTTATCATTAATGACTAACAGATCTCTAGCTGGTATTGTGATTGGTGAGATTCCAAGGTTATTGTTCTCAAATGAGAATAATGACCCTATTAGGATCCTCTGGTCTCTAGCTTTATTCCTTTGCTTTGGGACATCAGTGGGAAAAGGAAAGATCTAGAAATGGAATTTATATAACCTACATTCACTGAAAATAAGACTCAAAAATTAAATAACTGTTTGAAAATGATTACAGTCTTAAATTACTGACAAAATTTTAAAAATCATTAACAAAATTATTCTGCCAAACACTTCATTGAGCTCTGTTCCTCCCATTAATTTAGTGAGCTTGTTTTTTTTCTGTGAGGGGTCAGTTCTGTTCAACAGATTGAGTGCCTAAAGTGCGCTAGGCACTGAGGAAGCCAAAATGAGATAGACAAAACCCTTGCCCTTAGGAGCTCAAAATACAGTGGAGGAGGCAGACAAACCGTAACCCAAAAATACTATAATAAGAACAGAAGTCTGTACAATGTCCTGGAGTAGCTCAGAAAAGGGTCGGTTAACTCTCTGAACAACGAATGAGTAAAAAGAATAGGGAGGTGATGCAAGCCAAGGATGCCTACCTTTTTGTGAAGAGGAGCTACTTCAAATCTCTCCTGAATCTGGAGCGTGGAAGTGCAGACATCACTCTCGCAGAATGGTTGGCACTGGAGAGTCTGTGAGTTGTTCCAGGTTTGTTTCTCAATCTAAAGATTGAGATCGTGGTAGGCTACATGGCTTTAGTATTGGGAGATGAGTCTAGCATATATTTTTTCATAAAGGTAAATTTATTTTGCTTAAGAGATATCTCAATCTGAGACTATGTCTAGTTTGGTGTTTAAAATATTGTTTCTTTTGCAAAATGATAGCAATGAGAGGTTATTGTTGTTTTAATGCATTTATTTGGCAGAGGTGTACCCGGGATCAGGAACCAAGGGGGGTCAACAGAAAAGACCACAGGAGTTAAGCAGAAGTGAGATGTTGATTGTGCAGGAAAAGTATCTCTTCAGAGCTGTTTTTAAAATCTTGGTGGTGCATATTTGCACTCTCTCTCTCTCCCTCTGTGTGTGTGTATGCGTGTGTTTTATGACACTACTGTGTACTGGGCAGTCCAGCCATAACAATGCAGGGAAGAACCACTGCCTGCTTGGCTGTGAAAAGGTAAAGATGCAGAGGAGAGAGAGCAAAAATCTCATTAACAGTCCTTTCAATCAGTGGTCCATCAGGGAGGCAGGTGGTGAGGTGAGAAGACAGGGAGGGGAACCTGTAATCAGGTAGAGGAACAGAGATAGAATTTCTCACCTTTTTTCTTCACAAGCCCTGCTAAGGAGCTGCTGCTTTATCCTGTAATCAGATGGGTGTGGGTTTGAATTTGAGATCTTTCACTCACTAGCTCTCATAGGAGTGCTATGAAAGTGAATTATGACAATCTATATGATAGTTGTTTAGCAGAGTATCTGGCACATAGCAAATGTTCAATAAATATTACTACTACCACCACTGTTATTATTAAGTAGTTCCATTCATACTAAACCACAGTTGCCAATCCAGAAGAAGAAACCACCATTAATCAGCTTTGGGGCAATATAAGAAGTAGGACCTGAGTGCTGGAGGGTTGGAGTCATCCCAGTAAGGTCTGGGGATTGCAGCAGAGAAGAAAGAGCAATCCTAAGAACAAAAGCAGAGAGGGCAAAGGCATCCTGCAGCTGTTCAGCCAATGGTGTCAGTAAATTGGATTTAAGTTAGGGATGGAGAGAAGCAAACAAAAAGCAGATGCCATTGGAAAAATAAAAATAACTAGGATGACAAAGATATGTAAAAACAAATCAGTCTGTAAATTTATATGGCAGGATTATGAAGAGAATCCAAATACCAAACAATTTTATGGTCTAACTATAACCTTCCCTTTGAAATGAAGATATCATTGCCAGTCTTTGAGGGTTCAGCACACTTTGGATTTAAATTAAATGTATAAATCTCCTTCTTCAGTCGGGAATAACCAGATTTTGAACACTTTAAGCTAGCTTCTCTGTCTTGCAGCTTTAAAAATGATAATACAAAGTTATGTGTAGTATTGACAATAATATATAATTATCTTGCTATCTTAATTTGATTTAGAAACAGGTCCAGCAGAGAAAGTAATAAGGTTTCCTTTAAAGGAGAGAGTAGGTAAGATAGGCTAGAGCTGGCTATGTCCATAGTCCCAGCATTCAGAATCCAATGACTAATGCATTTATCAAACATGGAGTGAGCAGTGGGAAATACAGGTAAAGAGAGTCTCAAGGCACCTCCCTGTAAAGAGTTTACAATCTGGAGAGTAATGAGACATGAAGAAACAATACAGTGTAATGTGGGAAATCGTAAAATAGGGACTCAAATAATATGCTATGGGAGCCCAGGGGGAAAAAAATCCCCTAACTTGCATTGGGTTGTCATCAAAGACTTCCACAAAAATAATGCAGGCTAAATCACCTGAACAGGAATTTTCAGAGTAGAATTAAGGGCTGAAAGGGTAGGGGATAAGGTGGGGACAGGTTTTCAGGGTAGAAAGCTGTCTATAGAGAACATGTTATTGTCAGAGAACAAGTATTTTACTGTGGCTGGAATAAAGGATACCTTTGGGAAAATGTCAGAAGATGCGATTGGAAAGGTAGGCAGGGGATAGATCACAAGTGGATTTTTATGCCTCAATAACAAATTTGAATTAATCCTGTAGGTGGGGGAGCACTTTGACCAGATGGCATTTTAGAAAGATACTCAGCATTGATGTGGAGACTAGATTCGATTGTTTAGAGACTCAAGGCTGGAGGCTACCACATGGTATAGGTGGGACGTCACAAGGGCAGTGGTTAAACTGAGGCAGTGGTTGTGAGAATGGAGAGGAGGACGATGATCTGGGTATGTGGGGAGTGGTGATGGTGTGGGTTAGGAATGAAGATGGGGTGTTGGATTATATTCTGAATTCTCCCTTAGGAGCTAGGCAGATGAATATGGCAATCACCAATGTAAAGGATAAAAGACAAGTTAAGGTTTGAAGGGCTTTCTTTCTTTCTTTATGACACTTTAAGTTTTAGGGTACATGTGCACAACGTGCAGATTTGTTACATATGTCTACATTTGCCATGTTGGTGTGCTGCACCCATTAACTCGTCATTTAACATTAGGTATAGCTCCTAATGCTATCCCTCCCCCCCTCCCCCCACTCCACAACAGGCCCCAGTGTGTGATGTTCCCCTTCCTGCGTCCATGTGTTCTCATTGTTCAATTCCCACCTATGAGTGAGAACATGCGGTGTTTGGTTTTTTGTCCTTGTGACAGTTTGCTGAGAATGATGGTTTCCAGCTTTATCCATGTCCCTACAAAGGACATGAACTCATCCTTTTTTATGGCTGCATAGTATTCCATGGTGTATATATGCCACATTTTCTTAATCCAGTCTATCATTGTTGGACATTTGGGTTCGTTCCAAGTCTTTGCTATTGTGAATAGTGCCGCAATAAACATACTTGTGCATGTGTCTTTATAGCAGCATGATTTATAATCCTTTTGGTATATACCCAGTAATGGGATGGCTGGGTCAAACAGTATTTCTAGTTCTAGATCCCTGAAGAATAGCCACACTGACTTCCACAATGGTTGAACTAGTTTACAGTCCCACCAACAGTGTAAAAGTGTTCCTACTTCTCCACATCCTCTCCAGCACCTGTTGTTTCCTGACTTTTTAATGATCGCCATTCTAACTGGTGTGAGATGGTATCTCATTGTGGCTTTGATTTGCATTTCTCTGATGGCCAGTGATGATGAGCATTTTTTCATGTGTCTTTTGGCTGCATAAATGTCTTCTTTTGAGAAGTGTCTGTTCATATCCTTCACCCACTTTTTGATGGGGTTGTTTGTTTTTCTCTTGTAAATTTGAGTTCATTGTAGATTCTGGATATTAGCCCTTTGTCAGATGAGTAGATTGCAAAAATTTTCTCCCATTCTGAAGGATGCCTGTTCACTCTGATGGTAGTTTCTTTTGCTGTGCAGAAGCTGTTTAGTTTAATTAGATCCCTTTTGGCTTTTGTTGCCATTGCTTTTGGTGTTTTAGACATGAAGTCCTTGTCCATGCCTATGTCCTGAATGGTAATGCCTAGGTTTTCTTCTAGGGTTTTTATGGTTTTAGGTCTGACATTTAAGTCTTTAATCCATCTTGAATTAATTTTAGTATAAGGTATAAGAAAGGGATCCAGTTTCAGCTTTCTACATATGGCTAGCCAGTTTTCCCAGCACCATTTATTAAATAGGGAATCCTTTCCCCATTGCTTGTTTTTGTCAGGTTTGTCAAAGATCAGATAGTTGTAGATATGTGGCATTATTTCTGAGGGCTCTGTTCTGTTCGATTGGTCTATATCTCTGTTTTGGTACCAGTACCATGCTGTTTTGGTTACTGTAGCCTTGTAGTATAGTTTGAAGTCAGGTAGTGTGATGCCTCCAGCTTTGTTCTTTTGGCTTAGGATTGACTTGGCAATGTGGGCTCTTTTTTTTGTTCCAGATGAAGTTTAAAGTAGTTTTTTCCAATGCTGTGAAGAAAGTCATTGGTAGCTTGATGGGGATGGCATTGAATCTATAAATTACCTTGGGCAGTATGGCCATTTTCACAATATTGATTCTTCCTATCCATGAGCATGGAATGTTCTTCCATTTGTTTGTATCCTCTTTAACTTCATTGAGCAGTGGTTTGTAGTTCTCCTTGAAGAGGTCCTTCACATCCCTTGTAAGTTGGATTCCTAGGTATTTTATTCTCTTTGAAGCAATTGTGAATGGGAGTTCACTCATGATTTGGCTCTCTGTTTGTCTGTTATTACTGTATAAGAATGCTTGTGATTTTTGCACATTGATTTTGTATCCTGAGACTTTGCTGAAGTTGCTTATCAGCTTGAGGAGATTTTGGGCTGAGACGATGGGGTTTTCTAGATATACAATCATGTCATCTGCAAACAGGGACAATTTGAGTTCCTCTTTTCCTAATTGAATACCCTTTATTTCTTTCTCCTGCCTGATTGCCCTGGCCAGAACTTCCAACACTATCTTGAATAGGAGTGGTGAGAGAGGGCATCCCTGTCTTGTGCCAGTTTTCAAAGGGAATGCTTCCAGTTTTTGCCCATTTGGTATGATATTGGCTGTGGGTTTGTCATAAATATCTCTTATTATTTTGAGATATGTCCCATTAATACCTAATTTATTGAGAGTTTTTAGCATGAAGGGCTGTTAAATTTTGTCAAAGGCCTTTTCTGTATGTATTGAGACAATCATGTGGTTGTTGTCGTTGGTTTTGTTTATATGCTGGGTTACATTTATTGATTTGTGTATATTGAACCAGCCTTGCATCCCAGGGATGAAGCCCACTTGATCATGGTGGATAAGCTTTTTGATGTTCTGCTGGGTTCGGTTTGCCAGTATTTTATTCAGGATTTTTGCGTCGATGTTCATCAGGGATATTGTTCTAAAATTCTGTTTTTTTGTTGTGTCTCTGCCAGGCTTTGGTATCAGGATGATGCTGGCCTCATAAAATGAGTTAGGGAGGATTCCCTCTTTTTCTATTGATTGGAATATTTTCAGAAGAAATGGTACCAGCTTCTCCTTGTACCTCTGGTAGAATTCGGCTGTGAATCCGTCTGGTGCTGGACTTTTTTTGGTTGGTAAGCTATTAATTATTGCCTCAATTTCAGAGCCTGTTATTGGTCTATTCAGAGATTCAACTTCTTCCTGGCTTATTCTTGGGAGAGTGTATGGGTCGAGGAATTTATCCATTTCTTCCAGATTTTCTAGTTTATTTGCATAGAGGTGTTTATAGTATTCTCTGATGGTAGTTTGTATTTCTGTGGGATCGGTGGTGATATCCCCTTTATCATTTTTTATTGCTTCTATTTGATTCTTCTCTCTTTTCTTCTTTATTCGTCTTGCTAGACGTCTATCAATTTTGTTGATCTTTTCAAAAAACCAGCTCCTGGATTCATTGATTTTTTGAAGGATTTTTTATGTCTCTATTTCCTTCAGTTTTGCTCTGATCTTAGTTATTTCTTGCTTTCTGCTAGCTTTTGAATGTGTTTGCTCTTGCTTTTCTAGTTCTTTTCTAGTTCTTGCTTCTCTAGTTCTTTTAATTGTGATGTTAGGATGTCAATTTTTGATCTTTCCTGCTTTCTTTTGTGAAGGGTTTTCTTTAAAATACACTCCACTCTCTGAATTAAAATCAGTGAAAGGATTTTGGGTAATACATTTGCCATGTGCTTCACAAGTCCCCATCTCCCAGACTTTGTGTTTTTTTCCTCTACTTGGAATGCTCTCCCTCAACCTTCTACAAATTCAAGAGCTACCTATTCTTCTAGATCCAGCACAAATGCCAACTTTCCCAGGAGGCCCTCTTGCATCCTGCAGCAGTCAAAAGTAATTTGCTCAGTGGCTCACTGTCATGTACGAGTTGTGTGACCTAACCACTCTCTCTTTCCATTTTGTCATCTGTAAAAAGGAGCTAGTATTAGTATCCACCTCGCAAGCTTATTTATTAAATAAATTCACTCAGGTAAGGCAATTCGAACAGTATCAAGCACATAGAAAGTGTAGTAATGCTGGCTGTTATTGTCATCCTCCCTTCTGGTATTAAACCCTTCCTACATTGTATTATAGTAGTTAATTATGTAAGTGTCTATGTCCCTGACCAGACTGTCTACTCCTTGAGGGTAGGAATCATCTTTGAATTTCTTTCAGTACCAAGCATAATGCCTTACACACAAATATTTATTGATCCACTGAGCTCTTCCATACTGTTGTTTTGGGCTACAGAATTTTCTTGTTTATGGCAAACAGTATATTTCAACTTATTTTTTTCCCCTCAGGCTTAAAGAATCAGCCCAGTGTTTTAAATAATTTAAGAGGTATAGTTGATGGTTAAGATATGTTGTCATTCATATTTATGGTTTCCTTGATACTGAATACTTGGGCAGGAAAGTAACCTCTATATAGCTCAATATCTCCCAGAGTCACTCCCACAATAATAAAAGCACTGCATAGCAGGTGGAACTCAAATCTTTAGGTTTGGGTCCCCAGCGTTTAGTATGTGGTACAGTACTAAATAAAAGCTTATTTAATTAAGTTGTACATTAATAAATTATCAATAAAAGGTAATCTTGTGTTTGAGATACTATGCTTAAGAAAGCAAAAAAAAGGGAGTTATTATTTTAAATAATTTCTAATCAATGTAATTAAAATGAAAATCATTTGGGCATCTGAATTATAAGCTTCGGTTACCTGGAAAAGTCACTTATGTGGAACCACCTATAAAAAAGACATGCCATGACTAGACTTAGATGACAATGGGTTTTATTTGCTGTGGACTAGCCTTACTACAAACAAGACTTTAACTAAGACATACTTTCATTAAATTGAGAAAATATGGCCTAGAATTATTAGACCACACAATTATTGTGTGGGTGGACAATTGGATAGTAAGTCACTTTCTTAGCTTAGTATCAGTGAAGTAGATAGAAAAACTAGGAAATTATGAATTCTGAGAAAATAGATATAGATATTCTTTGGAAAATCACAAATAGTTCTCAGTTTTCACCATTCCTGGAAGCCAAGTAATAAAGAAGGCCAGGTTTCCCACTTGAAAAATGAAATAATCAGAGGTTACTTTCCATGGAATACTATGCAGCCATAAAAAAGGATGAGTTCGGGACATGGATGAAGCTGGAAACTATCACTCTCAGCAAACTATCACAAGAACAGAAAACCAAACACTGCATGTTTTCACTCATAAGTGGGAGTTGAACAAGGAGAATACATGGACCCAGGGAGGAGAACATCACACACTGGGGCCTGCTGGGGGGTAGGGGGCTAGTGGAGGGATAGCATTAGAAGAAATACCTAATGTAGATGACGGGTTGATGGGTGCAGCAAACCACCGTGGCACATGTATACGTATGTAACATTCTGCATATTCTGCACATGTATCCCAGAACTTAAAGTATAATAAAAAAATCACTTTCTGATTAACTTATGAAAATCAAACTTTTCATGCTTGTAAAAAAAAAAGAAATATGCACTCCAAATTTCAAAAAGTACAGTTGGAAAATATCAGAATGAGAATGGACAAGGTTGGAGAAGAAGGCAAAGGCAGAGTCTGGAGGCCTTTGAAGGTCAGACTAAGGGCTGGATACCATCAGCACATCCATTCTGTGCTTCAAATGAGCCTAATATGGTATTGCTACATGGCTATCATTGGGAACCAGGAGCCATTGAGTTTACTAGATTTGACTGGGGAAAGGACAGAATCTGGGTTGAGGCATGGGCAGAGCAATAGATGCTGTCCCTCTTGACCAGCTGGCCCCTGACTGCACGACTCAATGGTCAGGGCAGCCTGTGAGAAGGCAGATCCAGTTCATCGAGTCCACACCGGTGGTAGAAAGAAGGCAGTTACGGGGTGGGGAGGCCGGTGTGGAACTTCCCGTGGGCTAACACTTGTCCCAGATAAGCTCGGAAGTCAGGCATATCTTTACACCTTTAGGCTTTACCCTCATTTCTTTCCTCTATGTTCACTGTGAATTTTGCTTCTTTTCTGTCCTTCCTTCTCTCATCTTTTCTCCATTTTTCTTGCTGTTTTGTTTGCAGTATATCATATTTCCCTGTGCTCTTTCCTCTTCAGCTGCCCTCTGCTTGAACATGAAAGCTGTTTCCCTTCCCTGTCGCCTCTTCCCTTTGGCCAGCTCTATCCTGGGTACTTTTCTCTCTTTCTTCTCTTCTGGCCCCTGGAGTTTGGAAGTATTCTTCACTATTAGGTGGATGTACCCATGCAGTTCTACGGACTCATTCTGAGCTACTTTCCTTTCTCCCCTAATCTTACTCAAAAATTCCTGTCGATGGCCTCAGTCTCATTCTTGACTTTAGTGGCCGCTATTAGCTTTCAGGCCTGGTTAATATCTCTGTCATACAAATTGTAATATGTTCTTAGGGTGCGTCACTGGTTTCTATAGCTTTCACCAGTTCAAGTGCTCTTGCTGTTCTACATGTACAGTAAATGCAACCAAAGACAACACCAGCTAGATAAACTCTGAAGCAGTGGTACTCTACTGGGTTATTTTGTCCCCCAGGGGACATTTGGCAAAGGCTGGACACACTTTTGGTTGTTACAACTGTGGGGAGTGGGGAGGGATGCTGACACCTAACAGGTAGAGGTCAAGGATTTCGTGAAAAGTCCTATAATGCACAGGACAGTCCCCACCCTGAAAGAATTGTCCAGCTCAAGATGTCAATATTTCTGAGGTTGAGAAGCCCTGATCCAAACGTATTTGTCTTGGAGCTTTCAACTAGGGTGAATATGTAAATAATGAAGGCTAATTAAAAACAAATTAAATTGCAATCACTTAGGAAAAACAATGGGAGAATCTTGAGATGGCACATAGTAAAATGTGCCTGCTTTAATAACAACAAAAATAATTATTTGTGCTTTATTGAGTACTCATTTTCACTTATAAAAATTATACTCATTAGATCTCCCACCCTTCCCAACAACCTGTGAGTTTGGTATTGGAGATACCTTGCATATAAAGAAACTGAGGCATAGAGAATAAGATTACTCTCATAAGGACCCCAGACAAACATCGATTTTAACCAACGGAAAAAAAAAAAAACCCACAGGGCTGTTCTCACAGCTTAACTGGAGCTACAATGGCAGAAAATAAGGGCAGGAACCAAAGCTGCTGTCACAAAGAAAGGACTCTCCCATTTCTCTATTTGGTATTTAAAAATAGGAGAGAAAACGGCATAGCTTGAATCTGAGATAATGCTTGCCGCTTTGTGAATGCTCTTACAGTGCATCGCCTTCGAAACAAATTGGCCCTCGTCTACAAAGGTTTCTTTTTTGTACTCTCGCAAACTCATTTTTAATGGCTTGTGCGGCATCAGTTGTGCCCCTGAGCTGTAATGAAGGGCTCTGCAAGTCACCACAAGCGAGTCAGAAATGAATCTCACGGAGAGGAAAATGCTGGAACGTTAATAGGTTTTAATCCAAGGTAAGCAAACTTATTGAGCCACCACCATATGCTTTATAAAAATCTAAATGTCATGAAATTTTCAGCAGTCTTCCCTTGCCTGCAAATCAGTTTTGGTCCACAGACAGCCAAGTAGGGATCAGAAGGGAAAAATCTCAAATGCACGTAACTGCCCAGGAGCACACCTTGAGGAGTTTACAAGCACCATCCAGGCAAAACAAAGAAATAATTGATGGAGCATAGGAAAAACTGGCGGCTGTGTCAGGCAGGCATCGGAACAGCCTGTGAGTGTGGCAGACATCTTGCAATATATTTGATCCTATCTTCAATATCTTGGGTGGAGAAGGGGTGTTGAAATCTGACGGTCTCTGTTACATGGGGTTTCCCCTTAGGTTTTTATTTCAATGGAAAAGCAGTGTTTGTATATTCTAATTTATTACATGGATCCTAGCCAATTTACGGAGTGAGATTTAATTGCTAAACACCCAATTTTAAAGTTCATTTTCTGCAGTACCTTGGCAGCTTTTGATAGATGTTTGTTCAGAAAATAACAATCTCTGAATATTAAAGTAAAATAAATTGGTTTTTAAAGTGGTGAGCCTTTCTGCTTATGTGGGAATTTGGAGGTGTACTTTGAATTTTCCTCCTCTGCCAGGTGGGTGACAATGAAATACAGAGATAGACTCAGGGCCACACCTTCAGGGTCTTGGGGCCAACAGTCCCCCTTTCAAGGGTCCTTGGGGCCAGCAGATCCTCTTTCAAGTGTCTTGTTAAATGTGTTAATTGCTATAGTAACTATAGGGATGTTCCTGATACTTGAGATAGGATCTCTTCTCTCTTATGGAATGCAAAATGTGTCCCCAATTATAATGCAACAGTTTCAATTAAGCAAAGTTATAGAAATGTTGAAGCCCTGCAAATGAAAGTTTAAGATTTAGCTGTCTTTCCAAGTTTGCATTAAGACATCTTTGCAAAGCTTACTACTTTATGCAAGCCATGATTCCAAGGATCTTATGGCTTTGATACTCATAATACCTTATGAAGTAGGTGCTGTTATCACATCTGTTTTAAAGGAGGAAACAGGCACAGGGAGTTTAAGTAGTTGGTCCAGGGTCACACAGCTCGTAGAGGACATGAGTACAATCTGAATCCAGGCAGTCTATCTCTGGAGCCTCTGTGTGTTCCTAACCACTCTGCCATACAACTTCTCAGAGCAAGTAGCATAAATATATCCACTTAATACTGTATTGCAGAAACTGTAGACCTCTCCTGTTGAATTTTCTTATTCTCTCAGCCTATGAATAACTTGCAACTATTCACAGCCCAATGGGTAAGTGCACTCTATGATTCCCTGTAGATACCTCCTGTCCAGATTGAGCCTCCTCTATATAATGAGAATGTTGGTCCTGCTAGTATTTTATAAAAATGGAAGCTACAGATGAGTCTTAGGTCATTGCCAGAAGTTCTACTATCCTGGGACATGGTGGGAGAGTCAGGATAAAGAATAAAACAACATTGAATGTGTCTTTCCTAAAACCTACCAGATTATAAATTTGGGACAGTCACCAGTAGTCTCAGTGACAGATCTCCATCTTGTGGCTTTGGAAAGCAGAAGAAATGGGAGGAGAAAGATGATTCAGAAGGCTTAGGGTAATGCTTCTCACACTTCAGTGTGCTTTTGAATCTCCCAGATATCTTATTAAAATGCAGATTCTTTTTTGTAGGTCTGGGTTGGGGCCAGAAATTCTAAATTTCTAACAAACTTCTAGGGATTGCTGATGCTACTGGCTCATAGACCATATTTGGCGGACAAGGATCTAGAATAGACCAGCATCATCACCATCACCTGGAAGCTTATTAGAAATGCAGATTCCTGGGTTCTACTCCAGGCCTACTGAATCAGAATCTACACTTCCAAGTGGTTTATATGCACTTTAATTGTTTGAGAAACACGAGTCTAGAGTAGTCTTCAAACCATGAAGATGCACATAACCAATTAGGCACACTTGTAGATGAATTGGCTATGGTGGGAGAGAAGACGGAGAGAGTATAAAGTTCCCAATAAAAGCTTCATTGAAGACTTTCAAATGTCCCTTTTCTTTGTGATCACTTGAATAGCTGAAAAAGTCCCTGAAATACCTCATTCAAAGCTCATTTGCAAAAGTCTGGAGAATCTTTTCATTTTAGAGGTGTTATTCAACTCAAATTGTTTCTCCTTTAGGAGTCTATAACTCAACCACTTGAATATTTTAAAATTTAGAAGAAGGACAGGTCTTTCCCACCAACATCTGTCTCTGAGTGGCATAGTCCTAAGTTTGAGTTGCCAGCAGAATGGACTGTGGCACTGTCAGCCCAGACTAGGGATGATCATAGATACCTTACCCCACCTAGAGAAGCCATTGAGACTTGCACCCAACCCTGACCCTTCCTGCATCAGTGCCCAGGCCCCTTTGGGGGTGAGTGGAATGTGGTGGAAGTGGCTGTGGGGCAAGTTTGCGGAGAGTAAAGTCAGATTGTCTGGGGCACCAGGAGACAGGGAACAGTGGGGACTGAGAACCATCCTTGTGGGGTGGAGAGGTAGTAGGAAGCAGGCCTACACCAAGGCTTCAAGCCCACCAACCATGCTCCATTGTCCTGTTGAATTTCACTTACAAAACACAAATTCAAAGATGAAATCAGAGTATTAAACCCCCAGGGCAGGGCTCTTCTGAGCGCAGGGCACTGTGTAACTGCAGTGGTCACGCTCATGAAGCGGGCCCTGACTCTGGACATTGCTTGCTATCTTTGTGTTTTGAGAATTTATTTACTCTTGCTTTTGCTTGGTCTATATGAAAAACTAAATAATGTTTATGCTAATCTGATAGTCTAATGCAGCGATCCTCCAACCCTGGGCCTGGACTAGCAGCATAAGCATCCCTGGAAAACTTATTAGAAATGCAGATTTGGGGGCTCTACCTCAAAGTATGGAAACAGAATCTCTAGGGGATGGGGTCTAATAACCTGTGGCTTCGACAAACCCTCCTGATGATTCTGAAGCATGCCAAACTTTGAGAGTTTGTTTTTTGTTTTTGCTTTTATAAAATCACAAATTACTTCTGCAGAATTCCCAACAATATTTGGAGGTGACAGTAGCATCAATTTGTGGGCCACGTAGGTATTCCCTACTCTTGCCAGTTTTCTTCCAGTGGGAAAAAAATTTGTTGCAGCACCTGCTGCATGGGATGCTTGAGTTGAAGTGTTCCTAATAGCTGCTTGGAGATGGTGGGAGGGCTTACATATTAAAGGAAATTCAGGTATGGGTTAGAGAGACAGAGAAGGCTTAGCACGGTGGCTTTGGGCTCCAGAGACACCCAACACAAAGAAATCCTAGTTCTCTTTCTAACCAGTGGTGAGACCTTAAGGGAATTATTTACTTTTTTCTGATCCCACTGGGAGCAGTATCTTCAGCCATAAAATGGAGACAATAATGGTGATATCTACTTCATGGGGTTCTTGTGAGGTTTGACTGAGCTCGTGAGTGAAAGTCCTTTTCATACTGCCTGGCACAACAAATGGAAGCTGTTATTCAGGGCATAAAATTATTGTGCACTGATCTAATCATATGATGCACTTATGTATCTATGAATTTTATTGGTAATAATGATTATTTGATATAAATTGAAACATCTTATTTCCATAAAGGTCACTGGAATATATATGTCTTTGTGTATATATGTGTGTATATATATATATATATATATATATATATATATATATATATATATACATACACATACACACACATACAAATGTGAATCATAACAATTCTCCTATGGGATCAGTTTTCTTTTCTTTTTTCATATTTTTAATTGATATATCATAGTTGTAGATATTTTGGAATATATATATATAATATTTTGATGCATGTATACAATGTGCCACGATCAAATCAGGGTAACTGAGATACCCATCACCTCAAACATTGATCTTTTCATTGTGTTGAGAACATTACAAATTTTTCTCTTCTAGCTATTTTGAAATACACAATAAATTATTGTTAACCATAATTTTCCTACTATACTGTCAAATACAAGAACATACTCCTTCTGTCAAACTATTTTGTAAACATTAATCAACTTCTCTTCATCATTCCTCCCCACTTCTCTTCCCAGCCTCTGGAATGGATCATTCTACTCTCAACCTCCATGAGATGCACTTTTTAAGCTCCCACATATGAGTGAAAAAAGCGATTTTGTCTTTCTCTGCCTAGCTTATTTTACTTTTTTTTTTTCTTAGAGGGCTTCCATAGATTCTACCTGGCTTGCTGGAGGCTTAAGCTTTCTTCTTTCCAGAACTGGAAACTCAGTTCTTCCCAGCATTAGCTTTGCTTCTGTGCTAAGCATAAATCATTGGAATTTCATAAGCTTTCTTTCTCTTAGCACTCATACACTTTGTAAATCAATGATTTGCAAAGTAAAAAGGGCTCCCTTCAGTAAATATTTGCAAGGCAGGTCTGTCTTCCCCTGCTTTCCGAGCAGAGGCAAAGACTCCCTCTAATCCTGGCGTTCAGGAGGATGGTGGAATATCGATTTGCTGCCTGCTACTTGCTCCATCATCACATCAGTTATAGGGGAAGTGGAATTATTCCTCCTCGGATATGTGGGCCTTTCTTTGTGTTTGGGTCTAAAAACCAACTCCAGGCTAATTGTATTCTTCTTATTGAATAATAAATGAAGATCAAGGTCTGTTCGACTCTGAATACAGCAAGTCAACTGGACTGTGAGTTGAATATTGAGGCCAAGAGGCTTTTTCTGCAAACACACACTGCTTTTTGATTAAAAACCAACCACATAAAAGCAACAAAAAATAACCTGAACCCCAAGTGATTCAACAGGAAAAGAATACTCTTTAGGGACTTTGGATCCCAGGTGGCATGCATCTGGATGCTTTTAGCATTGCGGGACTTGAATGCTAAGGGCTGAAAACATTTATACCCAGCTCTTCCTGGTATTGATTTCCCTCACACTGATTTAGTGTGGGGCCTCTTGGCGTCTCTCTATTGCTTCTAGCAGCTGAGTTTTGGCCCCAAAGGGCTTTATTTAATGAAAACTTGGGGCTTATACTGTGAGAAAGATGCCCCAGGAATTGAAGTTGTAGACATCCCAGTGGAGAAAACATCAAGACAAGAGTCATGTGCTGTGCAGTGGATGAGATGATGATATGAAGCCTCCACTAAAGTATGTTTTAAAGAGGAGGGAGCAGCAACCTTCAAATGACTGTTGAGAGTTAAAAGAAGCTCTTATTACTGAAAAATAAAGTGCTTACATGAAATACGTGCAGAAGTTGCACTGGGAGAGGGATCAGAAGAGGAGGGGAGCCACATATTAGAATCTTGGAGAAGACTGTCTGGCTATGTATTAGAGCCGCTTACAGACAACCATGGCCATTGGGAAGAGTTAAACAGGGTATGCTTTAAAAATAAACCTTTTATTTTAGAACAGTTTTAGATTTACAGAAAAATAGTGAAGATAGTACATAGACTTCCCGTACACCCCACACCCAGTTTCCCTTATTGGTAACATCATAATGACTATTTGTTACAATTAATAGACCATGTATATTTGTTACAATTAGTAAATCAGTATTGATAAATTATTATGAACTAAAGTTCATATGTTATTCAGATTTCCTTCATTTTTATCTAATGTTCTTTTTCCATTCCAGGATTTGATTCAAATTCCATTATCTCCTTAGTATCCTCCGGTCTGTGACAGTTTTCCAAACCCTCCTTGTTTTTGATGACCTTCACAACTTTGAGAATTATTGGTCAGGCATTTAGTCAAATTTCCCTCACGTTGTGACACAGGATTTGTCTCACACTTTTCTCATTATTAGACTGGAGTTACTTGTTTTTCTGAGGAAGACCATATAGGTAAAGCGCCATTTCCATCATGTCATTTCAACGGTCCATATTATCCACATGACTTATAACTGTTGATGGAACAGGAACATTTTTAATGGGAGACTGAATTGCAACAGACTTTGAGTGTTGGGAATTAAGAACATTACGGATCGAGACCATCCTGGCTAACACGGTGAAACCCCGTCTCTACTAAAAATACAAAAAATTAGCTGGGCGCGGTGGCGGGTACCTGTAGTCCCAGCTACTTGGGAGGCTGAGGCAGGAGAATGGCGTGAACCCAGGAGGCGGAGCTTGCAGTGAGCCGAGATAGCGCCACTGCACTCCTGCCTGGGCGAAACAGCGAGACTCCATCTCAAAAAAAAAAAAAAAAAAAGAAGAAATTTTACTCCTCAAATGTGGTATATTTCAGTTAGTGTTGCTTCTCACAAAATAATAAATGGTCAAAACAAAACAAACAAACAAAAAGCAAGTGAAGCAGTGGTAAAACTTATTTGACTCCAGTTCCGGTTGCAAACTGAAAGGCTTCCAGTTTCTCAAACCGGTTTTCATTGAGACAGCTTGCAAAAAAAACTCACCCATGTGTGCAAGCAAATCTTGAAACTGTAAGTCTGTAACAGAGAGACTCCACCCATTCAGAAATAAGTTGTTAAATAAGAGAGGTTTAGGAGTTTTTCAAATGAATTGTTATTGTTCCATGGTTTATATCTTCAGGAATTAGCTGGACAGTGGTCTGACTCTCCTTGGCTCACCTATCCAACAGGGTATTGATTTTTACAGAAATTTTGTAAAATATCAAGACAACATTAGGATAATCATAAGTTTTTGTGCTTTCATTATATGAGTCCTTCATCTTGTCTGTGTCAAAGACTTTGTGCAGGTTGTAAAAGCATTATACTTTCAAGCGCTTATGCCTCAGACACCATGGCTGTGGTTACTTTAGCAAGATTAGACAACGTTTATCACATATAGGGCTCCAAAGCCACCCACCTGAGTAACTGGAGTGGAGATAAGCATGATAGACTAAAATGCATTCTTGATGACAGTGGTAGACAGTTTTCCATGTTGTTAAAGGTCCCAGGTAGACATCTTCTGTTTGGAATGGTTGGAGGAAAGAATCTCAATGGAAGTGTATTTATTTGCTAGGGCTGCCATAACAAAGTACCACAGACTGGGGGCGCTTAAACAACAGCAATTTATTTCCTCACAGACCTGGAGGCTAGAAGTCTGAGATCAAGGTGTCGGCAAGGTTGATTTCGTCTGAGGCCTCTCTCTTTGGCTGGTAGATGGCCATCTTTTCAATGTGCCCTCACATTTCTTTCCTCTGTGTGTGTCTGTGTCCTAATCCATCTGTTCTCACGGGGACACCAGTTATGTTCAACTAAGGCCCACACTAATGACCTCTTGTAATCTTAATTATGTTGTTCTCTTTGTTTTTGTTGTTTTTTTAGGTTCAATATTTATTATTCGACAAATATTTATTGAGTACTATGTTTACCTTACAGGCTTTAATTTTTTTTAATTTTAATTGTGGGTACATAGTAGGTGTACATATTTTGGGGGTATGTGAGATATTTTGGTATCTCATGCAATGTGTAATAATCACATCAGGGAAAATGGCGTATCCATCACCTCAAGCATCCATCCTTTCTTTGTGTTGCAAATGACACAATTATACTCTTTTAGTTATTTTTAAATGTACCATAAATTATTGTTGACTGTAGTCACTCTGTTGTGCTATCAAATACTAGACCTCATTTATTTTAACTATTAACCATTTTTTTGTGCCCATTAACCGTCTCCACTTTCCTCCCCGACTACCCTTCCCAGCCTGTGGTAACCATCCTTCTACTCTCTATCCCCATGAGTTCAATTGTTTTGATTTTTGCTCCAATAAATAAGTGAGAACATGTGAAGTTTGTCTTTCTGTGCCTGGCTTATTTCACTTAACATAATGATCTCCAGTTCCATCCACGTTGTTGCTAATGACAGGATCTCATGTTTTTATGGATGAATAGTATTCCTTTGTATATACGTACCACATTTTCTTTATCCACTCATCTGTTGATGGACACTTAGGTTGCTTCCAACCTTGGCTATTGCGAATAGTGCTGCAATAAACATGGAAGTGCAGATCTCTCTTTGATATATTAATTACATTTTTAAAGACACTGTCTCCAAATACAGTCACATTCTGAGGTAGTGGAGATTAGGGCTTCCACACACAAATTTGGGGGGACACAATTCAGTCCATAACAGGAAGGGTAAAGGATTCAGTAAAATAGATATTTCCTTCTCTCCAGACCTGGGTTTCCAGGAGTCTGGGATGACTGACATTTGATGCTGACTTTTTGCTGGGCTATTTGAGGGGAATTTAACAATGGAGAAAAATGTGAGAGGGAGCACTTCATGTGGGGAGAGCCATGCTGTGTAATATGACTTTGTCAGGAGCCCATTTCCGGATGTTACCTGTGGTGTTTGCACAGCTGTTCTGTCATTGTACTCCTTGGCAGCCTGAAGGCTGATTTCCTGGTGAATTTTCACCTAATTTCCTTTGCATCTGCCTTATAAGTGATAGTTTCATGTCTGAACTTTAAAAATGGCATCAGCCAGAATGCTGATTTATTAATTTACAATGAGAAATGTAATCATTGAGTGGACTGGGTACTCCAGTTTCTTGTCCAGCATGTGCTTTCCCTGCAGGCAAATGTAAGTGGGAAGCCAAATTATCATCAGAAGGTGGCTTGGTGAGCATGGAATCAGGCCAGGGGAGTTAGGGATGAGATTTGGCATTCCCTTGCTTTTTATTCTTTGGGCCAAGCAGTGCCGAGCAGCATAGACTGGCAGCACATGCTGGCTGCCTCTGCCTCTGCTACTCTTCCTGACTTGCCATTGCCTCCTCTGGCAAACTCAGCAAGCAGGACTCAGCTCAACCATCTCTGCCTCGGAGAAGCCTTTCTTCATTTCCCCAGACAGAGGAGGTCTCTCTTCTTCCTTACCCCTGTGGTACTTTATGCTAAGTATGTATTTGGCATCCTGTGTTTTGGTTATTTATTTACTCACCTGTCTTCTCCACTGAACTCAGAGAAACTTAAGTGAAGGGATTTAATTGTGTTTACTGTATACAATGCAAGTGGTCAGTGTTCAATAACTACTAACTGCTTAATAGAAGTTATCATTATGGTAATTCACATTACGATGGGGGTTTATATATATTTGTTTTTGTTTTTGCTTTATGTTTTAATACGCTTTCCAGTAAGTTGCTCATAAGACATGATCTTACATTGCACTAATAGCTATGAGGTGAGATAGGCAGGTAGGCACCAGTATCAGATGACAACATACTTAGAGGTTAAGTGATTTGTCAATCAATTAAAGGCACTTTCCACCAAACCTGCTTATCTTGAGAACTGGGTCTCCTCTCCCCTGAGTTCTCCCTGTTCTTGCCCTGTGGGTTGATACTTAGAGCTTAAGCCTTTCTCCCACATCCTTAGTTTTCCTCTTTCCTCCTCCTTAGGAGCCTGGAGCTCTCTGAGTGCTTGGTATTCTCTCTTTAAAAGGACCTTCCTTCTCAGCCCTGTCTTACTGGGGAGGATTCTGCACTTGAAAATCCTGCTCTTTCCTCTTTGACCACCCATTTTCTCCTCATGCATTTCCCTTCTAATTTCCAGGTCAAACTCTGATTCCCTCAGACATTTAGTCTTGTGAAGAAAGCAATGTGATTAAATTTAATTTACACTAAGATGCTAATAACATCCTCAGGGTATTTGCATATTAAGATTTTAAGAGTGAATTCCTTTAGCAATGTTCTGAAAGCTGGCTACATGTTACCATGTTGGCATTTCTCTCTCCCTCTCTCTGTGTCTCCACACACACACACACAAAAACACACAAGTGTGCACACACACACATTTAATTTTGTTTACTCCGTATTTGGTAAAATTTCCTGGGCCCTTAGAAACTATTTCTCTTTTTATGTTTTTAAAAGAAATTTCTATACTTTGCAGTCCAGATGCTACCATGAATTTCTTCAGACCATCAGCAACTAGTCATTATAACCTTTGGGGAGATACAGCGCTTCACCAGTGAGTCATTAGCTTTTGGGCCTAGAGAACAAATCTGAAGGACCTTTTCATATCTCATAACTAAATACATTCTGCAGCTTGCAGATAAACATGCTGATCTGACAGCGAGTTAAGGAGGTTTATCAGCATTTGTGCACCTGCAGCGTTACACTAAAAGACATGACTTCATTAAAACTCACTGTGCTTGTGAGAACAATGAGGACTGGTGGTAGGTGTTAAAAAGAAAGACACTACTAGATGGCGGCTTTAAGCTCATCTTTGAAGGGATGAACTCATTCTATCCGACATGTCCAGCTGTGCAAACAGCAGCACCGAGTGAGCTGCAGTTAGCTGTACTAATACATAGGATTAGAACAGAGGCCGGGCCACATACAAATGATGCGAATGCTTAATATACTTGAACACTATGAATGCTGCACAGAGGGGGAATAAGAGCCCCAGAAGTGACAGAAGATATTTTGCTAACTGTCATAAAAAAGAGTATGTTAGGGCCTTCTAGGAACATTTCTCTTGCTGGTGACTTTTGCCTTTTGAGGCCAGTGTTTTCTTAGATGAAAAAACAATACAAAACATCGATCTCTCAAAAAACTTCACAGGGAAATAACAAGGGTTGCCACAGTTACCATTGTTCTCTCATAAAATTCCAGAATGAGAAAACCGTGGGGTGTGTGTGTGTGTGTGTGTGTGTATGCATCTGTGTGTGTATGTGAATGTGTATTTGGGCTTCATCTGCAATAGCAACTTAAGCTCAGAATAAGTGAATGGGTTGTCAAGGTGGACATTAGCAGTGAGAGACCAAGAGTCTGGACAACAGGGATTCAGTGATTGGGCTAGAAGACCCAGTCATGAAGGTACTAGAAAGTGGGTCAAAGGAAGCACAACTCAGGTTCTAGAAGCCTTGGCAATGGATAGAAGCAACACAGGCCTAGGAGCAACACAGACCTTGATACTGATGCTAATCTCGTCTGAGGAAGTGTTAATGGGAGTGGATTCTTTATATGCTTCCTGTCCTTAGTGAGAGCTGTGGGTAGGCTGGGTAGAGCTGAACCAAGCTCCTTCATGGGCAGATGAAAGGGAGGTTGCAGTGGGAGGGAAACCAGCAAGTCCTGAACATTTGGAGACCCATCCCCAACCCTCACAGCACTGCTGTAAAAACTGCAGAATGAAGGACTTCATAACATCTTCTTCCTTATTTCCCTAAGATTTGAAAATGCTAGTTATCCTTAAAAGTTTTCTGAGTAGTGCAAAACATATATAGGTTTATTTCTCTCGTAGTATTAGGAGCTGAATATTATAAGTTCCTATGTTCCAGGACCTTAAATGAATGGATCTCTTTGCGAGGTGTCCTGAAACATTATTCTACCACATTTGGCTCATGCAGTCAGAAGAGCCTTTAATATAATACACATAAGTGATCCCAGGAGACCAGGAGTACTTCTGACAATTTCATTGCAGTCCATAATTACACTTTTCCTTATTTTAGTCATGTTTCATGAAACTTATACTCTTTGTCCTTTGCCAGAATGTATGGCAAGAGCTGAAACAATCTGTTTTTTTTTTTTTTTTTTTTTTTGAGACAGAGTCTCGCTGTCGCCCAGGCTGGAGTGCAGTGGCGCAATCTCGGCTCACTGCAGGCTCCGCCCCCTGGGGTTCACGCCATTCTTCTGCCTCAGCCTCCCGAGTAGCTGGGACTACAGGCGCCCGCCACCTCGCCCGGCTAATTTTTTGTATTTTTAGTAGAGACGGGGTTTCACCGTGTTAGCCAGGATGGTCTCGATCTCCTGACCTCGTGATCCGCCCGCCTCGGCCTCCCAAAGTGCTGGGATTACAGGCGAAACAATCTGTTTTTTAAGAAAGTTTACTTAGGTAAGATGTGATCATGAGTCAGAGCCAGAGATGAAGTAAAGGACATAACTCCATGTTGTAAATAATCACAGTGGTCTTTTTGGAAACATGAGTAAATTATCTTGTGTAACAACATATTTGCATATTTAGCATCTCTAGATAAACTATAAACTCCTTTAAGAATGCTATTTGCTTCTTTTATATCTCCTATCAATGTAACACAATATTCAACATGGTAAATGTTCACATTCAGTTACAACTGGTAAATATAAATGAGAAACCCACATAACTAACATACTATGTAAATATGCTCATGAATTTCTCTAAATCATCTCACACTTAGTCAACTCCTTTGGCAATGTATCTAGACCTGCCTATTTCATGCATTGCAAGCAATAGAGGTCAGGAATTATTGGCATGTTGGTCAATAAGTTACTGAAGTTAATCTTCATTTAATGAATCATCAGCAAGGGAGCTACACAGATGACAAGTGTTCAATTTTCAGAAATCTCTTGCCCAATCTGTCTCTCTTCCTTCTGTCTTCCTAATTATTGATTTGATGTATGAGCCCCTCCTCCCAATCCTTCAGCCAGCACCCTTGAGAGTTCAGCCTTTTAAAGATGTTCTCATTAGAGTCAATAATTCACCATGGCATATTATATACTACCCTGAAAATCTATATAGCTGTTCTTTCATGTTGTACATCCTGGGGTGCTCAAATAATTAATTTCACTAGCTATAAAGAACAATACCTTCTATTGTGAGTGGTAAAAATGTACTATACACAGAGCCAATTGTATGGACATGGCTTGGAGACAAGCTCTGCTGGAGAGTTTCTCAAGAGGATTTTAATGTTGAAGATAGGTAGTTCTGTTCTTGGACCGATATGAAAGCATAAAATAAAGTGTAAATGTTCTTTGGAATTAGTCAATTACCAATTGGTCCAAATACTTTCTTTGGGCATTTTTTTCTCTTTCCTCTAATTTCTAAGAGTAAAAATAGTTTATTTAGTATCATTGAAAACTCTTGCTTGGAATAAAGCATTCCAAAGACATAATACCAAGACTCAGGAGAAAATACCAGTGTCTGTTTCTCACAGTCTGATTCAGAACTGTTTAGATTTTAAAACAGCTATTTGTATGAATGCTAAAGACTTTTTAGTTAATTAATATTAATAAAGGCCAGTCATATCCCAATTTAGTTACCTAAAGAGGGGAATAACAATATGCACATTAACATTTTAATTACTGCTAAGTAAAATAAAGACTTCAATTTAGTTTGTGGGAAATCAGTAACAATTTAGATAAATTAAAAATTACCTTTTAAACTTTTGTAGTATAATTAAGAGTCAGGGGTCTCAGATTCAAATTCTAGCTCTGCCAATAACTAAATAGGTGGCCTTGAGTTAAGTCATTTCAGTTAACCTGGCCTTGGTTTCTTCAGTCCTATAAAATAGAGATTAGTTCCTTCCAGTTCTAGTACTCTATGTTTCTTTCTATGATCATCACTTAGACCTCCAATGAATAAATCACTCACTCCAATGGAATAGAAACATTAAGTAGCAATCTTTCTTTTTTCTTGAATAAATCCTGGGCAAAAGGTATTTATGGGAGCAAAGAAATGGATGAATTATTTTCAAAACATATATGTTCCCTTAGATGGAAGAGTTCCTGGGATGAAATTTTTGTTTTATAGGAGACTGGCTTAGGAAACCCAAGACAGAATGTATATCTATTCATTTCTAGGTCATAGTGTGAAAACTTCCATTTGGAAATCTGGGAGCAGTTCTTAAGTCAAAAAACAGACCTGGAATCACAGTATCCATACATACCAGTTGGAGGACAAAAGACATTGCCCCAGAGACCAGAGGCACCAAAATACACTACACCTAGCTACCTGAGAATGCCTCTAGCTGGCAACTCCAGCAAAGGCCCTTTTCCCCATCCTTGACCATCTTGAGTGAAAGCAAAGAACTGAAAGATTGAAAAATCTGAGACTGAGCGTTCCTTCCTGGAGAGACTCGTACCATATCAACCAGATTGGATATGTATTTATTTTTCTTTTCTGCCATTCAGCATGTGGCAAAGACCCATTTAGTTATAAACAAAATAAAAGAGGTTGTATTTATAAAATTTTGCACATCTAAGTTGTAGTATGTATTAAGTTTGTATCCTTGTTATATGTGATTCCCTGCTGTGGCCCAGCAGATAATATAAACACTGTATTTTATAGACCCCAAATTTAATACTGGAATCTTAAGCAAACAAAGTCTTTCTCACACATTTTATCGTATTTGTCACTAAAAGTCCTTTGTCTCCAGAACATCAATCTGGGTACTGTTCCTAAGAACCCAATTGGTACAACTTTTTGGAGTTAATAAAATTGTATTCCCACTGGTTTCCATTGCTGTTTTGTGCACAATTCCCCACTGAGTATTTGATGAATTTCTACTCCTTGGGGGCCCCATTTTTTGTGTGAGTTTGCTGAGGATCCATGCGTCTTGTCACAGGGAGGAAGATGATTTCCTCTGATAACATTCCCCTGGTACCTGAGGAGCTTATCACAGCCCTTTATTTGGCTGTTTCTGTTATGTTGGCATGCGTCCAGAGCAATGGGAAAGAAAAGGTTGTGCTTTTACAGGGAACATTTTATTCCCTCTTGGGAAAAGTGAACATGACTCAATGTCAGGAAGGGAAATTTTTCATTCAGATAAAGAGAATGAACATCCGCCTACCTCTTTTAATAGTTAAAACACATTTACGGTCCGTTTGCATTTTGTTTTCTTGAAGAGCTCAAATTATTTTAGAAAATCTGATTTATTGAAACCAGACCTGCACCAGCTTGTTTTGTGTGTGAAGAGGGACTATTTTTCATTTCTCAAGAGACCTGTGTGGTGAGGGGGGCCAAGATGGTGAGGTCAGGTTGGATATGGGTGGGTGGGGGAAGATTTCTGAAATAAAGAACCAAAAACTGGGTGCAAGCTGGACTTTCTCCCTAATGAGAGAAGCCAAGAGGGGAATGAAAATTATTAAAGATTGATCGGGTAAGGCATTTGAACTTATCAATAGGTTTCAACCTATTGGATTGCTATTAAATAGTCACAAAAACTGCATCCTGATTTTTGAAGGTGATGGATATTGGAAGGGACTTGGGCAAATCCAACCCTGAGTTTACCTTTGTAAATTTATCATTTGTCATTCATTTGAAAATCTCAACTCCTTAATAGAACTGTAAGTCTCCAGAGAGCATAGAGTCTGTGTTTCCTTTTATTAAAAAATGACTTCTTGTTCTATTCCTCAGAGTACCCAGCTTAGCTCTGAGTATGTCCTCAGTAACATTGTAGTTGTCTCAATATATGTATTTTAAATTGACTGCTGTATTATCTAAAGATAGAGACTCACTGGCTCTAATTCAGCAGTTCCTGTGGGCACCAGCGAGGCGCCTATACACTGGATTAAGGACAGTATAATATTTTGCTTTAACGTCTCTGTAATAAAAATTTATGTTTGCTGATGATCAAGGCAGAGAAAATTTTTTTGTTCCTTGTTTTCTCCAGACTGGTTTTTGTGTGAGTCCAGAATCAAGGATGCCTCTTGTTGCAGAGACTACTGAGAGGTGACAGTGTGCTGGCAGTCCTCACAGCTGTCGCTCGCTCTCGGCACCTCCTCTGCCTGGGCTCCCACTTTGGCGGCACTTGAGGAGCCCTTCAGCCCACCGCTGCACTGTGGGAGCCCCTTTCTGGGCTGGCCAAGGCCAGAGCCGGCTCCCTCAGCTTGCAGGGAGGTGTGGAGGGAGAGGCGCCAGCGGGAACCGGGGCTGCGCACGGCGCTTGCGGGCCAGCTGGAGTTCCGGGTGGGCGTGGGCTTGGCGGGCCCCGCACTCGGAGCAGCCGGCCAGCCCTGCAGGCCCTGGGCAATGAGGGGCTTAGCACCCGGGCCAGCGGCTGCGGAGGGTGTACTGGTTCCCCCAGCAGTGCCAGCCCACCGGCGCTGTGCTCGATTTCTCACCGGGCCTTAGCTGCCTTCCCGCGGGGCAGGGCTGGGGACCTGCAGCCCGCCAAGCCTGAGCCTCCCACCCGCTCCATGGGCTCCTGTGCGGCCGGAGGTTCCCGACGACCGCCACCCCCTGCTCCACGGCGCCCAGTCCCATCGACCACCCAAGGGCTGAGGAGTGCAGGCGCACGGCACCAGGACTGGCAGGCAGCTCCACCTGCAGCTCTGGTGCGGGATCCACTAGGTGAAGCCAGCTGGGCTCCTGAGTCTGGTGGGGACGTGGAGAACCTTTGTATCTAGCTCAGGGATTGTAAACGCACCAATCAGGGCCCTGTCAAAACAGACCACTGGGCTCTACCAATCAGCAGGATGTGGGTGGGGCCAGATAAGAGAATAAAAGCAGGCTGCCTGAACCAGCAGTGGCAACCCACTGGGGTCCCCTTCCGCACTGTGGAAGCTTTGTTCCTTCGCTCTTTGCAATAAATCTTGCTTCTGCTCAGTCTTTGGGTCCACACTGCTTTTATGAGCTGTAACACTCACTGTGAAGATCTGCAGCTTCACTCCTGAAGCCAGCGAGACCACGAGCCCACCGGGAGGAACGAACAACTCCAGACGCGCTACCTTAAGAGCTGTAACACTCACCGTGAAGGTCTGCAGCTTCACTCCTGAGCCAGCGAGACCACGAACCCACCAGAAGGAAGAAACTCCGAACACATCTGAACATCAGAAGGAACGAACTCCAGACGCGCCACCTTAGGAGCTGTAACCCTCACCGTGAGGGTCCGCGGCTTCATTCTTGAAGTCAGTGAGACCCAAAAACCCACCAATTCTGGACACACTACTACTTGACCTCCAATATCTATTTTTTACATCTGCCTTCTTTAGTAATTCAGCTTCCTTCTGATTTTTTTCCCCAGGGCTCATGCCAACCTAGAATATGTATTATACTCCCCAGCCTCCCTTACAGTTAGATGTGGCTACACAACTCGGTTCTGGGCAATGGAGTGTATGTGGAAGTGCAACTTTTGCATATAGGATACTGTCCTTTATGGAAAGGGGAAAGCCGTTCTTCTCTGCTTTCTTACACCCTGCTGCCTGGAGTGTGGATGTAATGGCTGGAGCTCCCAGGCCTATCAAGGACCATGTTCTTGGGAATGGAAGCTGTGCATACAGAACAAGATAGAAGAAGCTTTACATTTTGACACCATGGAGCTTCCATATAACCAACCTCTGGACTGCTCGCCTCTTGAATCCCATCTGAGGGAGGAATAAACAACTATATTGTTTAAGTTTTCTTTTGGCTTTTAATTCTAGTTAGAATCTAATTTGAACTAATATGGTCCCCTGAGCCAATAATCTGTATTCTGTTATAAACCGCAATTCTGTTGTATAAAGCATCTTTTTTTTATACAACAGAGAAGTTCCTGAACTTTTTTTGGTAAGTTTGAAGATATTTTAAATATAATAATAGGGGTTACACTTTAAAGAAACCATATAGCAAATTCTTTTATAAAGGATTTACATTTTTTTATTACAAAAATGTTTTAAGTGCCAAATCCTAGAATGGGGGGAAAAAAAAGACATTAGTGGAACTATTGATGAGACCTAAATAAAGTCTGTAGTCTGGTTAACAATGTTGTACTAATGTTCTTTTCTAGTTTTGATAGTTGCACAACGGTTATGTAAGATGGTAATGTAATGTTAGAATAAGCTATCCGGTTGGTTCAAAAGTAATTGCAGTTTTTGCCATTGAAAGTGATGGGAAAAAACGCAATTACTTTTGCTCCAAACCCAATAGTCACAGGTTATGTGGAAATTCAACTCAGTACTTTTTTTAAAACTATGGTAAAATATTCATAATACAATTTACCACGTAAACAAATTTAAGTGTACATTTCAGTGGCATTAAGTACATTCATATTGTTCTGTAACCATCACCACTATCCATTCCCAGAACTTTTTCATCTTCCTAAACCGAAACTCTGTGCTCATCAAACACTAAATCCCCGTTTCAACCCTTCCCCCAGCCTTTGGCAACCACCACTCAATTTCTGTATCTATAAATTTGACTACTCTAGGTGCCTCATAGAGGTGGAATTATACACTATTTGTCCTTTTGTTACTAGCTTATTTCAGTTAGCATAATGTCTGTAAGAGTCATCTATGTTGTAGCCTGTGTTGGAATTTTCTTTTTTTTTTTTGAGACGGAGTCTTGTTCTGTCGCCCAGGCTGGAGTGCAGTGGCCCGATCTCAGCTCACTGCAAGCTCCGCCTTCCGGGTTCACGCCATTCTCCTGCCTCAGCCTCCCGAGTAGCTAGGACTACAGGCGCCTGCTACCACGCCCGGCTAATTTTTTTGTATTTTTAGTAGAGACGGGGTTTCACCGTGTTAGCCAGGATGGTCTGGATCTCCTGACCTGGAGATCCGCCCGCCTCGGCCTCCCAAAGCGCTGAGATTACAGGCGTGAGCCACCAAGCCCGGCCTGTGTTCAAATTTTCTATTCAAGGCTGAATAATACTGTTGTGTATATATACTACATTTTGTTTGTTCATTCATCTGTTGATATGAATTTTGAGGGACAAATACATTTGGTTGATAGTAGCTTCCAAAAGATATTCACATCCTAGTCCCCAGAACCTATGAATGTTACCTTACGATGGCAAAGAAGGATTCTGTAGATCTTGAGATGGGGAGATTTTTCTGGATTATCTGGGTGGGGCCTAAATGCATTCACAGGAATCCTTAGAAGAGGGAAGCAGAGGGAGATTTCAGCAGAAGAGAAGACAATATGAGCAGGGAGACAGAGAGTAGAGTGACAGTGATGCAGACCGAAACCAAGGAATGCCCAGAGCCATCAGAAATTGGAAGAGACAAGGAGTGGATTCTCCCTTAGAGCATGCTAAGGGAGTGTAGCACCTTGATTTTGGCCCAGAGATACTGATTTCAGACTTCTGGCCTTTAGAACTGTGAGGGAATACATTTCTGTTGTTTTAAGCTTCCAAGTTTGTGATGATTTGTTACAGAAGCCACAGGAAACTAATACATCATATAAAAATTAGCTGATGATTTATTAACAGGATGCCAAATGTTCAGCTGGTGAGATATAATTTATATAGACAAGTTATGGAAATGACCTAATTTTTTTATCTCTCATTTAGCATCATTTTATACTACTCAGAATTTCTGCATTTGTTACAGTATTCTTAGAAATGTTTTTTTCCTGACTGGTAAAATAATAATACATGTTAGTTGCAGAAAAGTTAGAAAATATAGAAAAGTGGGTTAGGCACGGTGGCTCACGCCTGTAATCCCAGCGCTTTGGGAGGCTGAGGTGGGCGGATCGCTTGAGCTCAGTAGTTTGAGACCAGCCTGGAAGACACGGCAAAACCCCGTCTCTACAAAAAATGCAAAAATTAGCCAGGTGTGGTGGCATGCGCCTGTAGTCTCAGCTACCCAGGAGGCTGAGGGAGGATCGCTTGAGCCTGGAGGGTAGAGGCTGCAGTGAGCCATGATCTTGCTGCTGCACTCCACCCTGGGCAACAGAGCAAGACCCTGTCTCAAAAAACAAACAAACAAACAGAGAAAAATATGGAAAAGCATAAAGAATTAAATATAATCTTACAATCCCAACATTCAGTTTTGATGACAATTTAGATATATTTCCTTCAAGTCCTCTCTTTAGATTTACAAACTGCATTTACAATGACATCTCACATTTATTTCACATAGAATCAGTTTGTGTATAATATGCATTTATTAATGAAATAATATTTTATATAAAACATTATTGTCCATAAACTAATCTGGATGTAGTAAACTGGATTGGCTGAATTACATGTACTGTTACTAAACTAACACGATAGAGAAAAAGGTTTAATAATCTCTCTTTTAAAATATGCATTTGTTTTGTGTCTATTTGTGACAGAGTTGTGATCTCATTGTATATAATTACATATTATATACATTTTATTCTTTTTTTACATAACAAAACCCTTTCCCCAGATTATTAATAATTTATCCTATATGTGATTTTAAATGTCCATATAATACTCCATAGAATATCATGTACATTTCTATACCTATAAAATACGGAAATATCTCAGCCATTTCTCACATTTATAATTTTTATTTATATCATTTATCATTTTTATTATTTTCTGAGACATAATAGATCTACACATTTGTGGGGTACGTGTGATAATTTAATACATTCATATATTTGTGAAGATCAAATCAGTGTAACTGGGAACTTTGTCTTTTCTTTATGCTAGAAACATTCAAATTATTTTCTTCTAGCTATTTTGAAATATATGGTAGGTTAATGTAAACTTATAATCAACACATTGGAGAGCATCTTTGCACATAATAATTGGGTCCATTCTTGGTTATTTGTAAATTGTTCATTCCATGTACTTTATCCTTTTATCCATTTATCTCTTGAGGGCCCTAGTTTTTTCCTTAGTAATTTATATAATAAAGATGTAAACACTTTTAAGATAACAAAACAGATTTTTATTATTTGTGCTTACTTAATTATAGATATACTTGTATTCTGAACCAAAATGACAATTATGTTATAATAAATCCAATCCTTTGGTTATCTCAATGAAAAATTATTTCTGCTTTATATGTGTAGGACACACCCTATTAGTAAATGCACTGATTTTTAAACTTAAAACAAAACACCAAGTAGTTGATAATGTTGGATATCACAACTTCACGGTTTTAGAAAATTTTTCTCTAGATCTGCCCCTATTATCTATTACAATCACCCTTCTTAGCTAATACCAATTTATTTTACTAAGATGAATATTTAGGGAAAATTAGAAATGGAAAATTGGAATTAGAAATTAGAAAATCCCACTCAGGCAGTAATTCTGAAATCTTAAATATTATTGGTTTTCAAAATGATTCTATTTTCAATTGAAGCAAGAGGTCTAAAGAAAGAGGAAAAAAAAGCATAAAATCCTTTGTTCCTGAGCCTTTGGAACTGACAATTTCTATTGAAAAAAAATTTTTTTAAAGATGTGTGCACCGCAAATAAACACAGAAGCATTTTTAGGGTGGAATCAGATTTTTCAAAGGCAATGAAATGTTCAAGGGTTCACACAACCGTTAGATATTTTCCCAAATGGAGGCCAAGGAGAATAATTATGGAACTGGAAGGGAAATAGGAATTAATCAGATGCTTCGTTGGAAAGCAGGTTACAATACAGCTCCAGACAAATGTATCCATTGGGAGCTATGACTCCAGTTGCTGGAAGACACTTAACTAGATAAAGACTCTTCATTTCATCCTGGTAACTTCTAATTTGTTTGCATATTTAATTTAAAGGCTTTAATTGTGTGTATTACTTCAAGAATCTCTTGTTGATAGAGCATATATCATTTTTCTTCCTTTTTCAAAATAAAAACCTCTAGAGAGAATACCTTTTCCCCAATATTTGAACTTTAATCCCTGGAATAGTATCTAGATCTAAATATACCACTTTGGAACTTCAAAAAGATATTATAAATAATCTTATCTATAAAGTTGAAAATGTACAATAAACAATTTTGTAAACTTATGACACTAGTAGTTCAGAAGAGACCACCGGTAGAAAAATTTATTTAATACAAAAATTTTTTGGCAGAAGGCTTTGAGAATACCAGAATGGCAATTCACTTAATATTAGTAAAGCCCTTTTAGAAGCTTTAAATGAATGGACTAATAGCTTCGATGAATTGACTATATAGCAAATCCTTATGCAACGTAATTAGAAATTTCCCATATATATTGGGATGACTTTCCTGGAAATATGTCTGTCTTCATCCCTCTTATAACTCTGAATTAAAGCTATTATTAAAGGCCAATTTGAAAAATATTAAGTTACTTAAAATTATAAATAATGTTATTTTTTAAATATTGAAATATCTTGAATAAATACCAGTTGCAAAAATCAGCTCTTAATCAGTTATTCAACACCTGTTTGTTGGGCATTTATTCAATAAAATATATTGAACATCTTTATGTGACATTCAATGCTGCAATTAAGGAATACCAACTAGTGGAAGAAATAGGCACTAATACAGATAATTAAAAAATAATATGGTAAATGCAATTAATTTATTCACTCATTTGTTATATGTTGCCTATTGTAGGTGCTAGTTATACACAGGCTAGAAATCAAACAAAACCCTGGCCTGATTCTGCTTCTCATATAGTTTAGAGTGTATATTTTGTAAATAAATGTAATTAAGAACTGATCATTTTTATGAATGAACATGGCTGGTGCTATGAGTGAGTTTAGGAGGATATAAGTGAGATTAGGGACAAGAAAAGCTTCTCTGAGAAAATATTTCAGCTGAGGTCTGATGAATGGGTGTTAGACAAAGAGTAAAGGAACCAATAATCTGGGCAGAGGGAGTAGCTTGTTTGTCTTGAAGGCCCTGGGCCAGGAATGAGCTTGTCTAGATTGATAATCCTAAAGAGGGTAAGTGTGGCTGGCGCTTGGTGAGTGAAGGTGAGATATAAGAAGCTGAGGCTGGAGAGGTGGGAGTGGCCAGAGCATGGAGGGCCTGGGAGGCCACATACCTTCCATATGGGGAAGTCATTGAAGCAGTTTCTACAGAGGACTCACATGATCTAGAAATATGACTTTGAAAATATCCAGGAAGAGGGGGCACCTGGGAAGGGCTCTCTCTCTCTCTCCCTCTCTCTCTGTCTCTCTGTCTCTCTCTCTCTTCTCTCTCTGTGTGTGTGTGTGTGTGTGTGTGTGTGTGTGTGAGAGAGAGAGAGAGAGAGAGGGAGAGAGAGAGAGAGGGAGAGAGAGAGAGGTTTTGTTGAATTATAGCCTGTGACGCAGGGAGTGGTGGGAAATGAGTTGGAGGGTGGGCCACAGACAGGTCTCAGTGGGTCTTGGTGGGACGTATCAGGAGCTTGCATGCTGTGGGAAGGCACTGCATGGTTTTAAGCAGGAGAGTGACCTTGACCAATTTGTAATTAACAGAGCGAATTGTAGCCATCTTGAAGGAGATTGCAGTATACCCACCTTTAACTGGGGTAATGATACTAAAGGTGGCCAGGAGCAGATACACTCAAGAAATGTAAAAGTAAAAGGTAAAATTGGCAGACTTCAGTGACTGCCATATGTGACAGGCGAGGAAGAAAAAGAAACCAAGGTTGAAGTGAGGTTTCTACCTTGAGTGCCTGGATGGAGAACACCGGTCAGGAGTGTGTGGGGGGGCGTGGGGGAGGATAATGACTTTAGCATTGATGTGCCCAGCACAGTGCTAGAAACTGTATTTGATATAAAAGGTCAGGAAAGCAACCAATCATTAAGAATCTAATCTATTCAAGGTACTTTTTCAAACACCTTACTTATTTAGTTCTCCTGACAACAATATGAATAGGAATTTCAAATCTCATTTACAGATGAAGCAATAAGGTGCACAGAGACTTAGACTCTCTACGACAAAGATCCCTATACTCGTAAAGTTGTAGAAGTGAAGGTCACTGAACTGAGGAGTTTATGGTGTGGGAGAGATTAAGATGCACACACAAACATATGACCTAATAGGATTAAATGCTAAGCTATATGGTTATAACAATAGATGGTGAAGACTCCCAGAAGGGTAAAAACAGAGTGGATGGCAGTATTTGGGAAGTCTGATAGGACGTATGGTACCATGCTGAGAACCTCAGGGATATTGCAAAAGGCAAAGATGGAGTCTCTGGATTATGTATTAGGGCTGTATAGTGTTTAACCCCTTTCAAATTTGTTATATCCCGTCAAGATGAGTAAGCAAAACCAGAGGATTTATTCTTGGTTCTTTTTACTTGCACATGTTCTTGGCAAATACTTAATTGTGCCATTTCGTTTGAAAGAAAATCCCAGTTCTTTAGTATGATTAGACTGATTGTTTTAACGGTTTCCATTGTTTTCAGGAATCGAACATTTCTTGGAAATGGAAAGTGATAAGAGGATGGTTACATAGAAAAATCCCCATAGAGTTGAGCAATGCAGTTCCCTGGACTAGAAAAGTTCATATAGTGATGTCAAAGCTTAGCAATAATTTATATAAACGCTGGCCCAAAGCCACTGACCATGGGAAAAGTTTCTGTATAACTACTCTTCTGATGGGGTCTGACCCAAAAATGAGGGAGAGAGATAACCTATTTGAACTGAGTAAAAAAAAGAATTTCATCTGGTTCAACCTAACAGTACTGAAATAATTGCAGAAAAGCAACGATCTATACTTTTCTTACCAGCTTCAGGAAAAGCTCTTCCACAACTTCCTTTGGCAGCCCCTTCTATTGTCTTGGAATTCATTCATTCAGGGAGTTCTTAGTATTGACCTAAATCCCTCTTGAATTAATTAAAGCCATTTTACTTCTCTTGCCCAGAACAAGCATTGAAAAGGACAGCTTGTCATTACTTGTTTAAACCCCCTTCATCATTTTGAAGACAGTAATGAAATGTCCAGTCAGCCCCTTTTCTCTAACTTAAAAGTTCCTCTAGCTTTCCCTCAAGGACCTATTCCCTTTCAATTTTTAGATGCTGTTCAGAAAGACCAGGTAAGTGAACTTGGACAAACACTTAATCTTTCTAAGACTCAGCTTCTTTGTTTGCAAAACGAGGATTTGGAATAAAATCAAATGTTTTCCATCTGCTCTGAAGCTCTTTCTTAGGGGTTTCTGGGAGGGGGCATGGCATATGTGTGTGTGTGTGTGTGTGTGTGTGTGTATGTGTGTGTGTGTGTGTGTGTGTGTGTATGTGTGTGTGTGTGTGTATGTGTGTGTGTGTGTGTGTATGAGACAGAGAGAGAGAGAAGGCTGATTTCTGCTGTACTGTATTTGTATGCAATACTTAATCTTTTCAAAGTTATACATGCTGAATTACCCTTTTGTATCCATTCTTCCCCCTTTCCACTCTTTCACTTGAGTTCACATACACATACATATGCACCCAAAAGGAAAAATTAAAACCAAACTGTTATAAATAGCATTTTTAAAAATCCTAAATAAATTAACAAACAAAACCCAGGAGCATATTTAAAGACTAATATACTATGATCAATTTAAATATAAAAATTAAAAAATTACCTAATTATAATTTATTAATATAGTATAATTTTTTGTACTCTTGTAATAATCTCCAAAGATGCTGAAAGTGAATGCAATAATTTTAATTTTCCTTTTTTTATTTTAAAAACCTCTTAAATAGGAATAGATAGATGGATATTTCCCTATTATGATATATATTTATATATCTCAACCAACAAACCTGCCATATGACTAATGAAGGAGAACTAGAAGCAGTCGCAATAAAGTGATGAACAAGTTGAAAATGTCCAGTTTTACTATTAGTATCTAACATAGGACAGGGGGTATCAATAAACAAATATGAAAAATCAGGTTGGGGGACTTGAGCAGCCTGATGGCAAGTCCTATATAAAGCTATTATAATTAGGAAAGATATAGACATTGGAACGGAATAGAGAATACAGAAGCATCCACAGATACATGGAAATCTGAAAAATGACAAAAGTCACATTACAGATCAACAAAGAATGGATTATTTAATAAATGGTACCTGGTCTGGTTGCCAGACCAAATGCAGGATGTCAGTTAAATTTGATTTGCAGATAAACAACAAATAATTTTTTGGCATAAGTGCGTTCAAAATATTGCAAAGGTGGCTGGGTGCGGTGGCTCACGCCTGTAATCCCAGCACTTTGGGAGGCCGAGGAGGGCGGATCACGAGGTCAGGAGATGGAGACCATCCTGGCTAACACGGTGAAACCCCGTCACTACTAAAAATAAAAAAAAAATTA
Organism: Homo sapiens; assembly: GCF_000001405.40. Lineage (NCBI taxonomy): Eukaryota > Metazoa > Chordata > Mammalia > Primates > Hominidae > Homo > Homo sapiens. The sequence goes on along the minus strand of NC_000007.14, from coordinate 91,617,757 downwards.
GCCGGGCGTGGTGGCGGGCCCTGTAGTCCCAGCTACTCTACTCGGGAGGCTGAGGCAGGAGAATGGCGTGAATCCAGGAGGCGGAGATTGCAGTGAGCCGAGATCATGCCACTGCCCTCCAGCCTGGGGGACAGAGTGAAACGCCGTCTCAAAAAAATAAAAAAATAAAGAATAAAAATAAAAAATATTGCAAAGGACGTACTTATACTAAAATATTCATTTTTATCTGAAATTCAAATTAAACTGGGTGTCCTGTGTTTTTATTTGCTAAATCTGGCAACTCTAGTACCAAGCCAATATGTTATTCACATGGACCAAAGTGAAAATGGACTCCTACCTCATTTTCTATACATAAATAAATTTTAAATGAATCAAGGTCTTAAATGGAAAAGGCAAAAACTTAAAATACAAGGAAAAAATTGCATGACCTCAGAATAGGGAATAATTTCCTAAATAAGACTCAGAATGTAACCCATTTTTTGGAGAAGATATATAAATTTGACCACCTTAAAATGACATACTTCTTTTTTCTCAAAAAATACTCCAAAAAAAAAGACAGCTATAAACTGAGAGATGTTTTTGTAAGACATAATCAAAAAGCATTACTATTCAGAATATATGAAAAATTTCTACAAATCAGAAAGATTTCAATGATAAAAGACAACAAAAAAGAAAAATGCAAAAGACAGAAAGAGGCAATTTTTTAAGAGAAAGCACACATGGCCAATAATTGTGAAGATATGCTAAACATCACTAATAATCAGGAAAATGCCAATTAGAGACATCATTTTACAGCATCAGATGGCAAACATTAAAAAATAATTAATCTGATTGTGATATTATTACACAATGTATACATATTTAAATTTTCATGTTCTAGATCTTCAATGTATATAATCTTTATTTGTTAATTAAATATTTTAAAATTTAAGAAAGGAAAACATTGGGCAATATTACATTTTGGCAAGAATGTGCAGCAATGGGAACATAAACACATTTCTGGTGGTTGTGTGCTTTAGTAAAATCATTTTGGAAAACATTTGATTCTACCTGGACAAGTTGAACAAGTGCATATACCCTACTTATAGCAATTCCACTCTCATGTGTATGTATTCCAGAGGAACTCCTGAACATGTTTATCTGGATATGTACACAAGAATGTTCAAGCTAGCCTTATTTGTAACAGGAAAAAAAAAAACAAAAAGAAAATAAATCTAGATATCTACAAAGAGTATGTTGAATACATAAATTGTAATGTATTGTTACAAAAGAATATAGTACAGTGGAGAAAATGGCCAAAATACAACTACTTCCTACAAAATGGGTAAATCTCAAAAGTATAGTGATGGGAATAAATAAGCACATCACATAATGATTTCCATTCCTTTGGATATATACACAGAAGTAGGATTGCTGACATATAGTAGTTCTATTTTTAGTTTTTTGAGTAACCTCCATACTATTTTCCAAAATGGCTGTACTAATTTACATTCCCACCAATAATGTACAAGGGTTCCCTTTTCTCCACATCCTCACTAATATTTGTCATTTGTCTTTTTGATAATAACCATTCTAACAGGCACAAGGTGATATCTCATTGTGGTTTTAATTTGCATTTCTCTGATGATTAGAGATGTTGACCTTTTTTTCATATATCTGTTGGCCATTGATATATTTTCTTTGAGAAATATCTGTTCATATCTTTTTCTCATTGCCAAACAGGTATCTGCATTCCCATGTTTATTTCAGCATAATTCACAGTAGCCAAGATATGGAAGCAACCTAAGTGCCTATCAATACATGAATGTATAAAGAAAATGTGGTATATACACACAAAGGATTATGATACAGCCTTAAAAAAGAAGGACAATCTGTCATTTGCAACAATATGGATGGAACTGGAGGGCATTATGTTAACTGAAATAAGCCACGCACAGAAAGACAAATGCTGTGTTTCACTTACATGTGGAATCTAAAGTCAATTTCATAGAAACAGAGAGTAGAAAGCTGGTTACCAGAAGCTGGGGGGAGGGGAAAGGATAAGGAATGAGAAGATGTTGATTAAAGGGTACAGAGATTCAGTTAGACTGGAGGAATAAGTTTTAGTGATCTATTGAACTGCATGGTGACTACAGTTAATAATAATGTATATTTCAAAATTGCTACAATAGATTTTTCATGTTCTCATTACAAAAAATGATACATTGGTGAGGTGGTAGATATGTTAATTAGCCTGATTGAATCTTCCCATAATGAATATATAGATTAAAACATTACATTGTACCCTATAAACATACACAATTATTTGTTATTTAAAAATGTTTTAAAAAGCAAGACATACAATATATACAGTATAATTCAATTTACATAAAGTTGCAAATCAGACAAAACAAAATTACACACACACATGCATTAAAATGCAAGGATATTAGTATTACTACAAAATTCAAGGCAGTAGTTACTTCTGGAAGGGACACACAAGAGCTACAAATGAATTGGTGGTGTGCTATTTGCTTGGGGAGTACATAGAATTTATTTTATTTTTAAATTATTATTATTATTTAAAATGTACAGGTGTGTTATAATGTGCTTTTGTGTGGGTATAATGTATTTTGAAATAAATGAAAAGAAAGAAAGTGATCAAGTTACTATTTTATTTTCTAGAGAGTGATTGTATTCTTGGAAGATTCCAGAGAATTAAAATACTGAGAGTTCAATGGGGTTGGATAAAAATAGACATGCAAAACATAATTACTTTTATTTACTAATAAATAACCTGTTTAGAAAATACCTTTAAAAAATTTAATCCCTGATAACAATGTAATCATTAATATTCCCAGGAATAAACCTGACAAAGGATGTGTGACATTTATATGAAAAACACCATAAGGGTTCACTAAAGGGTTTAAAGTTCTGAATGTACGTAAAAAAATACTTGTCCACTTCTAATAGGAGTCCTCTCTGAACCCCTTCATTACATCTGTGCCTCATACCTAATGGAGAGGAATGCTGATCCAGTTGGTGCGACTCACATAACTGATTAGGTCACTTTTTCTGAGGGTGGAGCTTTGAAAGAACTGGAAATTTTATATTTGTCTGCACGTGCAGTGAGAACATAAGTGGCCCCAATTCTGTTTTTTTCCATCAAGCTTGGCTGCTTCTCTTTCTTTCACTGGGTCTCTCTCTTCTATCTTAGCTGGTTTTACTTCAGATATTACTTTTAACGACTGGAAAATGTGTTTTCTCTTTCCATGTATCTCTCCAGATCCTCTTTCCGTAGTGCTGATGGGAGTGACATATCATCCCACTGGCATAGCAAGGTTTGGTATTAATATTTGGGATTTATTATCAGTTGGTGGTGGGAAGGGTGGTGCAACAAAGAGCAAGAGGACTGGTGACGTGTGGCATGAGCAGAGCAGATTCTTCTTTGATGCTAGGCCATTCACACTGATGTAGCTTTAAAGAGGATATCCCCACTTTGCCCAGATGAGCTTACCAGAAGTCTGAATATGGTGCAGGGCCAAAGTGTCAGCTAATAATAAAGTATTATTTTTCCTTACTTTGCCTTCTTTGGGAAAAAAGGGTTGATTCTGCCAAGGCAGAATTCAATTCTTTTCCACCAATATCTCATCTTATTTTCTAATGATATGTTCCTGAATAGGAAGATGCAGAGTTATAAAGATTCTCTACAAGTAAAACCGTAAGTTTAATAAAATTTTAGCAATGTTCCCAACCAGTTGTTTTTTATCTTGAAAATCTGATCAAATTGTTTATCTTGAAAAATAAATGTAAAAGAATGCCCAAAAACTATGGAGGAAAAAAGAATAATAGGAGAATTGCATTAAAAATCATAAGCACATACCCTAAATATACTGTAATTAAAATTGTAGTATTGCCTAGAAATAGACAAATAGATCAATGAGTGGAATAAAAGACCTAGAAACTACACATATATAGGGGCATATAGTATAAGATAACAGATGGCATATGAAATTAACGAGAAGTTTAAATAACAAATATCACCGTTACAATTGGATAACAGTTTAGGGAAAAATAGGTTAGGTAACTACCACTGTAGTAAAAAATAAATTCTAAGTAGTTTAAGGATTTAGACATCCATATCATGTAAATTGCAGAAGGAAAAAGAGAGAACATTTTTACAATCTTGAAGCAAGGATCATTTTCCTTAGCATGTTGCCAAGGCCTGAATATATAAAAGGAATGACTTATTAAAAACATACAAATGGAAAAAGAGGCCATAAATAAAGATGAAAGTCAAGAGATAAGCCGGAAAATATATTTATAAAAGGGGTTAATACCCATAATATAGCAAAGAGATTAAAACAAACAACAACAACAACAACAGAAAATTCCAATAGAAAAAAGGGCAAAGCATTACACAGGCAAATCACAGTGTGGGCTAAAGGGGGGAAGGTTAAGCCACAGGTCAAGTGTTTCGTGTGAGCTCCCTGCTCTTCACCAAGTGAGACTTAAGAGGGAAGAAATAAATTATTCCCTTCATCTACTTGACAAATGCTTATTATTTACATTCAAAGTCTTCCAAGACAGTTGACATATTGTCATGACTTTCTTTATAACCTTGATGCTGAGGATTTATCGTTCTCTCTTCCCTAGGTTCCAGGTCTGCTATTACCAAATATCATGTGGACATTCTGTTTTGAATATCTTGTAATCATTTTTAAATGTCCAAAATTCAATTCATCATTCATGGGATCATTTACATGAGTTTTCTATAAGAAAATTAATGTCTCGTGCTGTATTAGTTTTATTTATTGCAGCTGAAAAATTTACCCCCCAAACTCAGTAGCTTAAAACACTCAGCTCCTGTCAGTTTGGAATCTGGATGCAGCTTATGTAGATGCCTCTTCCTCAAGGGAGTTCACTCACAAGGCTGCAATCAATGTGTTGAGCAGAGCTGAAGTCTCATCTGAAGGCTTGACTGGAGGAGAGCACATGATTGCTTCCATATTCACTCATGTGGTTGTTGGTGGAAGTCAGATCCTCGGGGATTGTTGGGCTGAGACTTCCCTCAGTTTTTTGCCATGTGAGCATCTCCATAGGGTAGACAGCAACATTTCAGCTAGCCTCCCTCAGAATAAGTGGGTGAGAGAGTGAGAAAAGGTGCCCGAGATAAAAGCCACAGCACTTAGTAATCTAACGTCAGAAATTAAGTCCTATCATGTTTGCTGTATTCAGTTGGTTAGAAGTGAGCTGCTAGATTCCAGCTGACACTCAAGGGGAAGGATTACACAGGGTATAGATCCTAGGAGGCAGTTCATTGGGGCCATCTTAGAGGCTGCCTACCTCAGATGCTAAGGTATCCAGGAGAACTAGTGATACAGGTGTGATCTGAAGTCCAAGTAGATGGACTAGGCTGGATATTACAAGGCTCTGAGGCATACACTGGAGCAGGGTCAGAGAGAGAGCTCACGGCCAAGGGTGGCAGGAGGGCACTAGTAAAAGTAGAGTACACACAAGTTAAAACTTAGGGTTCAGAGAAGCTATGAGAGAACAGGTGTGTGTAAAGTTCAGACCAACATCTTAAGATTCACAGCTCAGGCAAACAGAACCACAGCACAGCACAGCACAGCTGAGGTTTGACTCTGATTTTTGAACAGATAGGACAGGTTTATGGGCAGCCATTGAATGGTGTGGGCCAAAAGATACAAGCTGTTCTGATGGAAAATTCTGTAGCTGCTATTAATTATCACAGGGAGCTTTGTTCCTCAAGGGAGGGAACTTTCAGAGCTCTGATGTTCTTTATCTTCCTCTTCCTCCTGAACCAAGTTTTTTTTTGTTTGTTTGTTTTGTTTTTTTTTTTCCCAGTGTCACTGATTCTATCAAGGGTGCCTTAATTCTCCCAAACCCTTTGGCTCCTCTTTTCATTTTCCTCTCCCATATTCAATTCCTCTCAAGTAATTATTTAAGGAAAAGTATGAAAGTGGCAGCCAGTAATCTGTGGAATTTGGGCAGATTATGCAATCATTCATTTCAATAAACATTAATTGGGCACCTTGCTACGTATCAGGTGGGACCTGTGCGGTCTAGCCACCGGCCACGTGTGGCAACTGTGGACTTCAAATGTGGCTAATATGACTAAGGAACTGAAGTTCTAATTGTTTTAAATTTAGAAACAGAAGTAGTGTAACATTTTTCTATTAAGACAAATTTATCGTTTTGGTAGGAATACATTTTACTATGACCATTGAAAATTTAGCATCCACATTGAGATATACTATAAATGTAAAACACACATGGATTTTGAAGACTTGGTATGAGAAAATAATTTTTATACTGATTACATGTTGGAATATAAATATTTTGAATATATGGTGTTAAATAAAATATATTATTAAAATAAATTTCACCTGTTTTTACATGTAGACACTAGAAAATTTTAAATTACATATGTAACTTGTATTATATTTCTGTTGGATATGTTAGGTTGGACTATATGACTTCTTTAGTTATATTTTTCCTTAAAATTCATAGATGTTAAAAAGTCTTTGCAGTTTTTAATCTCAAAATATTTGCATAACCTTCCCTATACATGTGTTTTCACAACCACTGACCTCACTGATCTCCAAGATGAAGAAATTTGTGCAACACAAAAAAAATTAGAAGTAAAATCTTTGTTTTATATTTCTGTATACTTCCTAGGAAACTCTCAATTTACAGCTGAACACCAACAGGAATTTCAAGTAAATATTGAGAAGTTGTAATGGTATTTGTCACAGTGTATGAATTGTGGTTCGTGCTTTCTTCTTAAATTGTCAGCAGACTTTAAGAATCATATTCATTGAAATTTGAGCAAATTACCAGTAGATGATGGCCTTGCAACTTTTCCACAGGTAGGACTTTTAGACTAGCTTCATTTTTTTAAGATGGTAAATTTTATGCTGCCAAATACTGAATAACTATATGTTGAGTGATTATAAAATTAAACTTACTCTGCTCTCAGATGCAAATATCATGAGGGTTTTTCATGTGTCCACTAGGAAATCTGTGTCTTATGAACACACACATGCTCCTTTCTTCTTATTTCCCAGCTTGGGCAGGGTCAAGTGGCTGTTCTCTGCTGCCTTGTCCCCACTTTTGTTCTTTGTGAAGATTACTGAGTGTCCATATCCTCCGTCTAGTTCCTGGGCCTTGGTAGTTCGCCCTGAAAGCTCTTTGCAGGTTCCCTTCACCTCTTCCCATGGTAAGGCCCTATCCAGCCTTTCTGGATCTCAGCTCATCCATTTGCCCTCCTCCCCACCCCTCCCTCCCTAGGAGAATGTGGAATCTTCTCTGGGTTGCCCACCTGAGAGCTAGAGAGGTGGCTCTCTCCTTTGGCCAGACTTGTGTGGCCTCTTTACATGGCTAGGCCTGCCCCATGTTGTCATAGAGCACCCTGCTCAGTGGATTCCTCCCAGGGAACAAAACAGGAAGCAGAGCAGGTGCACCTCTGCTTTCAGCCTTCCCGTCCACTCATCTAATATTCCCTCTCTACCATCCTCTAGATCAAATGCTGGAGAAAGGACACTATGACTCATGTGTCCCCCCTCCTTTTTCCTCTCCTGACTTTCTCCTCCTAACTGCCCCTGCCACCAGTCACTCTCCCTGCCCTCTCCCTCTGACTGGATGGATGGGACTTTTGTTTCCTGCACCTTTTCACTCTAGTTTTATGTTCTTTATATCATATATTCCTCCTTCACAATCTCAAGATGATATCTCAGCCTTAAGGCAGATGCAGATGGGAAGAAGATCAACTTACACCTAAGAGTAGTTATATCAATAAAGACTTAAAAATATTGTACATGAACGAGATGTATTTTCATATAATTTTCTAAAGTGTTCTAGAAACAGAAAGGGCCATTTTGAACATTTTTTGAGAGAAGAAAAGATAAGAATTATGTCCAAAATAGGATTAAACAGACTTTTAAATGTCTCTTCAGTATTCTCAGACATGTGGTAGCTTATATAAAAATTGCTCCTCTTGGTCAGTAGTATTTTGTAGCCTCTCCACCACATGAGGTCACAGCTTGCCCAAAGAATCAAAACCTTTCTTTTCAGTTTAGAAAACTAGGTATTCAGCCTTATCTAAATGGGCTGTCTCTGTCCCCTACAGATATAATTATAATAAGATTTCATTATCTGCTTTTCCTAAGTTAAAACTAAAATCACAGGTCAAATATATGTCTATTTCTCCTTTATTCTTTGTTCCCAGAGCTTTTCTTTTTTTGTGAAAAGGATTCTGGGGCAGAGATGAGATGCACATGATGGTTTATGATTTAGGCTCTGATCTCCCCTATCAGATTCTATTTTCTCTGATCCTCTCCTAGTTTATAAACACACATAAACATGTCTGTCTGAGTTTGGCTGGAATATTTTACTCAAAAAGGAAGTTAATTTTATCCTTTGGTATCTACTAAAAATATCATACTTTACAAAAAAACTTTCTTGTTTCTCATAACATTGAAATTTATTTTAAACGAACAGATTTTTATTGATAAAATCAGCTAAGCACCAGTATTACAAATTGAAATGGGGCAATAGCTAATATTCGAACAGTATCTAGAATCTGATATACTGAAAAGTGCTCCAGATTGGGGATCAGGAGAAAAGGGTTGTAGTGCAGACCTGCTATCATCACATATGTATCTGTGAACAGCTCATTTCATTTTGCTGGGCTTCAAATTACTCCCTCTATAAAATATGAAGTTACAGTAACTTTTCTTCTAAGGTCTATATTTTGATAAAAATCTGTGATTCTAATATATAGAGAAGGAAAGTGACCAAATCTACTGAAAAAATAGACAAGGCAACATTTCCATCAGCAACTCCCACTTCTAACTATGCCCTTATAGGTTTTCTGCCAAACCAACAAGGGATATGGACTGTCTGGCAGAGTCACTAGGACAAAGGATTAAAGGAAGAAAAAAGGATCCAGATGTTTCCATTGGGGTAATTGAATTTTCAGACACATCTAATTTAGATGAGCTGTATCCATGGACAAGTGAGCCGAAGACATAAAAGTGAATCTTAAAATTCAACTGGGTTTTCATGATACCACTTCCCATTTAGCACTCTAATCGGTATTATCCCCTCACATGTCTGTGATGACATGGTAGGAGTCAAGGGGAAGGACACCCTTAATCAAAAAGCAAATTAAAATCTCCATGCCCCCAGTGGTTTCACAGCAGAATTTGTTGCATGCTCACTGAGTACAGAGTACTGTTTTAAGTGAGATGAGGAAGGGATACAAAAGTAAGACTAATGGTACTGCAAAAAGTTCTCAATCTAGTTGAAGAAAATGTGTACAATAACAATAAACTTCATGACCTACTTCTAAAAAATCACATAAATGGCAAATGTCTTTATCTGTGTATTGAATGTTTCCCTTAATTCTTTGAGGTTAGGCTATCATAAAAATTTGATTAATTAAACCAAGAAAAGAGGTTTAATTAACAATGCATAATTAACAACCCCAAACTCATATCATACTTAGAAAGTTTGATCTTCATCTACCAAGTCTGTTAAATTCTGTGGTAAATTTTAGGCCTAGGAAATAAATAAGGAACCAGAGCCAGTAATAAATAGGATGAGAATATAATTTATCATCTGAAACTTTTGAGAGTGAAAGGCGGCACTTTTAATAATTACACAGTTATGGTAATTATTATGGCAAGCTTAAACTGAGCCTGCTTTGAGTAAACTGGAATATATGGATGCCCTTTTGATAAATAAAATAGACTTGACATCATTGGAATAAGTTTTATCTAGGATCAGAATGCTGAGGCAAGCAGTAAAATGGAGTTCCAGAACCTGCCTGGCCGAATGCTTCTGCCAAGCATATTTCCAGCCTGGAAAATCTGAGATGACCTTTGTCACTTACCTTCCCTTCTATTCATTTTAAAAATAAGCCTTTATTTATTGTTTATTGAACACCTATTTGAAGGAATGGAGTGAATACAAAAGTTAAAGGTACACTCCTGTTAAGGAGTTGGTTGCTGGTGTGGACAGATGGGACTTGCATGTAACTGACAATTCTTAGGTATGTCATCAGGCACTATGGGATAAATTGCCAAATAAATTGTATAATGAGTTGAAAGGTAGGTAGAGGGAGAAATCACATTAGGATGGCAAAGGAGGTAAGGCTTTAGGAAAAGATGTGGGATTGAAGTGGGTCTTGAGAGATAAGGTGGAAATTTACAGAGTCAGTGGCACATTATGCTTTCCATCTTCTTTTCCAATTAGCAAATAACAAGCTATTAAATACAACAAACAAACAACAGCAACAACAACAAGGATAACAAAAACCCTTGCAATTTTTGTGGCACTCAAAATGTTATGAGCTCTACTATGTAGATAGTTTTATAAATAATGAAGAGAAGGATAAATTCCTCTGTAGAAAAATGGACTAAGGACATGAAAAGGCAATTAATATAAGAAGAAATGTGAAAGGCCAGTCTACATTTGAAAATGTATTCACTTATTAGTATGAAAGAGGTAAAAAAAACTTGACTAACTGGTGGGAGTAGGTAGAGAGAATGGTCACTCTCAGGACTTTTAGTAGAAAAGGGTACATTGGGATAATGTTTTTGAGTCAGTTTAGCCATATGTATTGATAGGTATATATTCTTTGGTTCAGGAATACTACTTTTAGAAATTTGTGATAAGGATATAATTATATAATTGTACAAAGATGTTTGTACAAATGTGTTTAACATAGCACCATTTATATTAATGTGAAAAATTATAATCAACTAGTAGTACATTGATAGGATATTTGCTTAATAAATTTTGGTACAAATGGTAGAGCACGTAGTAGAGCTCATGACTGTATGAGGTGATGGATATATTCATTAGCTTGACTGTGGTAATCATTTGACAGTGTATACATATATCAAAACACCATATTGTACCCTATGTACAATTTTTATTTGTCAATTATACCTCAATAAAGTTAAAAATAAATGTTGGCACATTCATACAATAGAGTAATGCGTAGTCACTGAGAAGGTTAATGTGCAAAATATTCATTAAGATATTTTAAGTGAAAAAAATCAGACTGAAAATAACATGTGAAATAAAGATCACGTTTATGTCTCAGGATTTTTGTCCAAATATTAACAATAATTATCTCTAAGTGGTAATTGTAGCAGCAGCACTAGTAGTCTTTTTTTTTGAAGGGGGGATTTAGGTGTGTTTTTATTTTATTTTTATAGTTTATATTGTTTGAATTTTACTCAATGAGCATGTGTTGTCTTTATTACTAGATTATGCTATTAAAACAAAAGTATTTTGAGGAAAACGGTCTTGCTGATTTGATAAGCAATGTCCATATAATAGGCACAGAAACACATTTTCAAGGTTGTTCATTCTAGAAATCCTCAACAAACTATTGGTATTCCCTTAAGTCATGATTTAACACAAAGAATTCTGAGAAGATTTATGTCTCTAGATGTCTGTCTTGATCCAGGGATCTACTTTTGGCTGTCTAGATGTGTGAACATTTAATCCATTTCATCCAATATTGTTTCTCTAACTGAAATTTTGGATAAAAGATTGAATTGCAGTGAACTGGAGATTGTATTTCGTGACAGCTCCCTGCAGCGCATCTCAGTCTATATAGGAGGGATCTTTAAAAAGTTTATGGAAAATGCATATTATTATAAAAAACTATGTATGGATTTCAGACTTTTTTGCACCAAAATAAACGTGTCCTAACTTGTTATAACATGTCTGAACAGGACCTAGTTTGAAGGATTAAGACATATAAGACATCAGTTTGAAAAGAACCCCATCAGAACAACATGAATTCTGCTAAAATTGAAGCAAGAACAAACATAAAATTTATGGTGAAGCTTGGGTGGAAGAATAGTAAATCACTGATGCTTAACAAAAAGTTTATGGGTACAATGTCCCAGAGAAATCAGTAGTTTACCAACGAATAATTCATTTTAAGAAGGGATGAGACAACGTTGAAGATGAAGTCTGCAGTGGCAAAACATATCAATTTGTGAGGAAAAAATTAATCTTTTCCGTACCCTCATTGAAAACAATGGTTAACGGCAGAAACAATAGCTAACACCACAGACATCTCAACTGGTTCTGTTTCCACAATTCTGACTAAAAAATTAAAATTGAGCAAACTTTCCATTTGATAGGTGTCAAAACTATTGTGCCTAGATAACCTGAAGACAAGAGCAGAGCTTTCAATGGAAATTTTAAACAAGTGGAATCAAGATCCTGAAGTATTTATTTAAAGGACTGTAACAGAAGATGAAGCATGGCTTTACCAGGATGATCTTGAAGACAAAGTACAATCAAAGCAATGGCTACCAAGAGAGGGAAATGGTCCAAAGTAAAAGCAGACTGGTCAAGAGCAAAGGTCATGTAAAGTTTTTTGGGATGCTCAAGGCATTTTCTAGTTTACTTTCTGGAGGGTCAAATAATGATAACATCTGCTTATTTTGAGAGTGTTTGGAGAAAGTTAGCCAAAGCTTTAGCAGAAAAACACCCAGGAAAGCTTCACTGGAGTGCTTCTGTACCACAAAAATGCTCCTACTCTTTCCCCTCACCAAACAAAGGCAATTTTGTGAGCATTTCCATGGGAGATTAATAGGCATCCACCTTATGGTACTAATTTGGCTCCTTCTTCCTTCTTTTTGTTTTCTCATCTTAAAAAATCTCTAAAGGGCACCCATTTTTGTTTCAGCTAATAATATAAAAAAGACTGCATTGATGTGTTTAAATTTCAAGGATCCTCAGATCTCTAAGGGTGGACTAACTGGCTGGCATCATTGCTTACAAAAGTATCTTGACCTTCATGGAGCTTATTTTGAGAAATAAAATTTATATTTTTATCTTTATCTTTTAATTCCATTTTTCCATGAACTTTTTGAAGTCCCTTTATATAGTTTGTTGTCTAAGAAGCCTTATGTCTTAGTTATCAATCCTAAGGATAGGATTAATGTTCTTTTGTTGAAGCTAAGGACTATTACTGTCAGGAGAACATGGCTAGGTAGAAGGCCATCCTACCTCCTCCCTTAAATAAGGACTCCTTAGCAAGGCTGAGCTTTTCTGCAGAAAAGAGTTCTGGATCTTATTCAGGGTATCAATAAATTTACAGTCAAGGTACTACTGTTTCAATCATGTAACATCATAAAAATAGCTTTGGTTTAAAATGTTCTAAGGCAGTTATAAACATGGTCACCTTGGCCAAACCACTGTAAACTCTTAGTTAAGTATACATATAAAATGAAAGGTTCACAATGAGCAATGCTAATTCTGTATTTATCCTCCCAAATACATTGTATGGCTAGATAACTAAATGTATAGATGGGTTATATGGTATAGTTATTTGTGAAACAGAAGAAAAAATCTCCAAAGAAGAATAATTATATTTTAGAATAATGAATATGTCTGCAATCCTATTTTCTGGTGATAATTACCTACAGAAGTCAGTAATCTGCAAACTTATTCCTAATTTAAGATAGTAAAATACGTTGTTTGCATTTTTAAAGCAGTTTTACCTGGTCTTTGTAGCTGGAGTTACAATCTGGTTGGGCCAATTCTGTACAAATAGAGTAACTCAGTTAAAACAAAATAAAACTGTTTAAAAAATTAAAATCTAAGGCCTGTGGTACAACACAAATTTTAGGAAAATCTCAAATGACAATGAATTTTAGAAAAATATCACACCCACCTACCCACACACACACCAGATTATCAAGTTCTATTTACTCTAAAGCTGCAGAAAAAGGATCTCCAGGTGGTAAAGCCTGAGCATGCGTATTTTTAAAGCACCAAGGCAATTCTGATAGGCAGCCAGGTTGAGAACCATTGTCCCAGCAGGCAAGCCATCTGGCCTCACTTGGTGTCCTTGGCAAATAAAAGGTGAGCCCTCCATTGCAGGACTTGTAAACTAATAAGCAGTTGAAAATAGTATTGGGTTTGGAACCAAATAACACTCGGAACAAGCTGCTCAAAAAAACTCCAAGGTTGAGGCTAGTCATTTTTGCGTATATGTGAAAAAAATGTGTTTTTGTTTTCTGGAAAATTTCTTGCTACTTCTTACAAAAGCAATACATGTTTGCTATTGAAATTTTGAAAATAAACTGTAAAAGAGCACAAGGGAGATTTAAAAATTACCTGTAATTCCATCAGCCAGATATTACCACAACATTGTTTATATCCTTTCAGACTTTTTATATAAATGGAAATATATTTTATATTCGATTTTGTAATATGCTTTTTAAAATTAGCAGTGTACCACGAGGACTTTCCCTTGTTAATATTCTTCAATAAAATGATGTTCAAGGGCTACAGAACATTTCATTCCATAATTAGCTTTATTGTTTTTCTATTTTAGCTTTTCAATTTATGACCAAAATAATCGTTCAATGATCCTCCTTGACCAAAACTCCACATGCACCTTTTGAATACAGATCCTCTTTGACTTACGATGGGTTTACATCCCAATAAACCCATTGCAGATTGAAAATATTGTAAGTCAAAAATGCACTTAATAGACCTAACCTACTGAACATCCTAGCTTAGCCTTGCCTACCTTAAACATGCTCAGAACACTTACATTAACAGTTGGGCAAAATCATCTAATACAAAGCCTATTTTATAAAAAAGTGTTGGATATCTCAAGAACTTTATTGAATATTGTGCTGAAAGTGAAAAACAGAATGATTATATGGGTACTCTCTAGGTACAGTTTCTACTGAATGTATATTGCTTTCACATCATGATAAAGTTGAAACAAGTTGAACCACAAGGTGGGGACCATCTGTACTTCCTCAGGAGTGCTAGAGATGGGGTCATTGGATTAAAAAATAAATTTTTACAAGGCATTTCATACATATTGTTCAACTATCCTTTGGGAAGGATATATCAATTTTACATTTTTTGACCACAGTTTCCAGTCCATAAATTCTAACCAATATTGAATATGTTATAATTGTTGCTAATCTGATAGGTGACAATATGTCTTAAGTTAATTTGCATTTCTTTGAAATAACTTCCAAAGATATTTAATATTTTGTTCATTGTTACTGGTCACTTATATTTCTTGAGAGAACTGCCTGATCATGTTCTACATTTGTTTTTCAGTTAGGGTATTTGTCTTTTCCTTATAGTGTAAACTCTTTGTGTTTCAGAAGTGTAGAATATATTTTTTCCTACTTTATTTACTTAAAAATTTTTCTTATGATGTTTTGGGATATACACAAGTTGATAACTATTTTTTGAGAAGAATTTATAATTCAATTATGTCACTGTAGAAGAGTCAGCTTTGTAAAGATTACCATCTTGGTAAGAATGATGCACTCCCATCCTACACTGCATAACTCCAAGCCTGAAATCTAATAATTGTTCGGCCTAACGATATCTGGTTTAGCAAAGGATCACTAACCCTTGGTATGAATTTAACTCAATGTTTTATATCTTCAGGGGCTACTTAGATTTTAAGCTTTGTCCCTAAACACTGTACCCTGTTAAAGAAATGTTGGTCATTGAAGAATAGCTGCAATTCTGTAGTTATTTATTGAACAGGTCTGATGTAAAAGTCCCTAAATAAATATTAATCTGGCTATGTGTAAGTGTGAACACACTGTACTGCAAATCACCTTTTAAAAAAACTGATGAATGAAAATGTATGCCTCATTTGAGTATGAAATAAGATTTTATGTTTATGTAGAGCTTTACAATGAAAAAACGCCACATTCACATACTATTTATTTTGATCCTCAAAAACTGATGAAGTAAACAGAGCAGTAATGCTCACCACAGTTAAACTGATGAGGAAATTGATATTAAAATGCAGGATGACCCACCACAAATTCAGTGCTTAGTGAAGGAACTGGTATTTTTTAAAAGCTTCTGAACATTAGAAAAAGACAAAGAAGGCTGGGTGCAGTGGCTCATGCCTGTAATCCCAGCACTTTGGAAAGCCGAGGCAGGCAGATCGGTCAGGAGTTCGACACCAGGCTGACCAACATGGTGAAACCCTGTCTCTACTAAAAATACAAAAACTAGCAGCTGGGGGTGGTGGAGTGCACCTGTAATCCCAGTTACTCAGGAGGCTGAGGCAGGAGAATCACTTGAACCCCAGAGGAGGAGGTTGCAGTGAGCCTAGATTGTGCCACTGCACTTCAGCCTGGGCGACAGAGCGAGACTCCTTCTAAAGAAAAAAAAAAAAAAGGAAAAAAAAGAAAAGAAAAAGGCAAAGAAGCCAAAGCAAAGATGAAAGAAATAAGCCAGAGAATTTCCCAAACTCTAAGTGAAGCATGGGTGTGGTTGAGTTTGAATGTAGCTGCAGATTTAATGGAATTCTTGGTTTTCTTTTATTATCTAAATTTTAGGGCCCATCCATTTGTTTGCAATGTTTTAAACACAGAGATTGAGTTGGCTTCTTAGAGGGGTCAGTAAGGCTTGGACAAGACTCATATTTGACATATGGCAGTGAAAGGGTATGCTCTGTTAAAAAGAACCAGATCTAATAGCAGCACTGGGCAAGATGCTGTATGTGGGGATCAGAAGGTATTGCATCCATAGAAATCCTACCTGAGAGTGGAACAAGGTAGAGAATGAAAGGCAAGGGAGAGAGAAGAATTCTGTTTGGTGACACCATTGCATACAGACCGACTGGTGAGTGACATGGATAGTTTTTTTTCCAGACATAGAGAAAAACCAAAAAACAACAACAACAACAACAAAAAAAATAGGGACAAGATTTAGTAGATTTTAGTAGATAAGGGAAAGATGACTATTTGCCTGTGGCCTCTCTGCTAACCAGCTACTGTAGTCATATTCATTTTCTTCTGGGACCTTTACATTTCAATAACAGTTTTAGCATCAAATGCCAAATAATGAAATTTTGATAGAGATTACATTAAATCTGTAGATTAGTTTGGGGAGTATTGCCATTTTAACAATATTAAGTCTTCTATTCTGTGAACATGTGATGTTTTTCCATTTATTTAGGTTTCCTTCATTCCTTTTAGCAGTGTTTTAGAGTTCTCAGAGTGTAAATTTTGTACTTCTTTTGTTGAATTTATTCCTAAATATTTTATTCTTTGTGATGTTACTATAAATTAGGTTACTTTCTTAATTTTATTTTTAGATTTTTCATTGCAAGTAAACAAAAATGGAACTGATTTTTGTATGTTAATCTTGTATTCTGAAACCTTGATGAACTCACTTATGAGTTCTAATAGTATTTTTAGTGGATTCCTTAGGATTTTCTCTCTATATAAGATCATGTCATCTGCAAATAGAGATACTTTTACTTCTTGCTTTTCAATCTGGTTGCCCTTTATTTCATTTACTTGCCCAAATGCCCTGGCTAGAACCTTTGGTACAATGTTGAAAAAAAGTGAGAACAGACATTCTTATCTTGTTCTGGATCTAAGGCATTCTTTAAGCTTGATGAAGTCCCAGCTCTGTGTCCCCTCAGGTGACCCAACCACACCTTGATGAAGTGCTCATTTCAGTCAGATGCAACAATATTCTAGACAAAGGATCCTTACTCTTATAGCTGGCATTGATTACCAGAATGCTCAGAACCAATGGTTGGACACAGCACCATTAAGGGATTAAGACTCAGGCCCTAGTCACAAAGCATAGGCTACAAAAGATGCTAAATTATTATATACTGTTCATGAAAGGGTAGTGTCTCTAAAGTATTTGAACCAATACATATATCTTTATTTTCATCAACTTAATCTACTCCCACTAGTTTCACCAATGAAAACCCACTTGTAACATTCATTACGCTAATTAGCAGAGATTTGGGGTTGGTTAAAAATAACAATAGCCAAAGCACCTGTAGTAGTGACATGTGGAGGGTAGATTTTCTGATATAATGTTATCCAACCACCTTTGAAGGTTGAATTGTGAATTAGGACAATTAGCTGTCCCTAGGGTATTGCCTAAATTAACAGAAAACACACATGCACACACACACACAAACCCTTTATACTCTCAATGCAGAAATATTTTACAGACATTATAGCAATGTTACAGACATTATAACAATGTCAAATAGGCATTCTTTATTTGGTGTGGCTGAAACAGAACTCCTATTTCCTTCCTAAAGATGTTCTCCTCAGGAATTTCCATCTCATTAAATTATGCCATCAACATCACCATCCAGGCATGTGCCTAAGCTGAAAATCTAGGTGTCAGCCTTGATTTCTTGATTCTCACCTTCTGTAATCAATCCAGTAGAAAGCCCTTTTGATTATGCGTCTAACTCATATCCTAAAGCCTTCTCCTTGTTTTCTCCACTATCACCACCTTAGTCCAAATCACCAGATTTACATCTGTTAAAAAAAGCATGAAGTGATGCGCAAGAAGCCTATGCCAGCACCTGTGGCCACACTCTTACCTTTTTTCTGAATATCTGACTTAGCCTCCTCACAGGTGTTCTGGCTTTTTCTCCATCATCCCTTCCTCCCACCTGACTCCACTCTCAGAAAAGCAGCCAGAAGCATCATGTAAACATGTAAATTAGGTTACATCACTTCCCTTATTGAAACCATCCAATGACTTCCAATCATACTTGGAATGAATTCCAGATTCCTTACTCTAGCTGTGAAGTCCCCATGGTCTGGCTCCTGATTATTTCTTTGACCTCATTTCAAACAACCTCCATTCTGCCTGCTATGTTTTGGCCATGGTAGCCAACTTTTTGGTCCTTGAAAATGCCAAACTCATTCTTGCCTTGGGGCCTCTGCACCAGCTGTCTGGCTGGCTATTCTGGCCACAAAGCTCTTGCCTGGATCTTATAATAGCTGCCTGTTTCTTGTGATTCAGAACTCAGCCTAAATGTAAATTACACATTCTAACTTGGATCCAGCTTGTCATGCTCTACTATATCTGCCTATTTTAATTGTCTGTATTACACGTTTAGATGTGTGTGTCATTTCACCATAGCCAGGATATAAACCCCATGACAGCAAATATTGTGCCTGTGTTATTCACCTCTGTATCTCCATCATGGAGAACCATGCCTGGTTCCTAGAGATGCTCAATAAGTGCTTATTGAATGAACAAGTGGAAATTTCAGAATTGGGCCTGATGTTGTGATAAAAGGACCATCATAATTATTCTGCTTGACTAGATTTTTTGGTATCAAATACTGTTCAAATAAATGAGTTATAATCTGGGGCTCAAAACTTCTTTAGGGACAAGAACTAATTGTATGCTATTTTTTGTAATAGAATATAATCAAGATCAATTTTTAAAACATTGGGTACATTATTTGTTTAATTTGTACATCACTAAATGATTTATATCCTAATTGCAGTGGGTAGTCCTGGAACTTATCTGTTTAACTTTCCTACAGTGTCGCTCCATCAATTAACCACCCTCTGCACATGAAGCTCTTGGCCAGGATTCCAACAGAATCAGAATCCCCTGTGATACTCCAATAAGGAAACTCATCAGTATTCCTGATTTTAAAAAGAAAAAAATTCACATTGCCTCAGACAAGAATTCTCAGGTGCTAGACTCTTTAATGATATTTTTGGTATTAAATTTTCTCTTAAAAAGGAAAATGTGCCTTAGATTGCAATTACAGGGAGGTAGGGGACTGGAATGGAGCAGAGTCAGGGAACACAGGACAATTGCACCTGTGTGGGGTGCCCTTTGAATAATAATAACTTGAAGTATGAACTGGTCCTGTGTTTTTTTCTTCTTCCTCACTTCTCTCAATGCTATATCCTTTATGACCATGAGGTGAGTCTGCCACTGAAACCAGGAGAAATGTGTCAGTTCATATCCTGGGATCAAAGTGATGGTGCATTGGTAAATGTTTGACAAATGAATTTCCAGAAAAAGAGCGCTAGTTTGTGGTCTTTGCTGGTTTCTGCAGGGTAAATGCCTCTGCAAGCTATCAATGAGGCACCAGTGAATTTGGAGTTAGGAAGAGATGCTAACAATTGTCTCTCATGAGCTAATATGACCTGGCTGTACCACATCAATGGATCAATGATACAAATTCTTAGAGTTCTTAGCTTCAAGTTCAGCAAGTCTGATCCAGGTACAAG